>NC_000002.12:231732042-232035072 GCF_000001405.40 Homo sapiens
CAGATCTTTTCATTTTGTAGCTTCTAGTCTCATTTAGGAATATGAGAGTCCCTACTCTACTAACTTAGAATTGCCCTTTCTTGAAACTTCTTGAACAAATGAATACTGTAAACAAATAGAAAAAATTAACAATAATAAACAAACAAAGGGTGCATGTATGTTGTGGAAAAGAACCATTAAAGATTGTGTCTAAAAGACAAATGTTAAGGTCATGGGTTTGGTTCAAGTATGTTGCACAATTTTGGAAAGCAGTAACTGTGGCACTAGGGAACAAGATCTATCAGTTCCATTCCTGGAGTGAAATACAGTTGTGATCTTATATTTGGTTTCTTTCCATTATGCAGCCAGGTTCACTTTCCAGAAAAAGGAGAGATAAAAGCAGTGCCATGCTAAAGACTGTAGGAATATTTTAATTCATATTTTTAATTACATTATGTAATAATATCACAGTCTATTTTACAAGTTAAATGTATGAGAATGTATGAAATAGAAATGGTAGGAAAAAACTAAACATGGGTCAGGAACACGGAATTTTTCCAAAACCAGGGGCCAAAGGTAGATGTGTAGCCTGTAGGGCCCAAGGAGGAGACAAGGAGGGTGACAGGTACAGTTACCGGTTTGTGGTATGTGTTTGTTCCCTGTGTGTATGCTGGGAAGGACTTGAGACCTGTCCCCTGCCCTGGTCTGGGGTTGGGAGTTTAGTCTGGTCAGCTGGAAGATGGTGGCTTGGGAAAAAGAGCCATCTGGTTACCTACACAGAGCTGGTCCCCTGGTGGCTGCAGGTAGGTTCTGCTGTTGAGGGAATTAGGGGTGTATGTGTCAAAAATCAAACGTGTGGAGGAAAAAAGTAAACAGTTTCCTCCTCCCTCCAAAAAACCCAAATTCTTGAAATGTACACACATTCTTCTTTCAAACATAGAAAAGTCTCACTCTGGATGTGCTTACAAGAAGATCGTCGTCAAAAAACTTTGTTTCTATGATAACGTTCCCACTGTAAGTAAGAAGAGAAACAGAGGGCAAAAGAGAGTGAGCATGTTAGGCACAAGATTTCATTTCCACAAAGTGGTTTCCATCTGGATTCCTGGGCCAATGGACATGCACCCACCCAGAGTCTTAGCTTGGGGACATTAAAATCCTTGTCTATATGGGGCTACAAGTCTAACATGACATTTAACTTATGTGGTTACATTCATCCCTGTCAAGCTCACAAATCAGAAGTGAGAGCATGTCTCCACTCCTTGGTACACTCTAAAGCCCTTAGTAGAGTGCTCTGCACACAGGGTGCTTATAGATCCGACTGACTTTCTGATACTGCATTCATGGACACCTCTGGCTGGCTTACATATAGAAGCCTGCAGACCTCAGGGGCAGTATCCTTCCCTACAGTACTCACAATAGTCGAAAGGTGGGCTTTGGCCTGGCCCACATCTATTTTCCTGCCTTTGGGTAACAGCACCTTGCTCTTCATTTGGGAACCACCCTTCCTCCAGTCCATGTGCCAAGTGAGTGGCCCCTCACTCACCTGGCAAAAGGGTGAACAGAGGATGTAACTTAGGCCAATCAGACTCTTTCTCTTGAGCAAGATCCTTCCTGTAGCTTCTCCTTGAGGAAGCCATCCAGGGATTCCTGCCCATCTGCATCTTCCAAGCCGCCCAGCTCTCCCCCTTAGTCTTTCAGCTCTTGTATTAGCCAGAGCCTGTTTCTATGACTTACAACTACAGAACACTAAATGATGCACCTGTATTGTGAGGTGTGAGGGAAGAATTTCATTTTTCTTGGTGGGTATCTCGGTGCTCCCATTTGTAAAATGGGAGAGACCATGGCCTTACCAAATCACACTTGAGCTGAGTTTAGGGCAACTGTTTTTGGGGGTTCTAAAAAGTTAAGTAGCCGGGCACGGTGGCTCATGCCTGTAATCCCAGCACTTTGGGAGTCCGAGGTGGGCGGATCACAAGGTCAGGAGATTGAGACCATCCTGGCTAAACAGGGTGAAACCCTGTCTCTACTAAAAATACAAAAAAATTAGCCAGGCGTGGTGGCGGGCGCCTATAGTCCCAGCTACTCGGGAGGCTGAGGCAGGAGAATGGTGGGAACCCGGGAGGCGGAGCTTGCAGTGAGCCGAGATCACGCCACTGCACTCCAGCCTCCGCGACAGAGCGAGACTCTGTCTCAAAAAAAATAAAAAAAAATAAAAAATAAAAAGTTAAGTATAGTTGGTTCCCTACTTATAATGAATCAACTTATGATCTTTCAACTTTATAGTGGATTTATGGGGATATTAAATGCATTTTTGACTTATGATATTTTCATCTTATGATAGGTTTGAGACAGAGCGAGACCGTCTCAAAAAAAAACAGCAACAAAAAATCACGCCTCGTGAAGAAGAAGTCAAATGAAGTTTAATAAAATCTAAAAAAAAAAAACCCCTGCTTTCCTAAACTACTCTGTACTTTCCCAGGGTAATTAATAACCAGCAGATACATTTCTGCTGGTAATTAATTATAAAACAGGTAAATAGGCCGGGCATGGTGGCTCATGCCTGTAATCCCAGCACTTTGGGAGGCTGAGGCGGGCAGATCATGAGGTCAGGAGATCGAGACCATCCTGGCTAACATGGTGAAACCCCGTCTGTACTAAAAATATAAAAAAAAAAAAATAGCCGGGCGTGGTGGCGGGTGCCTGTAGTCTCAGCTACTCAGGAGGCTGAGGCAGGAGAATGGCGTGAACCTGGGAGGCGGAGGTTGCAGTGAGCTGGGATCATGCTACTGCACTCCAGCCTGGGCGACAGAGCGAGACTCCGTCTCAAAAAAAAAAACAAAAAAAAAAACCCCAAAAAACAGGTAAATAAGGTACTCAGAATCTGACTGGCTGATAAGATATAAAAATAGCTACTACTGTAATTAAAAAATCTACTTTTAGGCCAGGCACGGTGGCTCACGTCTGTAATCCCAGCACTTTGGGAGGCCGAGGCGGGCGGATCACGAGGTCAGGAGATCGAGACCATCCTGGCTAACATGGTGAAACCCCGTCTCTACTAAAAATACGAAAAATTAGCTGGGCGTGGTGGCGGGTGCCTGTAGTCCCAGCTACTCGGAAGGCTGAGGCAGGAGAAAGATGGGAACCTGGGAGGTGGAGCTTGCAGTGAGCCGAGATCTTGCCACTGCACTCCAGCCTGGGCAACAGAGCGAGACTCCATATCAAAAAAAAAAAAAAAAAATCTACTTTTAAAACTATTAAAACTTTAAAAAATTCTATTACAATTTTTTTTTTTTTTTGAGGTGGAGTCTCGCCCTGTCACCCAGGGTGGAGTGCAGAGGCGTGATCTCGGCTCACTGCAACCTCCGGCACCCAGATTCAAGTGATCTCCTGCCTCAGCCTCCCGAGTAGCTGGGACTACAAGCGTGTGCCGCCATGCCCAGCTGATTTTTTGTATTTTTAGTAGAGATGGGGTTTCACTGTGTTAGCCAAGATGGTCTCGATTTCCTGACCTCGTGATCCACCCGACTTGGCTTCCCAAAGTGCTGGGATTACAGGTGTGAGCCACTGCGCCCAGCCTCTTACAAAATCTATGTTGCCCAAGCTAGTCTCAAACTCTTGGACTCAAGCAATCCTCCCGCCTCAGCTTCCCAAGTAGCTAGGATTATAGGAAAGTGTCACCACACCTGGCTGTTAAAAAAACTATTAAAAACTTTAAAAAGGGGCTGGGCACGGTGGCTCATGCCTGTAATCCCAGCACTTTGGGAGGTTGAGGCGGGTGGATCACCCGAGGTTAGGAGTTCGAGACCAGCTTGACCAATATGGTGAAACCCTGTCTCTACTAAAAATACAAAAAAAAAATTAACCGGTGTGGTGGTGTATGCCTGTAATCCCAGCTACTTGGGAGGCTGAGACAGGAGAGTTGCTTGAACCTGGGAGGCGGAGCTGGCAGTGAGCTGAGATCACGCCACTGCACTCCAGCCTGGGTGACAGGGCGAGACTCTGTCTCAAAAAAAAAAAAAAAAACTTAAAAAGTAGAGACAGGCATGGTGGCACATGCCTGTAGTCTCACCTACTTAGGAGGCTGAGCTAGGAAGATCACTTGAGCCCAGGAGTTGGAGTCCAGCCTGGGCAACATGGCAAGACCCTGTTTTTTAAAAAAATAAAATAAACAAAACCCAAAACAAAAACAAAAAACCTTAAAGTCAATAACCTCAATTTTTAACAAATTCAATATGGCTTTCATAAAGGAACTGTTGAAAGAGATGATCCAATATTACACAATTATCTGTGGGACTAACTCTTTTTTTTTTGAAATAGAGTCTTGGTCTGCTACCCAGGCTGGAATGCAGTGACATGATCTTGGCTCATTGTAACCTCCACCTCCTGGGTTCAAGCAATTCTCCTATCTCAGCTTCTTGAGTAGCTGGGATTACAGGTGTGTGCCATTACGCCCAGCTAACTCTTTAGAAGGTACTATTACTATAACATTTGAGAGACTAACATCTTTCCCACAGACAATGGGAGGTAGGAAGTTATTGACAGTGTTTTTGGAAAAAGCACAAACAAATTGTTCTTGGAACAGGAACCAAAGCTATTAATATGGTAAGCCATTCTCCAAAAAACTGTAACCAAGTAGTATCCTCGAAAACAGAATTATTAATAGGACTTTGCCAGATTCTGTTAAAGGTGATCTAAACAAAATACAGAGATACCGGAAGTACGGTAGTCAGGAATGGGAGCAAATTAACATAGATTCGGTATATATATTAAATGCCAGTCTCCTTCCATGTCATCACATTTTATCTTCATTACACCTCTGTAAGACAGAATTAATTTCTGTGTTTAGAGATGAAAGACTAAGGCTCAGAGAGATAAAGTATATTAGTGCCCAAGATGACACAGGTAGTCAGGGTGAATCAGGAATTTAAATCTGGTTTAATCTAAAGTTTTATTTTTATTTTTAGTTTTTTATTCTTTCTACTCTATCATACTGTCTTTTTCATATGAAAAAGGTCAGGAACCTGGAAACCTAGATACCCTTGGATACTCTTTTACTCTATTTCTCAACCGAGCTCTCTGCCCACTGAATGGCACCAGGAGTCCCACCTGCCTGGAATGCCTGTTTCTAGACACACTTCATAATTTCCTGAGACCTGCTCACTCACGTTAAGACGCTTGCTGGCATCATCTGGGACTCGGGTGCTGCCTCTATCAAGGACTGCCAGGTATTTGTGGAGTTAGGGATCACAAAGCCAAACTCGAAGAACCATTCTGAAGGAAGAAGGAAAAGCCGGGGTGAGCAGGTGCCCCAGTATAAAGTTTAAGGGCTCTTTGTCTCCCTCTCTAGAGTGAGCCTCTTCCTACCCTGAGAACCACCAAAGGAAGCTATCAGCAACCTCTCAGACCAGGGGCGTAAAAAAGACAGGGAAGCCTGCTCAGGTTGTCCTCTGAACCACACCAAAGGCTTGCTTCTCATGCTTTGAGGTCTAAAGGACTAGGACCAGCGAGCAGGACACAATATAAGCAGCATTTTCTTAGAGGTAGGCTAGATGTGAACTATATATAGATACATAGTTAAATTCACTTGGAATTAGCTTGAAGGGGCTTATGTGCCCTTTACACTGCATGGTGAGAATTCAATGCAGAGTGGCCTTGCCAGTCAAATCTGTATGATACTGTATGTAGAGCACTGTACTAGGCCCTGCTCATAGCAGCTTCCTCCATGATCATATCACAATACAACGTCAGTGCCTAAACCAGGCACCACCATCCACGCTCCCAGTGTCAGAGACCTCAAAGCCCCTTGTAGTGGCTAGCTTTGTTTTGGTTTGTTTCACTGGGGATTCACAGTCTTGCAGAGTGTAGGAATCCTACCACAAACTGAGTTGTAAAAGGAATGTTATCAAAGCACTGCTTTAGTTCACTGGGTATTGTTGCCTTTTGTCCTGGTCGCCCTAAGCCCTGATTTCAGGCATGTAGGCAGCAGAATACCTTCTAGGCATTGCCCTTTGAAGTAAACTTTTTGTTCCAGGCGGAATTTTTCCATTTGTTCTGTCGAAGAAAAATTAAGTTCTCGAGACACTGCCTTGCACTTGAGGATTTTCTTGGGAACACGGGCTGGTAAGAGAAAAACAAATGTTGAAGCCTTTCTAAATGAAAACCACAGGACTATGATGCTTCAAATTTCTGGGAGCTTCTTACAGCTGATTTAGAGAACACTTTCTTACAGCTGATTTAGAGAACACTTTCTTACATTTTGGATAATGCCTTGGTAAGTGCATTACACTTTGTGTGGCTGAAAGCAGAGGTCTCTAATTGGTCACCCGTATCTGAAAGATATTAGATCTTCAAGGAACACCAGGTTTTGTGCATCTAAGGGCCTCATCTAACTACTCTCATCAGGAAGGGGGCTGCATGGGTACCTTCTCTCTACTCTGTTCTGGTGATTTTAACCCCTTCCTTCTTCTTTACTTCAGGGAGATAAAAATGCAAATTTTCTTTTGGAGAAAAAGTTGAGATCTTAGTTTCTATCTTTGGGTATGTTCTAATGGTAAAATATCAGCACAAAATGGGTTTTGGGAAGTGAGAGAAAGAACTGTTAAGAAAGTAACTGGCTGGGCGTGGTGGCTCACACCTGTAATCCCAGCACTTTGGGAGGCTGAGGCGGGCAGATCACTTGATGTCCGGAGTTCGAGACCAGGATGGCCAACATGGTGAAACCCCATCTCTACTCAAAATACAAAAATTAGCCAGATGTGGTGGCGCACGCCTGTAGTCCCAGCTACTCGGGAGGCTGAGGCATGAAAATCGCTGGAACCTGGGAAGCAGAGGTTGCAGTGAGCCAAGATCACACCACTGCATTCCATCCAGCCTGGGTGATAGAGCAAGACTGTGTCTCAAAAAAAAAAAAAAAAAAAAAAAAAGAAAGTAACTGAAACTGTCAACAACACATGGATTAACATGCTGTGTCTTCAGGGGCTCACCCGCCTATTAGGTATGTGTTAACTTAGCTCTCTTATGCTCAGGTGCTAGTCTGGCATTGGTCACAGCCCTGTGTAGATAAAGGGTTGGAAAGTACCTTCATGCTCCACACCAGGGACAGACAGGTCTTCTGTTCCTTGCCAGAGTATCTTCCCTGTCTCAGCATCCCGAAGGTTCATCCAATTTCTGATCAAATATGACTAAGGAAAAATAAGGCACTGAAAGTGACTCCCACTTTGTATTCTAGGTGTCTCATGTTTACTCCCACCAACTCTTGTTTACTTTTTAAAAAGTTTGTCAAACTGCTCATTGCCATGGAAGCACATAAGAATGTGAGGAGAGTCAAAAAGACATCTAAAGGAAGAAGCAGAAACCTAGAGAAGTTACTTTTATCTATGAGAATCCTAAGACTGCACACACCTAGAGACTGCAAGAAAGGGACAGAAAACGAATAGTGCAAAATTTAAAATTTACCAACAGGATCTGACCAACCAAGATAAAATACCTAAAGAAACAAATATCAGATGTACCCCAAGGAAACAACTCATGAAGATCACTCTATAGTGAATGCCACAGTCCATAAACTTCACCCACAAGCACAGAACTCTCAAATTGCTTTGTAGTGGCCCCCTCTGTTTTTTTTTTTTGAAACAGAGTCTCACTCTGTCACACAGGCTGGAATGCAGTGGCACAATCTCGGCTCACTACAACCTTCATCTCCTTGGTTCAAGCAATTCTTGTGCCTCAGCCTCCTGAGTAGCTGGAATTATAGGAGCACGTCACCAAGCCCAGCTTATTTTTGTATTTTTAATAGAGATGGGGTTTCACCATGTTGGCCAGGCTGGTCTCGAACTCCTGACCTCAAGTGATCTGTCTGCCTCAGCCTCTGAGTGCCCTGTTTTTAAATATGAGAAGATAGCCAAGTATCAACAGAAATTTAAGAAAGCATTTATTATGAAAGACAGACCAAAACAAACTAAAAGAAAAAAGTAACTTAGAAGAATAAAGAGGCTTACAGATAAAGACATAAGTTTTAAAAAGGAGCATTAAAAAAGAGAGATAAGACATAACCTTTACAGACACTAAAAATTAATATAATAAAATTCTGTATATTTTAGGTGAATTTCTCTGGTTTGAGGTTACAACTTATGAAGCTGGTTAACTGATGTTCTCTGTCAGAAAATGCCTTCTAACATAAGTATTTATATTTTCTAGTTTCTGTATTGTTTCATACATTAAATGAGTCAATAATACCAATTTAAAAAAGAATATTCAGAGAACAAAAAAGAACTCTAGAAACACATATATTTTGATAGCAGAACCAAACAACTCAACACAAAGACAAAATTGAAGAAAGCTTTCAGAACGAAAAAGGCAAGGATAGAAAACAGGAGAGCAGGCTGAGTGTGGTGGCTCACACCTGTAATTCCAGCACTTTGGGAGGCTGAGGTGGGTGGATTCCTTGAGCTCAGGAGTTTGAGATTAGCCTGGGAAACATGGTGAAACCCCATCTCTACAAAAATACAAAATTAACAAGTCATGGTGGTGCATGCCTGTGGTCCCAGCTACTCTGGAGGCTGAGGTGAGAGGATTGCCTGAGTCCACAAAATCAATGCTGCAGTGAGCCGAGATCATGCGACTGCACTCCAGCCTGGGCGACAGAGGGAGACCCTGTCTCAAAAAAAAAAAAAAAAAAAAAAAGGAGAGTAAAGGCACAAAAACTTATAGTCCAAGAATAGTCCAAGAGTTCTAGTGTCTAACTAATAGAAGTTCTAGAAAGGTAGAACAGAGAGAACAGAGGGGAGGATGGCATCAATAAATTAATTCAAGAAAATTTCGTAGATGGAAAGTGTCTAGGCCAGGAGCGATGGCTCACCTGTAATCCCAGCACTTTGGGAGGCTGAGGCGGGCGGATCACCTGAAGTCGGGAGTTCGAGACCAGCCTGACCAACATGGAGAAACCCCATCTCTACCGAAAACACAAAATTAGCCAGACGTGGTGGTGCCTGCCTGTAATCCCAGCTACTCAGGAGGCTGAGGCAGGAGAATCACTTGAACCCGGGAGATTGCGCCATTGCACTCCAGCCTCAACAAGAGCGAAACCCTGTCTCAAAAAAAAAAAAAAAAAAAAAAAAAGGGTGTAGCAAATGCCCAAGTCACATCATTAGTGCATTTACAGAATATCAAAGATAAAGAAAAGCGAAAAGCTTCCAGAGGTTAAACAAGTCATTATACAAAGGGTCAAATCAGAATAGGAAAAAAAATCAGAATAAATCAAATTCAAAAGGAACCCTGGAGGGTAGGAGACAACTTAGCAGGGCCTTTAAAATTTTCAGGGAAACAATTCCTGAAACAAACTAAAAAATATTTGCTTTCTTAAGAAACTAAGGAAAATATGGCTTCATCAAAATGACAGAGAAAACCAAGAAAGGGGATGACATGGGATATAGCAAGCAAGAAACAGCTGAAGGGAGTCCCCTGAGTGACAGTGAAGGAAGATCCCAAGACAATAGCTCTTTAACAGGTCTGGAGAGTGACTAGTCCAGGGTCCAGGCTAGAGCAGGTCACAAAGCTCAGGAAGAGATTTTCTTTTAAAAAGATAAAATTCATAGAATACCTAGTGTGTTTATATGGAAAGGAGATTTATACAATTAGAGGGAGATTTTGGGGTCAAATTCATGAGAAGCACAGAAAATCTAAGCAAATGACAAAAATCCAAGTACTGACATCAAGAAAAATTAAAGGTAGTACTGGAAGAAAAAAGTAGTCATAGTATAACTCATGGCTTCATTGCAAGTAGTGCTGATATGGTCATAACAATGAAAGCACATGCTAACACCCAATATAATTTACCTGGGAGGATGGGGGAACAAGAGTATGTATATCTGGATAGTCAGGCACGAAATGTTGAGAAACAACAAAACTGTCATTTTCCGTAGTGGAAAGTGGATAAATAATGCTAAAATGGAAACATTACGACATAGCCACATTTTGCTTTTTAGAAATACCAAGATGAATACCAAATAAATAAGCTAAAAAGGATTGAAAATAGTTTTCTCTGGGGAGTAGAAAATAGGGGGACAGGGAGTGGTGCTCTTCATTAGAAACTAGATAGACTGTGTTTTTTGTTTTTTTTTTGAGATGGTTTCGCTCTTGTTGCCCAGGCTGGAGTGCAATGGCATGATCTTGGCTCACTGCAATCTCCACCTCCTGGGTTCAAGCAATTCTCCTGCCTCAGCCTCCTGAGTAGCTGGGATTACAGGCATGCACCACCATGCCCGGCTAATTTTTGTATTTTTAACTGGAGATGGGGTTTCTCCATGTTGTTCAGGCTGGTCTCAAACTCCCGACCTCAGGTGATCCGCTTGCCTTGGCCTCCCAAAGTGCTGCGATTACAGGTGTGAGCCACCTTGCCCGGCTGACTATGATTCTTTAAATGATGAACACATACAACTTAATAAAAATAAAGACTAACTTTAAGAAGAGAGTGCTAAGGTTTTTTTTGTTTTGTTTTAAAAAACAATTGACAAACCATTAAAGGAAAAGAAAATTAACATTATGCAAGCACAGAGGCTGTCTGCAAAAGATCGTTAATATTTGCGAAGAGACTGAGCTGCAGATAAATATATGTATAATATAGATATAGTTTACATGTGTCTTTTTTTTGGTTTTCTTTTTTTGCTATCTTGTGATCAGACTCTCTTCCCAAAGAAGAGAGTCTCTACCTTGTGGAAGGCAGTGACTGCTTTGCACTACAGCAGCTAGAAAGGCCAGATCCTTTTCTCCCAGCCCTGGCATAATCAGGGGTGAGCACAAGAAGGCCTAGCCTTGGACACGTGCTACCCAGTTCTGGGGTCCTGAAGCTACAGGACTTTCGAGGGAGTTGGAAGTTCTTCAGGGTGGGGGCAGCAGGGGCATGCCAACCTGCCCTTTCCTACTGTGTGGTCTTTGCTACAGACCCTGTCCTTCAACTTCCAGGCAGCTCCAAAAGCCTCAGATACCCTTTCCCATTGTTTGAATAGCTTGCAGTGAAGAACCCTAAACAACACAGCTGACTGGAATCATCATGTGTGTAATAACACTATATTTTACCCTCTGGAGAGATTCTGTCTAGGTTTTGCTGCTATACGAGAAAAGTCTCGGCTGGGCGTCGTGGCTCACGCCTGTAATTGCAGCACTTTTGGAGGCCGAGGCGGGCGGATCACGAGGTCAAGAGATCAAGACCATCTTGGCCAACATGGTGAAACCCCGTTTCTACTAAAAATACAAGAATTAGCTGGGCGTGGTGGTGTGCGCCTGTAGTCCCAGCTAATCAGGAGGCTGAGGCAGGAGAATCGCTTGAACAGAGGAGGCGGAGGTTGCAGTGAGCAGTGAGCCAAGATCATGTACTGCACTCCAGCCTGGCGACAGAGCAAGATTCCGTCTCAAAAAAAAAAAAAAAAAAAAAGAAAAGTCTCAAAATATAACAAAGGGTTATTCAGCAGAGTGCCTGCAATGTGATGAGGAGTCTATCTTTCTGTGCACTCAACCTGCTTGTGGGCATCCCTGCATGAATGTACTGTCGCTTTCAGATCACATTGGCTGTGTCATTCTCCCCTCAGGGTGTGCAATTCCTAACAAACTCTCCTTCTATGCTCAATACATCTCCAGACAGTGCCGTTCCTCTCCACCCGTGTGATCTGCCTTCCTCTGGTTCATATTTTCAAACTCCACTTTTTTTTTTTAAACAACTAAATTCAAAAGCAAGTTCACATACTTCCTTAGGTCATGTCTCACAATTATAATTACTATAAATATGCTCACACATCCCAGGGTCTCTATATGTTAAGAGAAAGCTTCCCAACGGCAGAAGGAAAACAACAGATACTACTGCTCTATCAATCCCCTCTGAGCTCAGATCTAAACTGTCCCAGGCAGCTAAGCCCAAGGTTTTCTGAAGACATAGTCCTCATTCGACCTTCTCTGAACAAGCTTTTCATTCTTTCACAGCCGATAGTGTCCTATGTACCCACTACGGCAACATGGACATCAGACTTTCTTAAATTAAACAATAAGACTAAACAAAACTAAAATGACTTCTACAGTTCCAGGCTCACAGGCAGATGAGGCATTCTAGCAAAACTAGAAAAGTCCCGGAGGGTCCCTGCACAAAGCTGCAGTTGGAGCAGACTGAACTTCCAGAAAAAGCACTACTGTGACTGGCAGAGGTCAGAAAAGCAAAGCCTGGGGCCAGGACTTACTCTTCAATCTATGTATTAAATGATAAAAAAGAAAGATGTTTTAAATTAGTCTTCTATCTGGCATTTAGTGAATAGTAAATTTAAGCTCCCCTTATTTCAAGGGAGAGAAGTAGCTAAAAATACATGGTTGATTTCCACAACATGAATGTCTTTTCTCTGTAAATAACCAGGTTAAGGACTTAATTGCTTTTCTTTTTTTTTTTTTTTTGGAGACAGAGTTTCGCTCTTGTTGCCCCGACTGGAGTGAATGGCACGATCTCGGCTCACCACAACCTCCGCCTCCCGGGTTCAAGTGATTCTCCTGCCTCAGCCTCCTGAGTATTTGGGATTACAGGCATGCGCCACCATGCCCGGCTAATTTTGTATTTTTAGTAGCGATGGGGTTTCTCCATGTTGGTCAGGCTGGTCTCGAACTCCCAACCTGAGGTGATCTGCCTGCCTCGGCCTCCCAAAATGCTGGGATTACAGGCGTTGAGCCACCGTGCCCGGCCCTAATTGCTTATCTTTTTGGGAATCACATAAAAATATATTCTATAAAATATATTTATATGTTTAGCCAGTTCAATATACATAGTTATTCCTGCATGTGCCCTAATCTGGAAAATTATCTACCAGTATCTATATCATGTGCATCATTTTATAATCCTTGCACATTTTAATCCTTAACAAGTTTTGTAAGATTTTATCCTCAATACAGCATTAGAGAAATACAAAGAGAGCTCCATCCAACGACGTTGGGATTGAGGCCATTGAAGGCCCCTCTAAGTTCTGTAATTTTAGGGGTGAAAAGGAAGCCCTTAGTTCATGGTAGAAATGCAGCAATTTGGGAACATCTTTATAAAATGGAAATCCATAATAGTCTATTAGTAAGGAGAAATAAAAGTTATTAAGGTAGATGTCTTAAAATAATAACAATGAGAAAAGCTGGTCCTCAAAAGAGGAAACTTCAAGTTGACTTCTGAGGAGCCAAAACAAAAACAAAAACACACAAAAAAAACCGAGGAAACATTTGGCTAAAAATGCTAGAAATGAAAGACAAGCTTTGATGATTGGTCATCATCTGGCTAAAAACATATTTGTTTTAACAGCTTACTGCTAACCAGATTTTTTAGAGAAAAAGAGCCTGAGTTTTAAGACTCAAAGGTCAAGTCACTTCCAATCTTGAGAGGAGGATTAGGTGGACAGGCTTTAAAGGAGGGGCTGGAGTACTATTTATAAGTTCTACCCTCTGGGTCAGCCAGGTCTTTGTTCATTTAAAAGCTCCCTGGTGATTTATACGAAGGATGAGCACAAAGGAACATTCCTTTCCTATGGGAAGCCTCCTGCTTAGAGGAGATCGGGCTCTGGTACCCTCTAATTTGGAACCAGGCAAACATAAGGAAGCACTTTCGTATGTAAAATAAGAATATCTTAAAAGTAAGCTTCAGAACAAAACCAATAGTTTGCAAAGTATTAAGCGTTAGGAAAGGTAAAAAAGGAAGTAAATATTCCATAAATATTATGGAAGAATGGGTGACACTTGGCTCAACACAGGTTACGCAAATCCTCTTGTGTCTTACAGAATAGTTGTGACCTGGTGTGATTTAGGTGCAGTCTGGTGCTGGAGCTGGGGGCAGACTTGAGGTATAGAAGGCAGTGAAGGAGGTGGGTGGTAGAATGGGAAGGGAAGGATTGGGGATCAGAAGAGATCAGTTAGATGAACGGGGTACTAGGTAAATTTCCTTGAGAGATGTGAAAGTAGAAAACAGGATAATAAAATGATTTGAACCAAGCTTGTCCAACCCATGGCCTCTGGGCTGCATGTGGCCCAACACAAATTTGTAAACTTTCTTAAAACTTTTTTATTTATTTTTTAGTTCATCAGCTATCGTCAGTGTATTTTATTTTTTAATTTTTATTTTACTTTATTTTATTTTTGAGACGGAGTCCCAATCTGTTGTCCAGGCTGGAGTGCAGTGGTGCAATCTCGGCTCACTGCAACCTCCACGTCCCAGGTTCAAGTGATTCTCCTGCCTCAGCATCCTGAGTAGCTGGGATTACATGTGCCCGCCCCCATGTCCGGCTAATTTTTTGTATTTTTAGTACAGACGGGGTTTCACTATGTTGCCCAGGCTGGTCTCAAACCCCTGACCTCAAGCAATCCACCTGCCTCGGTCTCCCAAAGTGCTGGGATTACAGGCATGAGCCACAGTGCCTGGCCCGTTGGTGTATTTTACATGTGCTCCAAGATAATTCTTCTTCCAATGTGGCCCAGGGAAGCCAAAAGATTGGACACTCCTGTTAAAGTAGTTTGTAACAATCATCTATGAGTATTTTGGAATGAGTACACTGGTTCTGAGAGACTTGATTCGTTTTAAATGGAAATAGTCAACATCATTTTTTATATAATAAACAGATCCACACTACATGCCCGTACCTCACCGGCCAGTTGAAGGAGGAAGAAAGAGAAATCAGGGTAAGAGAACAGAGAGTGAGAAGGAATGGGGAAGACAAAAAGCAGAAAGAGAAAAGAAACACGGGGGACACACACAGGAGAGACACAGGGACGGAGTGAAGGGGAAAAAAAGACTGAGAAAAAACACAGAAAGGCCCACATACAACTCAGAACCAAGAGACAGAGCCAGGACAGAAGGCAACAAAAAGGAAGAGTCTCCGAAAATTTGGAGATAGATCCCATACAGTTTTCTTCCTACTTTAATACTGTATAGCTGTCTGGGTTAGTGAGTTTCACAAGACAGTTTGAAATTGATGAGAACAGGAGGAAGACTAAGTATTCCAAGTGTTAAGCTCCTCTGAAAATGTTAATTGGCTGGTTCATAGTTTCGTGTAATTTATCATCCAAACGATGATACTTTTTTTCTTTTGAGATGGAGTTTCGCTCTTTGTTGCCCAGGCTGGAGTGCAGTGGTGCGATCTCGGCTCACTGCAACCTCCGCCTCCCGGGTTCAAGCGATTCTCCTGTCTTAGCCTCCTGAGTAGCTGGGATTACAGGCATGCGCCACCACACCTGGCTAATTTTTGTATTTTTAGTAGAGACGGGGTTTCACCATGTTGGCCAGGCTGGTCTTGAACTCCTGACCTCAGGTGATCCGCCTGCCTCGTCCTCCCAGAGTGCTGGGATTACAGGCGTGAGCCACCACACCCGACCTATGATACTTTAAAGAATGAAAGAGTGTGCTAACTGAAGAGCACATTTAAATGAGCTGGTTCATAAAATGTGCTACAACAGTCCTTGGCATTAGTAAGCCATGTGTTAGCTATTATTATTATCAATGACAATTAATTCTTTATTGTCTCCCATCTAGCATTCTGACTGGTTTTCCCCGCTTCTATTCTTGCCTCCTTCTCCATTCTCTTCATAGAAGGAAAGGGTCTTTTAAAACTGTAAGTTAGATGTCAATCCCTGGCTTTCCTCTGCACTTAAAAAAATCGAGTTCTTTCCATGGTCTACAAGGCCCCTCAATCACTATGCCCTAGGCACAAAAGCCTCTTAACTCTTTCTCCAATACACTAATACCTCTTCTCACCTGCACCAAGCAGCCTGAGTACTCTTAACCTTATTCTTCACAGCCTCAGGTCCTGGTGTCAGTGGCACCTCCCTTGAGAGGTTCTTGGGAACACTGAGTCCACAATGGGTTCTGAATGCACTATTGCTTCTTCCTCATTTTCTCTTGCCGCCGCCATGTAAGAAGAGGCTTTCACCTCCCGCCATGATTCTGAGGCCTCTCCAACCATGTGGAACTGTAAGTCCAATTAAAGCTTTTTTTTTGTTGTTCCCAGTTTCGGGTATGTCTTTATTAGCAGCATGAAAACAAACTAATACAGTAAATTGGTACCAGTAGATTGGGGGCGTTGCTGAAAAGATACCTGAAAATGTGGAAGCAACTTTGAAACTGGGTAACAGGCAGAGGTTGGAACAGTTTGAAGGGCTCAGAAGAAGACAGGAAAATGTGGGAAAGTTTGGAACTTCCTAGAGACTTGTTGAATGGCTTTGCCCAAAATGCTGATAGCAATATGGACAATAAAATTCAGATGGAGATGAGGAACTTGTTCGGCACTGGAGCAAAGGTGACTCTTGTTATGTTTTAGCAAAGATACTGGTGGCATTTTGCCCGTGCCCTAGAGTTTTCTGGAACTTTGAACTTGAGAGAGATTTAGGGTATCTGGTGGAAGAAATTTCCAAGCAGCAAAGCATTTAAGAGATAACTTGGGTGCTGTTAAAGGCATTCAGTTTTATAAGGAAAGCAGAGCATAAAAGTTTGGAAAATTTGCAGCCTATGTGATAGAAAAGAAAAACCAATTTTCTGGGGAGAAATTCAAGCCAGCTGCAGAAATTTGCATAAGTAGCAAGGAGCCTAATGTTAATCCCCAAGACCATGGAGAATGTGTCACAAGGCCACATCAGAGAACTTCCCTGCAGCCCCTCCCATCAAGGACCCAGAGGCCCAGGAGGAAAAAGTGGTTTCACGGGCTGGGCCCAGGTTCCCCATGCTGTGTGCAGCCACTTGGTGCCATGTCCCAGCTGCTCCAGCCGTGGCTAAAAGGGGCCAATGTACAGCTCGGGCTGTGGCTTCAGAGGGTGGAGGACCCAAGCCTTAGCAGCTTCCATGTGGTGTTGAGCATGCGGGTGCACAGAAGTCAAGAATTGAGGTTTGGGAACCTCCGCCTGGAGTTTAGATGTATGGAAATGCCTGGATGCCCAGACAAAAGTTTGCTACAGAGGCAGGGCCCTCATAAAGCGCCTCAGCTAGGGCAGTAAGTAAGGGAAATGTGGGGTTGGAGCCCCCACACAGAGTCCCTACTGGGGCACTGCCTAGTGGAGCTGCGAGAAGAGGTCCACTCTCCTCCAGACCCTAGAATGGTAGATCCACCAACTTGCACCGTGCACCTGGAAAAGCCGCAGACACTTAACGCCAGCTGGTGAAAGCAGGCAGGAGGGAGGCTGTACCCTGCAAAGCCACAGAGGCGGAGCTGCCCAAGACCATGAGAACCCGCCTCTTGCATCACCGTGACCTGTTTGTGAGACCTGGAGTCAAAGGAGCTCATTTTGGAGCCTTAAAATTTGACTGCTCCGCTGGATTTTGGACTTGCATGGGCCCTGTAACCCCTTTGTTTTGGCCAATTTCTCCCATTTGGAATGGCTGTATTTACTCAATACGTGTACCCCCACCGTATCTAGGAAATAACTAGTTTGCTTTTGATTTTACAGGCTCATAGGCGGATGGGACTTGCCAAGGCAAGGCAAAGTCTCAGATGAGACTTTTTTTTTTTTTTTTTTGAGATGGAGTCTCACTCTGTTTTATTTTTTTTGAGATGGAGTCTCACTCTGTTCAGGCTGGAGTGCAGTGGTGTGATCTCAGCTCACTGCAATCTCTGCCTCCCGGGTTCAAGTGATTCTTCTGCCTCAGCCTCTCAAGTAGCTGAGATTACAGGCACTTGCCACCATGCCCGACTAGTTTTTTGTATTTTTTAGTAAAGATGGGGTTTTGCCATATTGGGCAGGCTGGTCTTGAACTCCTGACCTCAGGTGATCCAGCTGCCTTGGCCTCTCAAAGTGCTGGGATTACAGGCGTGAGCTACCGTGCCAGGCCTCAGATGAGACTTTGGACTGTGGAGTTTTGGGTTAATGTTGAAATGAGTTAAGACTTTGGGGGATTGTTGGAAAGGCATGACTGGTTTTGAAGTGTGAGGACACGAGATTTGGAGAGGCCAGGGCAGAATGATATGGTTTGGCTATGTCCCCACCAAAATCTCAACTTGAATTGTATCTCCCAGAATTCCCAAGTGTTGTGGGAGGGATTTAGGGGGGAGGTAATTGAATCATGGGGGCTGGTCATTCTCGTGCTATTCTTGTGATAAGTCTCACGAGATTTGATGGGATTATCAGGGGTTTCTGCTTTTGCTTCTTCCTCATTTTCTCTTGCTGCTGTCATGTAAGAGCCTTTCGCCTCCCGCCATGATTGTGAGGTCACCCCAGCCATGTGGAACTGTAAGTCCAATTAAACCTTTTTCCCCCGTTTCAGGTGTGTCTTTATCAGCAGTGTTAAAACAAACTAATACAACCTACTATGTACCGGTATTAATGTCAAAGTTGCATCTAAAAAATTTGGGCAATATGTTTCATTTAAAATGACAGGTGGTATAGAGGGGGACAATATCTTTAAATTCATATATTATTTGATAAAATTTATGGTCTTAGTTATATATGTGAAAATATATGTCTATTTCATCCATATCACTTTTTTTTTTTTTTTTTTTTAGACAGAGTCTCACTCACTCTGTTTCACTCACTCGCTTTGTTGCCCAGGCTGGAGTGCGATCTCAGCTCACTGCAACCTCCTCCCGGGTTCGAGAGATTCTACTGCCTCAGCCTCCCAAGTAGCAGGGATTACAGGTGTGTGCCACCATGCTCATCTAATTTTTTTTTTTTTTTTTTTTTTTTTTTAGTATAGACTGGGTTTCACTGTGTTGGCCAGGCTGGTCTCGAACTCCTGAGCTCAAGTGATCTGCCCACCTTGGTCTTCCAAAGTGCTGGAATTACAGGAGTGAGCCACCATGCCTGGCCTCACATCACTTTTTAAAAATATTTTTTCACTGCAAAGATGACAGAATGCATTATATTCAGGGTTACCTTGTATATGGACATTATTCTCATAATTTTATGGGTTCCTTCTAGTTAGAACCAAATAACTTATTCACTCATCTCCTTCAAAATAGCTCATATGCAAGTTGACACTTCTTAATGATACTGAGATAATCCTCTAATGATATTATCCCAAATCCTCATTACCAATCTAGGGATGGAAAATCTAAAACATTTCAATTCATATCAATTCACCAAGAAATAAATTGTTTTATCAGGTGTTATTCTATTCTAGTCTTTTTTTTTTAAAAATAAACATTTATTTTAGAATAGTTTTTTTCTTTTTTTTGAGACAGGGTCTTGCTTCATTGCCCAGGCTGGACTGCAGTGTTGCAATCACTGCTCATTGCAGCCTTGAGCTTCCAGGCTCAATTGATCCTCCCACTTCAGCCTCCTGAGTAGCTGGACTATAGGCACTTACCACCTCGTGTGGCTAATTTTTTAAAAACATTTTTTATAGAGATGGGGCCTTACTATGTTGTCCAGGCTGGTCTCAAGTGATCCTCCCACCTTGGCTTCCCAAAGTACTGAGATTACAGGCGTGAGCACTATGCCCAGCCAAGAACAGTTTCAGATTTATAGAAAAGTTGCAAAATAGTAGAGTTCTCATTTATTGCACACCCAGTTTACTCTATTATTAACATCTTACATTTGTCACAACTAAGGAACCAATATTGATGTTATTGCTCCTCTTGGATGTGAGAGATTCTCAGACTTTCCTTGTTTTTGATGACCTTGACAGTTTTGAGGAGAACTGGTCAGGTATTTTGTAGGATATCCATAAACTGGTATTTAATGTTTTTCTTATTATTAGACTGGAGTTATGGGTTTTTTGGGAGGAAGACCACAGAGATAGTATCATTTTTATCACATCAATATCAAGGATACATGCTATCAACATGACCGATCGATGCTGATGTTAACCTTCATCACCTGGTTGAGGGTACTCTGTCAGTTTCTTCCATTGTGAAGTTACTCTTTTCCTCTCCTTTCTACACTGTCCCCTTTGGAAGGGAGTTACTAAATCTGGCACAACTTAAGGGGTGGTGAATTATGCTCTACTTCCTTGAGGGATAAATAACTATATGAATTACTTGGAATTATACACTGGAGATTTATCTCTTCTCCCCATTTGTTTTATTCAATCATTTATATCAGTCCAGCTTTTTTTAATCAAATGACTGTGCTCTGATACCTAAATTTTTATCACCAAGATGAAAGTATTTTAACACTAAGAAATCTGCTTAGAAATATTTATTTGAGATGCTTACATGTCTCAGGAATTCATTTGAGTTATGGGGTAAGACAGAAACCACAGGGTATGTTAGTTTATAGTCAGAAGGAAAAGCTGAGAGAGGGGAAAATACAGTTGGTTTAGAGCAGAACACCTGCTGTGGAGTCCAAGTTCTATCACGTAGCAGCTGTGATCTTAGATCAGTCATTTAACCTGCCTGAGATTTAATTTGTAAACAACAGATAATATGAAGGCCTTACAGTTGTTCCAGGATTATATGAAATGCCTACAAAAATGGTTTAGAGATTATAAAACACGATATAAGCAAGTGTAGGACATTATTATGCCATAATTCTTCAGGATTGAAGGAGGCACATTATGGAAGTGACTTTTTATGAACAACTTCAAATTCTCTAATAAAAGCATATATTATTATCTTATTCTTTCTCTAAAATCTTCAAAAAGGAAAACACAACTGAAAGCTTATTTGTATTAATTAATGTTTGACTTGAGTTTTATTCACTCAAAACCTTGTAATTCCTGGAAAACCTGCTGCAATCTTTTGTGCTGCTCATATATTAATCTTCATCTCTTTGCTCATCCTCTTTTGTTTTAGAGATAAGGCCTAATTCTACTTTTATACTTGTATTATATATATATTAAATATTAGATAGATATATACAGAGCAGAAATTATATTTGAGAGATTTGAGTTTTTTTTTTTTTTTTTTTTGAGACGGAGTCTCACTCTGTCGCCCAGGCTGGAGTGCAGTGGCGCAATCTCAGCTCACTGCAAGCTTCGCCTCCCAGTTCACCCGTTCTCCTGCCTCAGCATCTCGAGTAGCTGGGACTACAGGCGCCCGCCACCACGCCCGGCTAATTTTTTGTATTTTTAGTAGAGACGGGGTTTCACCGTGTTAGCCAGGATGGTCTCAATCTTCTGACCTCGTGATCCGCCCGCCTCGGCCTCCCAAAGTGCTGGGATTACAGGAGTGAGCCACCGCACCCGGCCTTCTCTTTTATATTACTGGTCCAACAGCCTCCCAACTCATTTTTCTCCTCCAGTCTCTGGTCCATTGTTTCTCAAAGGGTGGTTCCATGACCTTGTTAAAAATGCTGTTTCGGCCGGGAGCGGTGGCTCACGCCTGTAATCCCGGCACTTTGGGAGGTCGAAGTGGGCGGATCACGAGGTCAGGAGATCAAGACCATCCTGGCTAACACAGTGAAACCCCGTCTGTACTAAAAAATACAAAAAAAACCCCAAAAAACAAAAAACAAAAAACATAGCTGGGCGTGGCGGCACGCGCCTGTAGTCCCAGCTACTCCGGAGGGTGAGGCGGGAGAATGGCGTGAACCTGGGAGGCGGAGCTTGCAGTGAGCCGAGATCGTGCCACTGCAGTCCAGCCTGGGCGACAGAGCAAGACCCTGTCTCAAAAAAAATAAAATAAATAAATAAAAATAAATAAACAAACAAATAAAAATAAATAAATAATAAAAGATAAAAATATAAAAAGCCACTAGCTTTCACATAGATGAGCTTTTGCATGGAAATAAATTAAATAACAAATAAAAAATGTAAAAAACCCCTCTAGTCTGGCTTTTACAATCTAATACATTGTGACCAGAGTGCCAGTCCTAAAATACAAACTGGATCATATCATTACCTCCTCTTCAAAAACCTTCAATAGGTTTTCACTGTTCAGAGAAAAGTGCTAACTTCTTAGCTTAGTATTGAAAGTTTACATTGTGGCTCAAAGATCTCTCTGGCTTCCCTTTCTGTTTTACACTCCTTCCTACACCCATTCTCATCCAGGCACAGTGAATATACTATGCACATATGCCCCTCTATGCACTCTGGTGAGCTTGCACACTCTTGTCTGAAGCTTCTCATAAGACTTCAAACATCAGCAACATCAAAAGAGTTGAGTGGCCTTTCAGGGACCCAATTAAGTGTTATGATGACCATAGGACCACATCAGACAAAGATGATAAAGGAGGGAGGAATAAACCTCTCCCTAACTTAGAGGATCCCTGTGGAGGTAACCATGACAGAGGAAAATGGGAGTAACAAAGACAGCAATTATTGTTATCAGAGGCTGGCTACAAGTGCCCCAGATGTACCATACCATGTACCAACTGCAGAGTAAAGCCAGCCATATCACCCCAAGAGAATCTCTCTAAAACAAATCATCTCAATAGTCTTCACTTCCATTGCTGTGAGAAGAAAATGGCTTTTGTCTTTTTTTTTTTTTTTTTGAGACGGAGTCTCCCTCTGTTGCCCAGGCTGGAGTGCAGTGGTGCGATCTCAGCTCACTGCAACCTCCACCTCCCAAGTTCAAGTGATTATCCTGCCTCAGCCTCCTGAGTAGCTGGGGTTACAGGCGCCCACCACCATGCCTGGCTAATTTTTTTTTTTTTTTTTTTGGTATTTTTAGTAGAGACAGGGTTTCACAATGTTGGCCAGGCTGGTCTTGAACTCCTGACCTCAAATGATCCACCTGCCTCAGCCTCCCAAAGTGCTGGCATTACAGGTGTGAGCCACCACGCCCAGCCTTCTTTTGTCTTTTTTTTTTTTGTATGAGAATGCCATTAATGCCATGCAGCAAAACTTATTCCAAAGAATGGCAGTTTCTCATTGTGTGATGAGACTAAGAGAAAGGTAATAAAGTAGACTGGTTAAGTGCCCTGGCCAAGGTTACAGAGCAACGATAAAAGGATAATCTTCTTCTTGCTCTGCTATCACCTTTCTTATCCTCTCTTCCAAAGACTAAATTTTACCCTTATTTCTTACAATGAACTAAATGTTTATGTCCCCTCCAAATTCATACATTGAAATCCTAACCCCCAATGTGATGGTATTAGGAGGTGGGCTTTGGGAGGTGATGAGGCCATGAGGGTGGAATCTTCATGAATGGGATCAGTGACCTACAAAAGGGACCCTAGAGAGCTTTCTCCTCTCTTTGAACCACATAAGGATACGAGAAAACAGTAGTCTGCAACCTGGAAGAAGGCTCTCACCAAAACCTGAACATGCTGGTACGCTGATCTCAGACTTCCAACCTCCAGAGCTATGAGAAATGTTTCTGTTGTATATAAACCACCCAGTCTTTGGCACTTTGTTACAGCAGCCCGAAATGACAGATATCTCTACTATAAATTTTTAAAATTACAGTGCTTTTTTTCATAATGAAATAAAGAACAACTTACTTGTAAAAAGACCCAGAAAAACTAAGTCTTAAGCACTTCTATAAGCACCAAAGTGCTCAAACCGATGACAATTCTGATTTCAGTCATAGGCTCCCAATTCTGGGGAAGCTGATTGCTTATGAAAGTGATTCACGCCGAGCCTGTAATCCCAGCACTTTGGGAGGCAGAGGTGGGCGGGATCACTTGAGGTCAGGAGTTCAAGATCAGCCTGGTCAACATGGTGAAACCCTGTCTCTATGAAAATACAAAAGTTAGCCAGGCATGATGCCCAATATTTATTTTCCTACCACACAAGATCTCTAAAAAAAAAGTTGGCTGGGCACGGTGGCTCATGCCTGTAATCCCAGCACTTTGGGAGGCTGAGGCGGGCGGATCAACTGAGGTCAGGAGTTCCAGACCAGCCTGACCAACATGGAGAAACCCCGTCTCTACTAAAAATACAAAATTAGCTGGGTGTGGTGGCGCATGCCCGTAATCCCAGCTACTTAGGAGGCTGAGGCAGGAGAACCACTTGAACTTCGGAGGCAGAGGTTGCAGTGAGCTGAGATCGTGCCATTGCACTCCAGCCTGGGTGACAAGAGCAAAACTCCATCTCAAAAAAAAAAAATTATATATATAAAGCCTATTTCTCTGAAAATAAAAACTGTGCACTTCTGAAACTTTTATGTACAGATTCTGGTAGAGAAATGGTTAAAAGAGGTAAAAATGTGATGACAGAGCTTTTCTCTTGCAGAATAATCCACTGTGCATCTTTATAAAAGTTCCCTAATTACAGAACATTTCTCTTTTCTTTTCATTGTAAAGAGACCATTAGCAAAATTACTCTCTTCCCCTATAATGCAAGCAGACTGGGGCAAGAACAGAAGTTTTGGGGGCAGACCATTTCTTTTGTTGAAGTTGTTGGAGTGGTATTTATTCCCAAAGGTTTGGGCAAGAAGACATATTCGACTTTGATTACAACATAGCTTGGCCATCATATACCATTGAAGTTTTCAAGATGTTGCTCTAAGGATTTTCCAGCTTTCCACATCATAATGTACATATTAATGCAGAGGAAACTCAAACTGTAAGAGATATTGGTTGTCCTGAAGCACAATTCCAACCAAATCAATGGTTTATTTATTTGTTAAAGACAGGGTCTCACTCCGTCGCCTAGGCTGGAGTGCAATGGCACAACTGAAGCTCACTGCAGCCTTGAACTCCTGGGTGCCAGCAATTCTTCCCACCTCAGCTTCTTGGGTAGCTAGGACTATGGGTGCAAACTACTAAACCTGGCTTTTTTTTTTTTTTTTTTTGAGAGACAGGGTCTCTCTCTGTTGTTCTAGGCTGATCTCTATCTCCTGGCCTCAAGTGTTCCACCTACCTTGGCCTCCCAAAGTGTTGAGATTATAGGCATGAGCCACCACACCTGGCCCTAAACCAAAGATTCAAAGAGAAAGTTTAGAAATATAACTCCAGCCACAGGTTGCAATCCAAACATCATTAAGAATTCCCTGTGGTGAAGCATCTTCTGAGAAAGTGAAGTCAAGCTCTATGTGTTAGGTTTAAGTGCTCAAAAAAAAAAAAAAGATAGTATTCAATTGACTATTGTTGTAAAAGCCTTAGAGAAGGGCTAATCTAACCTCGCTTCCAGATATCTTTTCTTTTTTTGAGACAGGTTCTCACTCCTGTTGCCCAGGCTGGAGTGCAGTGGTACGATCACAGCTCACTGCAGCCTCAACTTCCTGGGCTCAGGTGATCCTCCCACCTCAGCCTCCTGAGTATGTGGGGCTACAGGTGTGTGCCACCACACCTGGCTAATTTTTTATATATTTAGTAGAGACAGGGTTTTGCCATGTTGCCCAGGCTGGTTTCGAACTCCTGGGCTCAAGCAACTTGCCTGCCTCAGCCTCCCAACAGACATCTCCTTTTAAACATGTCCCCTCCTGTGGACCAGGACAATTTCCAAACACTAAAAGTTTCAAGTATTAAACGATTTATTTTTTTTCTTTAGATGAGTTTTGCTCTTGTTGCCCAGGCTGGAGTGCAATGGCACGATCTCGGCTCACTGCAACCTCCGCCTCCCAGGTTCAAGCAATTCTCCTGCCTCAGCCTCCCCAGTAGGTGGGATTATAGGAGCGTGCGACCACGCCCAGCTAATTGTTGTATTTTTAGTAGAGACAGGGTTTCACCATGTTGGCCAGGCTAGTCTCCTGACCTCAGGTGATCTGCCCACCTCAGCCTCCCAAAGTACTGGGGTTACAGGCGGGAGCCACTGCGCTCGGCTAAACAGTCAATTTCTTAAATCCCCATATCAGTATGTAAATAAAATTAAGGTAAAAATTCAGTTATCCTGGGTCAGGATTCACTTTAAACAATATAAAAGCCTATCTAATAATGTTTAATGATAATGAGAAAATGTTCATAATGTATTGATATGTGAACAGGAAGAGTATTTTTTAATTAAAAAGCAGTTTACAAAACATGTATAATGTGATCACAGTTATTAAAAATTATATTTACACATATATTTCCTTTACCAAAGGAATGGCTGTTACAGAAAGTTTGGAAAATAGAGGACAGTGCTTGCTTCGGCAGCACATATACTAAAATTGGAATGATACAGAGAAGATGAGCATGGCCCCTTAAAAAAAAAAGAAAACAAAGGACAAAAAAGAAATAACTGTAATCTTATAACCCACAGATTACTGGGTTTAATATTTTGATGTATATATTTCTAATTTTTGATGCACATATACTTCTCCCCAATAAATGTAATTGTAAAAGTTTTTTTTAGTCATTAGCTTTGCCTATATATCTACCTACCTACCTGTCTGTCTGTCTGTCTAAAACGGCATCTTAGATAGACAGACAGATAGGTAGATAGATAGTGCAGTGGTGCACATGGCTTACTGCAGCTTCAAACTGTTGGGCTCAAGGGATTCTCCTGGCTTGGACTCCTGAGTAGCTAGGATTACAGGCACCCCCAGCTAATTTTTTTTTTGTTTTTTTTTGTAGAGACAAGGTCTCACTATGTTGCCCAGGCTGGCTCAAACTCCTGGGCTCGAGTGATGCCCTTACCTTGGCCTCCCAAAGTGCTGGGATTACAGGCATAAGCCACTGCATCTGGCCACATCAACTTATATATACCTTGTGTTCTAAGAAGCTAGGGCAAATTATAAGAATCATGTACAACAGTGCTTCTCAGCCTTGGCTGCCTATTAGAATCACTTGGGGAACTTCTAAAACTCCTGATTCCTGGACCTGACCTTTCAGACCAATTAGAATCTCTGGAGGTGGAACCCAGGCATCAGTATTTTTCACAGTTCCCCAAGTCATTCCACTGAAGCCAGGGTGGGGAACCATGACTTGACAAAGTGTCTCCTAATCCCTGACCCTTGAGCAAAAGGTGATTTACAACAGGGATTTCTTAAATTTTCATATGCATACCAGTCATCTGGAGATCTTGTTAAAATACAGATTCTGGTTCAGTAGATTGGGGTGGGATCTGAGATTTTGCATTTCTAACTAGCTCCCTGATGATGCCAATGCTACTGCCCCAGGGACCATACTTTGAGTAGCTTTAGGGTACCAGGAAAGAAAACTCTCATAAAGAGTGAAAAGAAAAAAATTATAGCCACTAAAGCCCATACTCTATACCACCAGACAGGAAGGGGTGGTCCACAGTGGATGAACAAAGGGTTGAGGCTGGGAATTAAAAGACATTTCTAGGCCAGGCATGGTGGCTCACGCTTGTAGTCCCAGCACTTTGGGAGGCTGAGGCAGGAAGACTGCTTGAGGCCAGGAGTTCGACACCAGCCTGGGTAACATAGGGAGACAGCATCTCTATTAAAAAAAAAAAATTAGCCAGGCGTGATGGCACATGCCTGTAGTCCCAGCTACTTGGGAAACCGAGGTGGGAGGATTGCTTTAGCCCAGATGTCAAGGCTGCAGTGAGCTGTGTTCATGCCATTGCACTCCAGCCTGGGCGACAAAGTGAGACCCTGTCTCAAAATAAATAAATAAAGCAATTTTAAAGAGGAAAAAAAGGAAAAAGGTATTTCTAGGAAATAAGATTTTAGAGATTGGAAAGGTTTGGAATAACACATTTTTCAGGGGGAAAAACAGCCATTGGAGCTTATTATTCGTGTGTACAAAGGAAGGCAAGCAAGCATGGGGGAGAAGAGGAGCAGGCAGTGAGAGAAAAAGATCAAATGTCTAAAAAATTGTTATGGAAAAAATAAACCCTTGGCTACAGTGCTGGAAAGGGATAGAGAAGCACTATAAAGGGATCTGTGGAATCTATTTCTCTGCCAAAAACATGTTTGGGAAGCAGAAAAGCTAATAAACTGAAGTTGGTATAGATTAATAACCATCTTCCATCAACTCCCTCTTGGGGACATGAAGAGACCCCAGGAGTATAAGTCTCCCGTGGCAGTGCTTTAGGAACTAACAACAAACAGTGAACTACTGCCCAAATGCTTCTCTTTATAAGCAGTAAGAATGGCAAGAAACTCAAACATGGCATCCCTTTGCGGCTTCTTGGCAATATCCTTCTGGGAATTTCTAAACTTCCAGGCAGGCTAGAGACATAGCCCCCAAAACAGGGAAAAAAGTGTTTTTCTCCTGAGGGCTTTCCCATAGAAATGAGAAATGTTTAGTATTTTTTAGAACAATAAGGTAAACATTTAATGTAAAGATATTCATAAGTCACTACCAGACTTTTATACCTCCAAAATAATTTCTAAAAACAATAAAATAGGAAAACCTTCATGTAAATTAGCTGGAGCAATTATTTGAATCAGCTGGTATACTTTATCAGCTGGTCCTTATCAAATGGGTCACATCCAAGTAAATTTCTGTTTAAATCAATAGAAGAAAGTAAGGGGAAGACTTTACCAAGATATGGAAAGAATTCTGTTGTCACATGATTTGTGTTACACATCGCTTAGGTATATGAAACTTTGGCAGAAATGTATACAGTCTTCACATTCAGTATCTATTTACTATATAATGATGATGGCTAAGATGTACTGAGTACTAGATAGTATGCTAATAATTTAGATATTATTCATGTATAAATTAATCCACATAACCCTATGAAATAGGCATTATTATTATAGCTCTTACATGGATGAGGAATCTGTACAGGTTTGAGGATGGTAAGTTTTTGCTTCATTTCATTGCTAAAAGGTCACAAAGCCAGTTAAGTGGTCAAGTTGGTTTTTGACTGCCTGATTCTAACATCTGTGATTTTTAACTTTATATGACACCCCCAGCTATCCTGCATACCCAGTTTGTACCAGGGAGAGACTGAGGGATATAAGATGAATAACTCATGATCCCTAAACTCATGGTACAAGACAAGTAGTTCCTCTAGCACATGAGATTAGAAAGACATTTCCAAATGCTACAGGATACAAGATGCCAGATCAGATTATGCTGCTAGTGTATTCCACAGGTCAAAACCCATATACTTTTGGAGCCCTTGATTTTTAAGTTTTATATAACCTTAATGGGTAAAAGGCAGATTTATAAAAAGGACACGCTGCAAGGCTAGTGACACTATTTTCTAGCTCAGCCAAGCTCTCCAGAAATTACTGAACCACATCAGTCTATATAAAGGTGATAAAGCCCTAACAATGTCCAGGTAACAGATCTAATACCAGTTGAGTGGATGATCTCTTCCATATTCAAGTACTAGCGTGTTGCCTGATAACTTGGTCCATGAATACATTAGAATGGAGACAACAGAAATGAGTCTAAGACTAAGGTTGTGGTCTCTCTTCTGAGACCATTTCTATAAAATCTCCAAAGGCTAAACGGAAATCCCATTGATTGTATTGGCCCAACAATGGCTATAAATCAATAATTCTTTTTTTTTTTTTGAGATGTAGTCTCACTCTGTCGCCCAGGTTGGACTGCAGTGGCGCAATCTCGGCTCACTGCAAGCTCCGCTTCCCAGGTTCACGCCATTCTCCTGCCTCAGCCTCCCGAGTAGCTGGGACTACAAGGTGCCTGCCACCACGCCCGGCTAATTTTTTTGTATTTTTAGTAGAGATGGGGTTTCACCATGTTAGCCAGGATGGTCTCAATCTCCTGACCTCGTGATCCGCCTGCCTTGGCCTCCCAAAGTGCTGGGATTACAGGCGTGAGCCACCAGGCCTGGCCTATGAATCAATAATTCTTAACCTGTGGTTCATTATCAATGCAGACAGATAAAGTCTTAACTATTTTTGCATTTCTCAGGGCTAGCTTTCTAACAGTCTTGTTTAACTTAACTGCAGACAGCATGAGGCCAGGGAAAAGGTGAACAATATTTCTAGCCTTATCTGGCATCTAGCTATATTCATAGTTTAAAGGTAGTCCTCAAAGAAACAAGAGTCAGGGTAAAAGAGCTAATATTTGAGTACCTACTTTCAACATATATGTCACGTGCTGTGCTAACAGTCCCTCTTTTTTATTTTTCAGTCTTATTTAATACTCATACCCACATAAAATACTGGTGCTCCCAGCAGTCAAATATCTTTCTCAGGAACTCACAGCTGGTAAATAACAGAGCTAACATTCAGACAGAGGTCTGTTCACACTACATACCCTTGGGAACAGAAAGGCTCCAGGGAACTGCAGGGTCCTGGGTATCTTTGTGACGACATTCCTCCAGGGCTAGAAGAGCTGAGGGAACTGATGACAGGGTGAGAAAGGCAAGCAGACTTCCTCAAATATACCATGGAAATGGCCCTTTTGCCCTTCCTAACAATGTTCTCTTGGGGATATGCTTAGTAGAGAAGGAAGATGATGTATTGAGTTATTGAATTTGTACTGATCCACATTGAAAACAAAATTCCATTTATGATAACAAAACTTCCCTGTTGTAAGTTGCACTTAAATATTGTGAGCTTAAATATTTCAAAATAATGATCTCCATTGAGTATAGCTATGTGTGTGGCTATTAAAAAGTAGACCTCCTCTTTTCTATCCCTTGAATGAAACTATTTTTTTTTTTAAATCTGAAGTGGATTCAAGGACTAACGCTTTTTTTTTTTTTTTTTTTTTTTTAGACACAGTCTTGCTCTGTCGACCAGGCTGGAGTGCAGTAGTGCGATCTCAGCTCACTGCAACCTCTGCCTCCTGGGTTCAAGTGATTCTCCTGCCTCAGCCTCCCGAGTAGCTGGGATTACAGGTGGGCACCACCATGCCCAGCTAATGTTTGTATTTTTAGTAAGGACAAGGTTTCACCCTGTTGGCCAGGCTGGTCTCAAACTCCTGACCTCAAGTGATCCTCCTGCCTCGCCCTCTCAAAGTGCTGGGATTACAGGTGTGAGCCACCGTGCCTGGCCTAACAATTTGGTTTTAAGAACTGAAGACTTGTAGTGCTGTAAGCAACGCAAAATTATCTTAATGGACGTAGAAGGCTTGTTTGTTTCAAAGTTTTTCATAAAAATATTTCTTACCCTATTCAGCTAATCTTTTGAGAGGACACAGAGGAAACAAGAAAATCTCAGACAGAGATCTTAGGTGCAGTGGCTCACACCTGTAATCCCAGAACTTTGGGAGGCCAAGCCGGGAGGATCAGCTGAGCCCAGGAGTTCAAGACCAGACTGGGCAACATAGTGAGACCCCATCTCTACTAAAAAAAAAAGAAAAGAAAAGAAAATTGCAGCCAGAGAAAGCATTTGGTGGTATGCTCCATATTGCAACATGGAAAAATGCACTGGTTCTAAGAGCAGTTGTTAATATTTGAAATCAATCCTAGCTACTATAGATCTGCTCATGAGAGCAAGTTTAAATAAATAGGTTGACATCTTTGTGCAGTCATTTAGAGCAAGTTCTACATATTCAGCAAGATCAAAACTATATTTTGCAGAAATTCAGAGAGAGTATTTATTAGTATTTATCTGTCTTGCTAGAGAGCCAAAGGAACAGTATTCAGAGTGAATGATGACAAAAAGTTTGTTTTACATGGAGGGTAGCATTATTGCAGTCATCTTGAGTTTCTCACTTAATCATTTCCCTCCAATTCTCCAAAGAGAGCCTCTATTCTCCTTTTTTCCTTGCCTACTACTATAATCATTCCAATCGTCTCATTCATGTATTTACTGCACAAACATGTATTGAGGTACTGTGTATCAGGTGCAAATATTGGGGATTCCACAGCTGTACCACTCAGAATGTGGCCCACAGACTGGTCCTGGTCTGTGAATCCATTTGCTACCAGCCTGTGACATGTGTTTAAAATTTTTAATAACAATACAGCAGAATAATTTATTTGTTGATTTCAATAATAATTTAAAAAAACTTTTATGTCATTTTTCTTTAAAAACTTTTTTTTTCTTTTTTTTTTTTTTAGAGACAGGGTCTCACTCTGTTGCCCAGGCTGGGGTGTAGTGGTATGATTACAGCTCACTGTAACCCCAAATTTTTGGGTTCAAGTGATCTTCCTGCTTCAGCCTCCTGAGTAGCTGGGACTACAGGCATGTGCCACCATGCCTGGATAATTTTTAATTTTTGTTGTTGCTGTTGAGACAGAGTCTATGTTGCTCAGGCCGGTCTTGAATTCCTGGGCTCAAGTGATCCTCCCACTCTGGCCTCCCAAAGTGCTGGGATTACAAGCTTGAGCCACCAGGCCTGGCTTTATGTTATTTTTCTAATAATTAATCTCACTGTATTTTACAAAAATATTGGTCTATGAAGGATTAGAAGTAAAACCCCGATTCTTTTGCCAGCCATAGTTTAAGCAGCATTGTTCTAGGAAACAGGAAGAATAAGATAAGACTTTTGCTCTTGACAAGGTCTTAGTCTAGTCTTGTGTGAGTGTTCAATAAAAAATCTTGCCAGATGTAGTGGCTCAAGCTTGTAATCCCAGCACTTTGGGAGGCCAAGGTAGGAGGATCACTTGAACCCAGGAGTTTGATACCAGCTTGGGCAATATAGTGAGACTGTGTCTCAACAACAACAACAAATTAGCTACATGTGGTGGTGTGTGCCTTTAATCCCAGCTACTTGGGAGGCTGAGGGCAAGATTGCACCACTGCACTACAGCCTGGGCAACAGAGTGAGACCCTGTCTCCAAAAACAACAAAAACTCCTTCCATCCTCATACACATTTCTGAGGAACACAGAAAGTTTAGGCTTTGTAAATAGTTATGGGGAATATTAATTTTTTTCTAATGAGCTATTAATAGGTTAAAAGGACAACAGAGAAGGGTGAGATAAGAAAGGCTGTCAACAGAAAGGATAGTTTGATAAAGAACAGGAAATCAACAGGCAACCAGGAGGCCAGCATGTGTAACAAATTGCTATATGCCTCAGGTGAAGAAGTCAAGATGGCAAATCAAGGCTTACTGGAGGAAGACACTGAGTCCAGTCTCTGCCATACATTCCATTCTCCAAAGTGTTGTTTGTTACAGCATCACCTCCTATCCTGGCCACTTGTTTATACCTGTGTCACAGTACTTATCGGAGAGTACCATGAATATATTAGTTTGCAAGTCAAATTCTACTGACACTATATTATTTATCTTTCTCTTCTCAGTGCTCAGCATGTAACTGACACTCAAATATGTGTTGAATCACACTAAGCAATAGAGGGAGAGTTCATTAGAATTCTCTTCAGGCTGAGCAACCACAAGCGATGCTTTCAGGGTCCAGTGGACTGTAAAAAGGGCAATTCAGGCTGGGTGCAGTGGCACATGCCTGTAATACCAACACTTTGGGAGGCCAAAGCAGGAAGACTGCTTGAGCCCAGGAATCCAAGACCAGCCTGGGCAACACAGTGAGATTCCATCTCCACGGAAGGGAAAAAAAAAAAAAAAGACAAATTAGCCATACAGTGGTGCGTGCCTATAGTCCCAGCTACTCAGAAAGCTGAGGCAGGAGGACTGCTTGAGCCCAGGATTTCAAGGCTGCAATGAGCCAGGATCTTACCACTGCACTTCAGCCTGGGTGGCAAAGCAAGATCCTATCTCAAAAAAAATAAAAAATAAAAAAGTGGGAGGGGGGCAACTTAAACCTGGAACTCAGAAAGAAAAAAAAAGCAAAAACCAACCCACCAACGAACCAAAAAACCTCCACTCTCCCTAAGGACAACACCTAAGTCAGTCAGCTGAATTGCAAGTAACAATATATTAGAATTTAAAAGCCCATTCTGCATTAAGTTTGAATTCATGACTTGACAGAGTACTCATAAATTATATATGGGCATGTGGCTCTGAGTAATTTCCAGGTAAGTATATTTTTCAGGCAAAATGGCTGACTAAGCATATAATGATATATGCTAATGTCTACTATGGCAGACCAGAGCACTATGAGGCAAAGCTTCAAAACCAAGGTCACAGGCATAAAGAAAAACCTCTCCCTTCTCATTACTTTGGGGTGGAAGCAGCTGCAATGACTAGCAGTAAACAAAGGGAGTTTCTATTTGGTGGTATCCTGAGCATTTTCATTACAGGGCTGTCTGTCTTTACTCTGTTTTCATAGTTTTTGGTTGTGGCTTTTTTCTTCCTGTTCTCTATCTTTTCACACTTTGCCTTTATGATCTCTCCCCTCTCAAACTCTCTCCTCCTTGTTTCCTTTCTGAACTCATTTCCTTCTCTTACTCCCACTTTCTTCATTAATTCTTAAATACCACTTATGTCAGAGCCCTCTTATGCTTCTGCCTTAGTGTTGGTTATACAGAGCATTCTGCCTTTAGTTCCTTCTTAAGGACCAATTCTAATTCACGGTCATTTAAATGCATTTCTCCACCCAATAATTTCCCAGTGATTTTCCCATTTATGGGGGATAAGATGAGAAAATATAAATGGATCTCTGAGAACCCAGGTTTCAGTATCCTTGAAACATAATATGCAGCATTGTAATCAGTGGTGATATCCCCGTGAAATAATACTCTTGTGCTGGCAAAGTTACTATGCTTGGAAAGTATACAATCAAAATTCAAACTGGCCTGGGAAACAGTGGAGGCAAGTAATTTAGTAATGAGAAAAAGATCAGTATTTGAAACATAACACAGTCTTCTCCCTAGCAAAGTCAAACAATAACGCAAACCTTTCTTTTTTCTAGTCAGCCCATTATCCTACTGACATGTACAGTTATGTGCCTGGAACTGGTCAGAAACAAGCTAGAAGAGACATATCCAAAGAGATTCTTAGAGGCTCCCTTTGCACTTTTATTTGCTTCCCAGCACCTCCTGACTGAGGAAGAAATAATACAAGGCCTTTTCCCAAGGGCATGTTCCCAAAAGGGCCACTGTTTCTTTCAGGTTATTTGGAGGCACAGGGATATTGCCTTGAATCCTGTCAAAATCTACATTCAGATTCCTGAATTTCACCCAGTTTTTAAAAAATGCTATAGTATTGGGAAGAAACTCAACTCCTTCAAATTATAACTCTTAAAAAAATGAAAGCTGGCGGGGCATGGTGGCTCATGCCTATTATCCCAGTACTTTGGAAGGCTGAGAAGGGTGGATCATCTGAGGTCAGGGGGAGTTTGAGACCAGTCTGGCCAACTGAAACCCTGTCTCTACTAAAAATACAAAAATCAGTTGGGCATGGTAGTGCATGCCTGTAATCCCAGCTACTCGGGAGGCTGAGGCTACTCGGGATGGCTGGAATCCGGGAGGCGGAGGTTGCAGGGAGCTGAGATCACGCCACTGCACTCCAGCCTGGGTGACAGAGCGAGACTCCGTCTCAAAAAAAAAAAAAAAAAAAAAAAAAGCTAAGTCAAAGATGATTCTGGTTTTTCAGTGTCATCTGGGGGTTTCTTCTGTTGTCACTCCAAGAGCCACAATTAATTCCCAGAAATGTGAAAAAAGGCTCACAGGTATCGAAGCTAAAGTAAAAAACAATCACTAAGGCTCTGACTTTTCTGATATCCTACTTTAAAGCAAAGGTAAATAATGATTGTAATAATGTAATAGCAAGCATAGTGCATTTGAAGAGCTATGGTTTTTAAATTGAGTTGGCATGTATTATTTCGTTCAAATTTCATAACATCTCCATCAAACAGCATGCATTATCCTTGTTTTTTTTTTTTGAGACAGAGTCTCCGTTGCCAAGGCTGGAGTGCAGTGGTGCGATCTTGGCTCACTGCAAGCTCTGCCTCCCAGGTTCATGCCCTTCTCTTGCCTCAGCTTCCTGAGTAGCTGGGACTACAGGCGCCCGCCACCACGCCTGGCTAATTTTTTGTGTTTTTAGCACAGACAGGGTTTCACCGAGTTAGCCAGGATGGTCTCAATCTCCTGACCTTGTGATCTGCCCGCCTTGGCCTCCCAAAGTGCTGGGATTACGGTGTGAGCCACCGCACCCAACCACTTTATCCTTGTTTTACAGATATTAAGTGACTTGTACAAAGTCAGCTTAAATAAGTGATTTCCATTATTTAATGAATTCTATCTACCCACTCAAGCTGCTCCCCTAATATCTGCTTTCTTAGGCCACCAGATTTCTTGAAAGAGTAATCTATTATTTCTGACTTTATTTCCTCATGTATTCATTTTCTAATCTTGAAAGATTATACTTTGTTTCTTTAACTATTCTTTTTTTTTTTTTTTTCCAGACAAGTTCTTGCTCTGTGGCCCAGAGTGGAGTGCAGTAGCCAGTGGCACAATCTTGGCTCACTGCAATCTCTGCCTCCTGGGCTCAAGTGATACTCCTACCTCAGCCTCCCGAGTAGCTGGGACTACAGGCACACACTACCATGCCTGGCTAATTTTTGTATTTTTGGTAGAGGCAGGGTTTCACCATGTTCCCAGGCTGGTCTCAAACTCCTGAGCTCAAGGGATCCATACACCTTAGCCTCCCAAAGTGTTGGGATTACAGGTGTGAGCCACTGTATCTGCCACTATCTATTATTCTTAAAAAGATCACAATGACCTATAAGGTATCATGGGACTCTCAGCTGATTCTTAAATATCATTAATGAATAAAATTTCAAAGAATTCCAAGAATTTGTTTGGTCCTCATCCTTCCTCATTCCTGACTCCAACTCACTCTTGAAACACTTTCCTTCCTCTGTTACTCCCTACTGTCATAAAGATTAAACTGGGTAACACCTCATCTTTTAAGATCCTATTCAAGTGATAATCCTTTTGTTGTTGTTGTTGTTGAGATGGAGTCTCCCTCTGTCGTACATGCTGGAGTGCGGTGGCGTGATCTTGGCTCACTGCAACCTCCACCCAGGTTCAGGCGATTCTCCTGCCTCAGCCTCTTGAGTTGCTGGGATTACAAGCATGCACCACCACGCCCAGCTAATTTTTGTATTTTTAGTAGAGACAGGGTTTCACCATGTTGAAACCATGGGCCAGGCTGGTCTCCAACTCCTGACTTCAAGTGATCCACCCGCCTCAGCCTCCCAAAGTTCTGGGATTACGGGCGTGAGCCACCGCGCCCGACCTCAAGTGATAATTCTTGAAGTCTCCCACAACACCCCTAGTAGGAGTCACCCTTTCTCTGAGTTTCCACAGTACTTGATACTACTCGGCATGTAACACATTGCATTCTGATTGTTATGGTCTCTTTCTCTCTCCCTTATATAATACAAGTTATTTGGTCATGGAAACTGGTTTATCATTTTCTTTTTTTTGAGCGGGAGTTTCGCTCTTGTTGCCCAGGCTGGAGTGCAATGGCACGATCTCACCTCACTGCAACCTCCGCCTCCTGGGTTTAAGCGATTCTCCTGTCTCAGCCTCCCGAGTAGCTGGGATTACAGGCACACGCTACCACGCCCGGCTCATTTTGGTATTTTTAGTGGTGACGGGGTTTCATCATACTGGTCAGGCTGGTCTCGAACTCCTGACCTCATGTGATCCGCCCACCTTGGCCTCCCAAAATGTTGGGATTACAGGCGTGAGCCACCATGCCTGGCCTGCTTTATCATTTTCTTTCTCTTTGGTTTAGCAGATGATATGCCACGTACAGATTCTGTTAACAAATGTCTGAATGAATGGCCAGTGAGTGGCAGCACTATGACCAGAACGCAGCTTTTCTGGTTCCTTTGTCTTTGCTCCTTAGGCAGAAGATGGCTCAAAAGCAATTAAGGCTTACAGTTACATTTCTCACTTCCTATTTCATGAAAATGCTGAATCTCAGATTTAGTCCCTTTTTCTTAATCTTTAGCAGTGACCTGGTGAAAACCATACTTTTCACACAGAGTAGTCACCTAGGTAGCAGTGCCACACATGGCATAATTATGACTATCCTACAATTTGCTCTCTCTCTCTCTCTCTCACACACACACACAGAGATATGTATATATATATATACACATACACACACAGATATACATATACACACACATGCACACAGACACACACAAACACACAGTTTCTAGAGATGGGGTCTTGCTCTGTTGCCCAGGCTGGAATGAAGAGGCACAATCATAGCTCACTGTAGCCTCGAATTCCTGAGCTCAAGTGATCCTCCTGCCTCAGCCTCCTGAATAGCTGAGACCACAGATGGGACCACATTTTTTAACAGAGAATCACAGAAAAGGAAATAGTCTGTTAGATTCTTATCTCAATCCATAAATACTTAAGGGGCCTTTGAAACAAACTCTAAATGCATAATAACACTCTGTAACAGGAACCCTCGAGTTGGTTCTATAAGCTACCCACAATATACTTTCACCTGATATTTTTCATAGACATTTAAGGAAAAGGTTTCAAAATGAAACTGAAATAAGCTGGTCACAAGGTAGCCTTGTGTATTCTGAACAAAGCCAGGACATGTTTGTTTATCCATGCTAGTATCCAAGACTTTTTCACCTTTTTTTCCCTATTAACGAGATTATCTGAATTGCTCATCTGAAAACAACTTCGTTGTGGGATAAATTTTGTGTTACTTTATTGGACAAAACTATATGGACACAATCTTGTGCTTATCAGACTTGAGTAACAACCTCCTATGTTTGATCATCACTGAAGTTGCTAATCAGACCCCTATGAGTAGCCATCTCTTGACTACAGAGGACAATGTTTAAGAGGACTGTGCTTAAGATGAAAAAAATATGAAAACAAGAATATATCCACCTGCTGCTTAAGTATTTTCTGGAAAATGTCTTTTTTTCCTCTGGTAACTCTAATTGTTAAAAAATTCATTATCCTGGGCTAAACCCTGGCCCCTGTATCTGGTGAATTGAGGGAAAAAAAAGAATATAGGAGATATGACCACATTAGAAGAGGATAATTTTCAAGTGAAAAATAAATCTGGCTGTGACTTAAACACTGAGACAAGGGCTGGGCATGGTGGCTCATGTCTGTTAATTCCAGCACTTGGGGAGGCCAAGGCAGTCAGATCACTTGAGCCCAAGAGTTCAAGACCAGCCTGGGCAACATGGCAAAATCTGGTCTCTAAAAAAATAACAAAAATTGGCCGGGTATGGTGGCTCACACCTGTAATCCCAGCACTTTGGGAAGCTGAGGTGAATGGATCACCTGAGGTCAGGAGTTTGAGACGGGTCTGGCCAACGTGGTGAAACCCTGTCTCTACTAAAAATACAAAAATTAGCTGGGTGTGGTGGCAGGCGCCTGTAATCCCAGCTGCTCGGGAGACTGAGGCAGGAGAATTGCTTGAACCTGGGAGGCAGAGGTTGCAGTGAGTTGAGATCGCGCCATTGCACTCCAGCCTGGGTGACAAGAGTGAGACTTCATTTCAAAAAAAAAAAAACCCACAAAAATTAGCCAAGCATGATGGTGTGCACCTGTAGTCCCAGTTATCTGAGAGGCTGAGGTGGGAGGATCACTTGAGCCTGGGAGGTTAAGGCTGCAGTGAGCTGAGAAATTTTTTTTTTTTTTTGAGCAACCTCTGCCTCCCGGGTTCAAGCGATTCTTGTGCCTCAGCCTCCCAAATAGCTTCTGTGGGGTTTGGCGTGTTGGCCAGGCTGGTCTCGAACTCCTGACCTCAAGTGATCTGCCCACTTAGGCCTCCCAAAGTGCTGGGATTACAGGCGTGAGCCACCTTGCTCAGCCAAGCTGAGAAAAATTTAAAACTCAAAATTAATAATACAACAACAAAAGAATAAATTCTCCAGAGAGGCATCATGGTATACTGTAGAAAACATGGACTTTTAAAAAGACAAAACAAGGCTTAAATTAAGGTTCTGCCTTCGTCTAAGTGACTGCCTCGTCGATCCTCAATTCCTTAGTCTATAAAGTGAGGATAACAATGAATAGGGTTGTTGTGATAATGCAGTAATATATCAAAGTTCTTTAAAAACCGAAAAGCAGTATAGAATTATGAGATATTACTAGACCATGCTGTTTCTTCTTGTGGCTATATTTACAGTGCTAATTTATATTACAGCTATTTATGTTTCATTCTCTAAATGTTATCTAAATTCAGAGGCAATAATTGCTCTCCTTGACTCTGAATCAGTTGTATCCACAATGCACTAAACCAAACACTTCAATACTGAGTGTCTCAGAGTTGTGTCAGAAACAAAAAGGAAACAATTGGGTCACAAAAAAACTTTTTGCCGATTTTAGGTGTAGAACATATCTCAATATAAACATTTGCCAAAAAAAGTACTTGTTAAGTAAGAAAGGCTGTCACCAAATCAAAGAATTGTAGTGCTGGAAAAGGATTTGAGTATTTCTGTAGATCATCTACTGTAATACACATTTGATACATACAAAATTTCCCTCTGCAACACTCTTGACAGACAGGCATCTATCTGCTGCTTAAAACACTTTCTGGAAAATGTCTTTTTTCAGGTAATTCTACTAATTGTTAGAAACTGGCCTAAACTCTGTCACCTGTAATTTCTACCCCGCAAATCTTGTACTTCCTCTGAGAGCTACACAGCAACATTTAATTCTTCCTCTTTAGAACAGTTGTTTTTTTTTTTTAACTTTAGAAGAGAATACTCATATCTCTTGTCCAACTCTTTTCATCTTTAGGTTAAACTCCCTTCAGTTCCCCCATTATTGAATGTATGCCATGTTTCAAGTGGCCCACCTTTATACCAGCTCCACTTTCCCCTGCCTCCCTTTGCAGTAGACTAAACAAGCTTTCATGTGTCCTACGGTGAGACCATCGCCTTCTTTGCCATAAACAGTAAGCTTTAGTCCAATCCATTGAAATCTTTGTGGATATTGGACTGTAAGAAATATATTTGCTTTTCTTCCCAGCTCCAAAATTATAAGCAGGTCAAAAGCAAAAAAGAATGCTGCTCTCAGAACTTTGACAATTTGAGTTTTACGCATTCAAGCAATTATTAGAATAGTCAGGCTGCTGGAGAAGATGGCCTTAAAATTCCTTCCTATGATGCTAGGCTTTAGCTCAGGAATAGAGAGGGATAGGTCTATAAGTCAAATCCTCTCATAACACGAGGATTTGTGGATGCAGAATGCTGACAAGTGAGGCCTGGGAGGCAAAACTGAGGTCAACCCTAGTAAGAACCTAGAGCTTCCAAGCCTCAGAACCATTGCTAGTCCTTTATCAAATGTAGTGGTGATACAACTGGAATTCTCCATGACAGTTTTACCGTGTTCTGTCCCATTTCTCCAGAAGTTACTGTAATGTTTCATTATAAACCATATACACAACCCTGGCAAGAAACTTAGAAAGTCAGTAGAAGACTATAAATATCTAATTATACACTAAATTCCTTCCAAAAAACAAAAGCAGGAATGCCTGTTTAAGAATCCTAAGTAAGGCCGGGCGTGGTGGCTCACGTCTGTAATCCTAGCACTTTGGGAAGCCAAGGTGGGCAAATCACTTGAGCCCAGAAGTTCAAGACCAGCCTGGGCAACATAGTGAAACCGTTTCTCTACAAAGAAAAAATACGAAAATTAGCTGGGTATAGTGGTGCACACCTGTGCACCCAGGCACTCAGGAGGGTGAGGCAGAGGATCATCTGAGCCTGGGAGGTCAAGGCTGCAGTAAGCTATGATAGCACCAGCCTGGATGACAATGAGACCCTGTCGCAGAAAAGAAAAAAAGAATCCTAAGATAATCAATAGGACATTATATTCATTTAATCCATTCAGGATAACAATACAAACTCTCAAGAGTCCATGCATGAGGAAACAAGCTACCAATCACAATCTACATGAAACTGGGCTTTATGAGTGGTATGTCTGGTTGCTTTCCAAGACTTTGGGTTGTCAGACAAAACCTATATTATGGGAAATAATAAACCTCAAATTCATTTTTAACATTTGGCCAAGGCAACTGTACCAGGGAATACTGACTTTCAAGAGAAGTTCTACAGTCGACTTTTCTTAATATGTCTACTATTCTTATTCTTTATTCTAAGTGAGTAAATAGAAGATGTAAAGCCAACTGTTTTTTGATTGGAAGCAAAGTCAAGGATTAAGGTACTATGAGAAAGAAGATACAGGGATTCCAGGACCAAACTATGGGAGAAGAAATGTAAGAAAACAAGTGAAAGATGCTTTCAGAAACCTTCTGAGCCCAAACTCTTTTTGCTAACCTGCCATAAATTAGAATGAGATTCATTTTCTAGACAAGATAAACATGAGGTATATATCAATGCTTATTGAATCATTTATTCAGAGGCAAAATGGAAATACGATAGTTTTTCAGTAAGAAAATATAACTAGAATGAAGGCATTAGTTATATCTCAGAGAAATAAGTAGCTTTACAATCATATTAACACTATTGTCATTATTATTATTATTATTATTGAGATGGAGTCTCACTCTGTTACCCAGGCTGGAGTGCACTGGCGTGATCTCGGCTCACTGCAACCTCCACCTCCTGGGTTCAAGCAATTCTCCTGCCTCAGCCTCCCGAGTAGCTGGGATTACAGGTGCACACCACTACGCCTGACTAATTTTGTATTTTTAGTAGAGACGGGATTTCACCATGTTGGCCAGGCTGGTCTTGAATGCCCAAACTCAGGTGATCCACCCACCTCGGCCTCCCAAAGAGCTGGGATTACAGGCATGAACCACTATACCTGGCCTGTCATTATTATTAGTAATTATTAATAAAATGAATGGCAGCAGATATTACTATATGCCAGGCCCTGAACCAAACATCTTTTATGCAGTTTCATTTAATTCTCAAAACAACCCTCTGATAATATGAGATACAGATGCTGAGGCTCAGAGTCTGAGTGTTCTGTTGAGAGTCACAATAGCAGAGGCAGTAAGTCTAAACCTTGGAAGTGAGCCCATACTCTCAACCACTGTGCTATATACTCTACTGCAGTAATGTGTAAACATTTGATAGATACCAATTACTTTCTACAGACACTACACACACACACATAAACCAAATGAGAGTGCCCCTTTCCCTCAATGTTGTGAACACTGAATATTATCTTTTTTTTTTTTTGAGACTGAGTCTCTCTCTGTCACCCAGGCTGGAGTGCAGTGGTGCAATCTCGGCTCATTGCAACCTTGGCCTCCCAGGTTCAAGTGATTCTTCTGCCTCAGGCACCCTAATAATAGCTGGGATTACAGCTGTCCACACCATGCCCAGCTAATTTTTGTATTTTTAGTAGAGACGGGGTTTCACCATGTTGGCCAGGCTGGCCTCGAATCCCTGACCTCAAGTAATCCGCCCACCTTGGCCTCCCAAAGTGCTGGCATTACAGGCATGAGCCACTGTGCCTGGCATCTTTTTTTTTTTTAATAAATTTTTATTTTTATTTTTTTTGAGACAGAGTCTCACTCTGTAGCCCAGGCTGGAGTGCAGTGGTGTGATCTCAGCTCACTGCAACCTCTGCCTCCTGGGTTCAAGCAATTGTCCTGCCTCTGCCTCTTGAGCAGCTGGGATTACAGGCGTGTGCCACCAAGTTTGGCTAATTTTTTGTATTTTTAATAGAGAGGGAGTTTTGCTATGTTGGGCAGGCTGGTCTCAAACTCTTGGCCTCAAGTGATCTGCCCACCTTGGTCTCCCAAAGTGTTGGGATTACAGGCGTGAACCACTGTGCCTGGCCTAATTTTTAATTTTATTTTCGTACAGTGCCACTTTCAGGATATACATATATATTATCAATCTTTTAAATCTGTGTCAATTAATTGGGAAGAGATAGTCCATTATTATTATTATTGACAGGGTCTCACTCTGTTACCCTGGTTGGAATGCAGTGGGGCACAGTCTTGGCTCACTGCGACCTCCACCTCCCAGGCTCAGGTGATCCCCTCACCTCAGCCTCCCAGTAGCTGGGACCACAAGCATGCACCACCACACCTGGCTAATTTTTGTGTGTGTTTTTTTTTTTTTTTTGTAGAGGCGGGGTCTTGCCATGTTGCCTAGGCTGGTCTCAAACTTCTAGGCTCAAGCAATCCACCCACCTTGGCCTCCCAAAGTGCTGGGATTACAGGCATGAGCCCCTGCACCCGGAAGATAGTCTATTATTTTAACAAGGTTGAGCATGTCCTCATTTATTCATTGGTCATCTGCTTTTTCTTCTAGGAACTGCTTGTTCATATCCTTTGTCCACTTTGAGTTAAATGCTTATCCTATTGATTTGTAGGCAGCCATTTATATTCTGGATATTATAATATCTGACGTATAAATGAATTAAATAAATAAATGGAGACAATAAGCCAATATTAAAAAAAAGCTACATTACTACTCTGTATCTTATACCAAAGAAAATTCAGATGGATTAAAGATAATGAAATCATAAAAGCATAATTCATTCTTATGGAAGTCTGTCAGTTTCTTGTTAATTTAATAAAGTTATATTTTTATGTTGATGAAAAAGCTATTCAAATAGGCAAAACAGTAGATACAGACTATACTAGAAAGCTAGTATAAGAGTACTGTGACAAATGCTAGGTGCAGTGGCTCACGCCTGTAATCCCAGCACTTTGGGAGGCCTGAGGTCAGGAGTTCGAGACCAGCCTGGCCAACATGGCGAAACCCCCTCTCTACTAAAAATACAAAAATTAGCCGGGCGTGGTGGCAGGTGCCTGTAATCCCAGCTACTTGGGAGGCTGAGGCAGGAGAATCGCTTGAACTCCGGAGGTAGAGGTTGCAGTGAGTTGAGATCACATCACTGCACTCCAGCCGGGGTGACAAGAGCAAGACTCCGTCTCAAAAAAAAAAAAAAAAAAAAAAGAGTACTGTGACAAATCTGTCAGTGAAAGCAACTGAAAGTAACTATCTTTGGAAATCATAAACATGGTAAATCTATTATTAAGTGAACAAAGTAAGTTACAAAGTGATATTTACAATTCCATTTTTATAAAAAACACATTAAACATTAGCTACATTAGAAGGCTATATTAAATAATATTTACAAAGGTCACTCTAGGTGGCTGGCGTTTGTAATAGGAAAATTAAATAGAATTTTAAAAAATGCATTGCTTTTGAAGATATTCCTTCTAAACAGACATAAAGCTGGTTAAGCTTCTGGAAAGAAGGGACTGTAAGTTATTCATTTTTGTATCCTTCAAGTGTAGAGTGCCCTATACATAATAGTCACCCAACAGACCTTTGTTGAAGGAACGAAATGGGAAACGTGGGATTTACAAACATCAATCTCTATGTCAGCTGCTTAAAATAATCAAATCCAAAATATTTGCAGGAGAATCATATTGTTCCCCAAGTAACATTTCATTCATAACATTAATTTACAATTAGGAAATGTTATGCTTTTAACAAACAAGAAAGAAATGCAAGGTTCTTAATGTGTATGAGAGCCTTGCATTTCTTGAGAGGTAGTATAGCGCCACAGTCCAGTATAGCTCTTAACCACTATGCTATATTACCTTGTATGGATCTAGGGATCCAGGAAAATACAAATCGAAACAATGTGTTGTCCAAACTGGCAAAAATAAAAAAGATTGACCTAGTCAACGTGGAAAACTGAGTACTATCAACACTGTTGGCAGGAGATCATAATGGTGCTCTTTTTGTAGTGATAAACTCTTCTCACAAAAACAGATACTCTGAAAGAGGTAGGGTGAGATGGGGTGAAGGTGATACAAGAATAAAATCTTATAAGATTTTGTTTTTGAAACAACTGATGGCAAATACAAAGCTTCTACTGAATTCACTCAGACCATGCCTAATTTATGCATACAGTATTCACTTTTATGCAGTATCTTTAAATTTTTTTTTTTTAGAGTTGGGGGTCTCGCTATGTTGGCCAGGTTGGTCTTGAACTCCTGGCCTTGAGCAATCCTCCCACCTAGGCCTCCCAAAGTGCTGGGATTACAGGTGTGAGTCACCATGCCCAGCCAAGTCCTCATGTTTCTATCTACTATGGGCATATGGGCAAGCTTCCATGTGAACAAAAGGGGCACATATTTGTAGGGACCTTAAACACACATATTATGTTAGTCACAGACCATTCTATTGTAAACTATACTAAATCATATTATAAAGCTATAATAATTCAATCAAATGTGTATAGGTACAAGAAGAGACAAATAGATCAATGAAACAGAAATAATCCAAAAAAAAACCTATGTCTTATGAAAATTTAGTATATGACAAGGATGGCATTTCAAAACAGTGAGGAAAAGATGGACTAACTACTTAGTAAATAGTACTGGAACTATTGGCTATCCAAACAGCAGAAGTACTTAGATGTCTACCACATACCAAATGTGTAAATACGTTCCAGGTGGATTAAAGAGCTAAACATTGAAAAGAGAAGAAAAGATAGGATATTTAGTTAATCTTGGGATAAGAAAGATCTTTTTAAACAAGATACAAAATGCAAAAGCCAGATGGCAAATATTAATAAATTTGAGGCCAGGCACGGTGGCTCATGCCTGTAATCCCAGCACTTTGGGAGGCAGAGGCAGGCAGATCATGAGGTCAGGTGTTTGAGAACAGCTTGGCCAACATGGTGAAACCCCATCTCTATTAAAAATACAAAAATTAGCTGGGCATGGTGGCATGCACCTGTAATCCCAGCTACTCAGGAGGCTGAGGCAGGAGAATTGCTTGAACCTGGGAGGCGGAGGTTGCAGTGAGCCAAGATTGCGCCACTGCATTCCAACTTGGGCAACAGACCAAGACTCCGTCTCAAACAAATGAAATAAAATAAATTTGAAATGACAATTTAAAAATTCTGTTCAACAAAAAAGGAGACAATACATTGAAAGAAAATATTTGCAAAATACATAATAGGCAAAGGATTGATATTACAATATGTAAAGAACATCTACAAATAAGAAAAATAAACAATAGTAAAATGGGCAAAAACAAAATTAACAAACAATTTACAGAAGAAAAAGAAATGGCCAAATAGAAGAGATGTGCAACTTCTCTAATAATAACAAGAATAACACTGGCTAAAGCATAATGCTCACTGTGGATCAGGTGCTTTTCTAAATGCTTTAGATATCAACTCATTTACTCTTACAGCCCCATGAGATAGGTACTATTATTTTCCCCATCTTACAGATAAGAAAATTGAGGTGAGGTTAAAGCAGTTGCTCAGGGACACACAACTAGGAGCGCAGGGCTGGAATTCCAATGCAGGCAGTATAGAGACATAGTCCAGTATAGCTCTTAACCACTATGCTACATTACCTTTTCATGGATCTAGGGATCCAGAAGAATACCAATTAAAACAATGTATCATTTGTTATCCAAACTGGCAAATAAAAAAGACTGACCTAGTCAACGTGGAAAACTGAGTACTATCAACACTGCTGGTGGGAGAACATAATGGTGCTCTTTTTGCAGTGATAAACTATTCTTACAGAAACAGATACTCTGAAAGAAAGTTCAGAAAATCTATTTACCCAATAAAAGGTGGACAATAGTCAGTTTCTTACTAAAACATTAATTTTACTTTTTCCTGAAGGTAGTAGCATATCTTAACATTCCTGCTTTTCTTTTCTCTCTTACTCCACAAATGCCCAGTAAAGGCTACCAGAGGATGAGCACGCCACTGCTCTCATGCTAACTTTTTGATGTGGCTGCTTCCCTTGTGCTTCAGGATTTAATCAGCTCAGGTCAAGCTTTTCCCAAAAGCCTGTTTCTGGATGCACTAACATCACTGAATCGGTTGATTCGCTTTTCCTTCCAGTGGGCTGACACAGATTCTGCTTTCTGAAACTCTTTTCCGTATTTGTCTCTTATCCTCTTTCTCAACAGGTTCAAGAGCTAAGACTGAAGGTGAGAAGCTCAAACTTTTCTGCTTTGTTCAAAAGCCATTAAAAAGGCCTTTCTTCTTTTCAGCAATACGGTATTTCCAATCAGATGAAAACGTTGCTTCTGAAATCTCTCAATTCTCCAGTTTCCGGTTTACTGTCTACAAAGCATGTTAAGTAGCAATATTATTACATTGTTAGATGTTAATAGTATAAATTATTTGAGGGAAAAATAAAATCCATGTCATAGCTTTTCCAGCACTTCAGTCATCCCTATATACCTATTTGATCCATTATGGAGAGAAACACAGAAAGGCACATGGAGCTATAAAAGAGGCTGCTACTAAACCAAAACATGAAAGTACTGAAAGTTTATCACAGATGGTAGTATGCAAAGGTGATACAGCCTTTAGTTTTTTTAAAAAGCATAGATCAATTTCCATTCGAAAAATCTCACTTGTACATCCAAAACTTCCTTTTTGCACTGTGGTCTAAAATGTATTACCAACTTGGTTTCTGATTATAGCAAAGCAATTAAATTTGCAAGCGTGACATGGACATTGTGAAAACGCAACAGAATACCAAGAAAACAGTGCTTTACTAAACCTCCAAGGGAGGAGCCCTGAAGTGGTGACTACCTTTTCACTGAGGGAGCAATTTAAGAACGTTCGTACTATAGATTACAGATAGGATGCATGAAGAGATTAAAGTTGGCAGGAGAATGGAAAATTTGAATATCCAAGTTTGCATTTTTTCATCTGCATCATATGGTGACAGACTAACACACTCCACGAAAACACAAAGCTTCCTTACGGAGAGGATGCAAAAGGGGCACCACAACAGGCCCGAGGCAATGATTTCTCTACCCCACTCTATCCTACCGTGGCCCCAGCGACATCACACCATTGCTGGACAGCTCCACCACAGCTAGGCATAACCGCACCGACAGGAGCGAGCAAAGACACCTCGGCTAGGAGTCCCAGCGCGAGGCACCCCACACCTAAGCCTATGGTCCTCATCTTGCTGGAAAGAAAACTGAGGCGCTGAGGGGGAAGCAGTGACCAATGCCTGAGAAGGCCAAGAGTGTTAAGACGAGGTCGATCTTGGACTTCTCTTTCCCCACCTCCCCCAACTACTCCAGTCCTGGAAGAAGCCACAAGTTTGGAAGAGAAGTTGTGGAAACCAGACGGGGGTGGGGTGCGGTGCGGTGCGGTGGGGGACCTGAGAGAGTTTTAAAAGCACTGGTATTTGTCCCACACAAGGTCGCCCGCTCCAAGTCACTGTTCCCCGCTCCCCGGGTAGGCTTATAGCCAAAGAGGCTTCTAGGCTTCGAGATCAGCCCACCGCGCCCCCTCAGCCCTTCTCCGCGGGCCGCAGCCCCATCCCGGCCTCTGGGTCCCGGCCGGGGATCGGAACCCAGCCGGCTTCTCCGACAGCGTTTCCGACGCCCGGCACCTCTCGCAGCCCCGTCCCCCAGGCTCCCCCGTCTCCACCCGCCACCCCCCGGCGCTCCCGTCAACGTCCCCTTCCTCCCTCAGGACGCCCCTTGGGGCGCCTCTCGCGCCGGGTCCCGCCGGGTGCTCGGCACGCTGTTCCTTTCCTCTCCCCTCCCGCGGCCCTTCTTCTGTGGGGCCCACCTGGCGCGGCCCCCGCCCCCGGCCAGTCTCCTCAGTGAGCGGCCGCCTCCCAAGTCCTCCCGGCCCCGCCCCGCTCCCGGACGGATACAGTTTGAAGCCCCTCAGGATCTCCCTGGCCCGCTCGTCCTTGGCTGACATGATGCGGCGGTCGCCGCCCGCGGCTTTCTCACTCTGGTCGGCGGAGCCTCGCAGACGGTGCCCAGGAGCCGAGGATGGAGCCGCAGCCCGGCTTGGAGACCTCGGGCTAGCAGCCGCAGCGGCCAGACCAGGACCGGCCTCTCTCTCCCCTCAGCTCCCGCTTCTGATCCCTTCTCCTTCCCCCTAGCCTCGCAGTGCCCTCCTGGAACCAATGGAAAGCCAGCCTTGGCGATTGGCATCTCAACCAGCCAGTAGGAGCGCGCAGCGGCTTCGCAGGGGGACTGTTAACGTCAATGGGAAGGGCCCTCCCCGGGAAGTCCCATAGGACACAATATTCATCTGGTGTTGTTGCCTAGAGTTTGTCCCAGCGGAGGGTTGGCTTCGGATCTGCAGAGGCTTTAGGGACCTGCTCCAGCCACTGAGCACACTAGCCGTCTGAGACGGCAGCTGAGTTGCACTGTGCGACGCGACAGAGACTACATTTCCCAGCATTCCAGCGGCGCACTCGGGGGACCACAGATCCCAGCGCACCACAAAGAGGCCCGGGGACTACAAATCCCAGCATCCCCTGCACTCGGTTCCTCTGTAACTTAGACTCCAGTGTGCCGCGCAGTGTGCGCAAATTCACAAACCCGCCCGCTGAGTTGGTCGTTTCGGAATCCCGAGACTTGAAACCCAACGGGAAGACCCTTCTCACCCTCAAAAGAAGATGACAGCCCGCAGAGAGTTAACTTCTGTTTACATGGAACTCAGACATCTGCAAATCATGGTAAGGCTGCAAACAACAAACAAAAACACTGATTAAACCGTGAAAGAGAACAAAATGACTTCTTCAAATCGTGCTTGTTTGTTGGTCTGAGGCGCCTTTTACATGTATTTCAGGGTTTTTTGCTGTATTCCTGGTTTGCACCGGGAGAGCTATGGATTGTATACTCAGAATATCAAAACATAAAGGGACTTTGCTAATCTATCCCCTGTTGTTACGTATGAGGAAATTGAGGCCCAGAGAGGCGAAGGGATTGGCCACAGATCACAGCAAGTTCGGGCAGAGTTAGAATTCAGCCCTAAGTCGGCTGACTTGCAGTCTGGACTCTTTGCACCACACTAAGGAGGTGATATTTTTAGCAGCATGGCAATGTGAATTATTCTCCTTGAACGGTTTTCCTATCCACTGTTGAAACACCCAGAATTAGGTAGCATTTATTTGGTGGATTTCTTGCGAGTGAGGGAGTGTGATATTTATTTATTTTCAGCCTAGGTAGGATTTGGTGTTTTGTTTTTTGCCACTCAAGGTGACATTTAATGTGATTTCAGGAAGTAGGTAAAATTACAGTGTGAGCCACGGTTTCCTTGGAAACCTCCTCTGTCCTTCTCTTGGCCTTCCTTCCTCTGCCTGTCCCCACTTTCACCCATCTGGGAACTCACCCAATTTTTTCTTCCATGTAATTCAACAAATATCTTTTCAGCCTGTTATTTGTCAGGCACTGAGTGGGTAAAAGGTGAAGGACATGGTCACTGCCACCAGGAAGATGAACATATATTTAGGGAAATAAGGAGACTCCACTGAGATTCAAGATGGAGTGTGATAAAATGGCATAAAGAAATGACATCAGAATGCTAAGGAGGCCCTGATGAAAAGGTTCATTGCAGCTGGCAAAACTTTAATGGACAAGGTGGCATTTGAACTTGAATTTTTTTTCCATGTTAAAAAAGTTTTTTTTTTGTTAATGAGGTGTAACATACAGTATGGGAACAATTTTCACATAGGTATACACCCCTGTCGCCACTACCCAAATCAAGATATAGAACATTTCTAGCACACTTAGTGCTCCCTCCCAATCAGTATTACATCCTTACATATTGAGATAATCACTCTTCTGACTGTATCACCATAGATCAGTTTTCTCTGTTCTTGAATTCCAGTTAAATATAATAATACAGTATGTACAGTATGTGTCTGGCTTTTTTACTTTATCAGTATTTTTGTGAAATTCATCCATGTTGTGTGTAGCCTTTTAATTGCTGAATAGTATTCTGTTGTATGTTTATACCACAATTTATCTTTTCCACTGTTGGCGGGCATTTGGGTTGTTATTTTTTGGACTATTATTAGCAAAGCCGTAGTGAGCATTCTTACATGTTTCTTTTTGTAGACACTTGCACACATTTCTAGGAGAGGAATTGCTAGTGTGTAGGGAGGGTATGCACATGATCAGTGATAGTAGACATTGCCAGTTTTTCAAAATGATTGTACCAATTTACGCCTTTGCCAGCAATATGAGAGAGTTCTAGGTGCCTCTTATCCTTGTCAACACAAGAGTTTTGTTGTCAGTCTTCTTAATTGTAGCCGTTCTGGCTGAATGTGGTATCTCATTAAGGTATTTATTTGCATTTTTCCTGATGTTGAGCACCTTTCAATGTGCTTGTTGGCTAGTTGAACGTCCTCTTTCGTGAAGTGCCTGTTCTTTTCCCAACTTTTAAAAATTGGGCTGTCTTCTTATTGATTTGTAGTTCTTTACAGTCTGGATATGGAGTTCTTTGATATATGCTTTGCAGATATCTTTTCCAAGGCATGGCTTGTCTTTTCACTCTCTTACTGGTGTCTTTTGAAACAAATTATATTTTTGAGGGATGGGGTCTCTGCTGTGTTGCCCAGGCTGGAATGCAGTGGCTATTCACAGGCACCAGCATTGCCCACTGCAACCTCGAACTCCTGGGATCAAGTGATCCTCCTGCCTCTGCCTCGCAAGTAGCTATAGTAAGACTATAGGTGTACTCCACTGCATCTGACAAGCAGAAATTCTTAATTTTAACACAGTGCAATAGTTCCGTGCTTTTTATTATGGTTAGTGTTTTTTGCATTGGATTTCAGAAATCTTTGCTTTTAGAGTTGGCAGGTTTTTTACAGGCTGATAGAAGAGCATTCCAAAAAAGAGCAAGCTTGAGCATAGGTGTGGTGTCTGAGAGGGAGGGTGTAAGTTGTGCCGGGCATGGGAGTTTGGACTGAGAAGGGGGAGGGGGTGGGGTGCGACAAAGCTGGAGTTAGGAGGGAGGCACACTTTGAAGGGCTTTCAGTGCAGCCACTGCCTGGGCGTGGTGGCTCACGCCTGTAATCTCAGCACTCTGGGAGCCAAGGTGGGAGGATCACTTGAGATCAGGGAAGACCAGCTTGAGCAACATAGTGAGACCCCATCTTTAAAAAAAAAAAAAGGAATAAATTTGCCGGGTGTGGTGGCACGCACCTCTAGTCCTAGCTACTTGGGAGGTGGAGGTGGTAGGATCCCTTGAGCCCAGAAGTTCAAGGCTGAGGTGAGCTATGATAGTGCCACTGCACTCCAGCCGCGGTGACAGAGTAAGACTCTGTCTCTTAAGGGAAAAAAAAACCAAAATACTAAATCCAAATTGCAGCCATGGAGTCTGGACATTGTTCTAGAGGAAGTAGAGGCATTGCTGGAATTTCTATGAAGTCACACTAAACTCACTTGTCTTCCTCTCACTCTCATATTTGTCCCTCCTCTTCCATAGCCCTGTTCACTTAACACTAGCTCTAGACAGCTCTGGCCTCCCAGCGCAGAATCCTGGGTGTTATGCTCCCTCCCTCTCCTTATATTCAACTGGTCACCAAGTCTTATAGATTCTATAGTCTAAATGTCTCCAACAGTGTCCCTTCTTTTTCATCCCCAATTGCCACTACCTTTGTTTTTGTTTGTATTTTTGAGATGCAGTCTCAGTCTGTTGCCCAGGCTGGAATGCAGTGGCGCAATTTCGGCTCACTGCAACCTCCACCTCCTGGGTTCAAGCGATTCTCATGCCTCAGCCTCCAGAGTAGCTGAGATTAGTAGTGCATCACCATGCCCAGCTAATTTTTGTATTTTTAGTAGAGACAGAGTTTTGCCATGTGGCCCAGGCCGGTCTCGAACTCCTGACCTCAGGTGATCTGCCCACCTTGGCCTCCCAAAGTGCTGGGATTACAGGCGTGAGCCACCGCGCCCGGCAACACAATCTCTTATCTAGAATAAATCGGTCACCTCACCGGAGGTTTTCCCTGCCTCCAATTCTCTCCACATCCAATCCACTCCTATAGCACCTAGCATGATCACTCTAACAAGGCAATTATTCATACCTCTCCTTAGCTTAAAAAGCCTAAGTAATTCCCCAGTACCTGGCATGTGGATTCCAAGACCTTTGATGACCTGACTCCAGCTCTGTACCCCTCATTTCTCACTCTTGAAAACCCTGGGGTCAAACCACTCTGGGTTTCTTTTTGACATCAGTATATGCTGCACAGTGCGAGCCTCTGTGACAATGGGCACTACCCCCCTTTTTTCCCCTTTTTGTCTGTTTTTTTCTTCCCCAACCTCTTCTGTGCTTCCAAAGTGTTGTCATATCTTCCCCATAGCATTTAACACATTGGAGCTTTTGAGGGTAAGAGCTTTGTTTTATCTTCATATAACTTTTCAGGACATAATAGGTGCTAAAGAAATGTTTTTGAATAAATGAATGAGTTGGTTGATGCTAGGCTCCTTTGCATTTGTCCTGTCTCATTTCTGCATTCTAACGCACGATAGGCAAATAGGGCTGTTTTTCTCTCTCATTTTCAAGACCTGAAAGACTGTGGTGTATACAGGAATCAGTTTAAGTGTTCAATTATGTGGCATTTCTTAGCCATCTTCCCAGGGGAGTTGGTAAGCACCAGATGCAACTCTATCAATGACATTTTGGTCATAGAACCATTGTTGGCTTAACCCATCTCTTGCTTATTTTAAAACATTTTCTGAATAGAGGTCAAGAACATCGTCTTCGGCCTCAGATAGCCTGGGTTTGACAAAGATAGCAAGCTTTGTCACTTTCTGACTTTTGGACTTAGTTAACTCACCTGAAAAATGGGAACAATAATACAAGCCACAGTTATGAGAATTCAACGAGATAATGCATGTACAGCACCTGGCACATGGTAAAACGCTCAATAAGTGGTAGTTAGTAGGCTTAATGTATCTCGGTGCCCAGGGGTAGCGCAGTAGCCATGGGGAGCTCCTGAGAGAGAAAGCACAGCCTAAGGGGAGGATTTGGGGCCCGGGATGGCGATGGCGACGGTTGGGCTGCAGTACCGTCTAGGCCGCATTCCTCTCCTTGGGCCCCTAGCCACCCCCTCCCCGCCTGGTTCCCGGGCTGCAGACTCTTCCCCGCCCCCTCGCTCCCACTTCCCCACCGGAGGTCGAAGGCTGTAAACGCGGCGGGTGGAACCTTGTGTGGGCGGAACGCGAGTGCAGCGGTGGGAGGCTTCCGGGGGAGCTGCACGGGCGACGGGTCGGCGGAGACAGAAAAGCGCCGGACGCCGGGGTGATCATGGACGCTTGACAACCTGCGGGCAGGCGCCGGGAGGCCGAGCCAGCGACTAAGAGGACCGAGAGGTGGCGTGGACAGGTAGGAGCTAGCGAGAGGGTGGGCCGAGCGGGGCCGGCGCTCCAGGCTCGGCCAGACGATCCGGCTTAGAGCCCGCCGCCAAGGAAGCCCGCGGCCGTGCCCGCCCCGCCCCCGCCTTGGGGAGCGCGTCCCGCGGCTCCTCACTCCACGCCTGCGGCCCTGCTTGGAGCATACCGCCCACCGTGAGGTCTGCTGCAGCTTGCGACCCTCAGCTTCAGTGCTGTGGCTGCTTTCGCTCTCCCATCCCCAAAGGCTGCTCGTTTGCCCCTCTCCAGTCCATCCAAATAGCGCCCTCCCCTGACGGGAATTTATCTCCGCTCTGTGCCTAGCCTCTGGCCCTCCCACTCCAGAAGAAAGCGACTGTCTCCGTCTCTTTACATTCTCTGCGCCCACAGGCTTTGCTCCTTAAGCCGAGATTTTTTGAAGGGACAGAAGTTTCTCTCCATTTCCCTACCCCCTCTCCACCCCCACCTCCTAACATTGGGACTCTTTGCAGAGATCCCCATCTGTCTCTTCACACGGGTCCTCTTGGAAGGGCCTTTTCGCTCCTTCCCTCTTTACCGTCACCGACCCTCCTTTCTTCCCTACTCCTTTCCTTCTTCCTCGTATCCTCTCCCCTTCTCTTTTCCCTTTCCCTTCCGTCCTCAAACTCGTTGTTCCCCAGCACTTCATTGTTTTTCCTGTGTCTGGCCGGACCTTCTTAGGTAACCCTAAGTGAGGCGACATACTTGTTTCTCTAATACTGTGAAAGGGCAACTAATCTGTGTGCCTGCCAACACAAAACTTAGTTCCTCTTGCACCAAACTATTCTTCAAATTGTTCTTTGCTGCACTCTACTATACCGTTTTTCGTTCATTTTGTCACGCTGCTCTAATATGTATCATTCTTGGAGGAGAAATCTTACCTGGAACTCCTGTACACTCAGCGTGTAATTAGATTACACAATTGAGGGACCCTCCTGTACTTAATGTCTTCGGAGCGCTGATACAATATTTTCACTGTTTTCCCAAATCTTTTTATCGTTTTCTTGAGGTTTTTTTTTTTTTACACATTCTGAAGTCACGTTTGGTTAAAATGTCGTATCAGGAGGAGGCCGAATACAGGGATTTTTCCCCATGGTCTTACACAGCATGTATGTTCTTAGTTTGAATATATCGCTACTTTTCTTTCAAAATGATGTCTCCCTTTATCTGTGCTTACTTGACTTGATTAAATGAGACATCTTTCTTGTCTGGTTTTTTGTTTTCCTTATCTGTCTGGCTGTAGATTGGATTCTGATGACACAGTGGGAGCTGTAACTGATTGCTTTTGCTTACATCCGGTGCCTCTGTGTATAGGCAGTATCCTCCATTTCTTAACCAGAATGTATAAACGAGGTGGATATAAAACAGCTGCTGAGAAACTCATGTGTTTTTCTTTAGGTCCTGGTCAGGTTTAAGGACTTAGAAGGTGTTGCCTCTGGAGGAGGGACAGGTGGAAGTGAAATGACTTTTACAAAGTGTGTTTCAAACACCAGAATTTAGGACAAGATCCTTTTAACTCCAGGTTGAACTCCACCCATCTCATAAGGTGGTCATTGCATCTGGACTCAGGAACTGTTTTTTTTTTTTTTTTTTTTGAGACAGTCTCGCTCTGTTGCCCAGGCTGGAGTGCAGTGGCACAATCTTGGCTCACTGCAACCTCCACCTCCTGGGTTCAAGCAATTCTTGTGCCACAGCCTCCCAAGTAACTGGGACTACAGGTATCTGCCACCAGCCTAGCTAATTTTTGTATTTTTAGTAGAGATGGGGTTTTGCCATGTTGCCCATACTGGTCTCGAACTCCTCACCTCAGGTGATCCACCCGCCTCAGCCTCCCAAAGTGCTGGGATTACAGGCATGAGCCACTGCACTTGTCCTGTTTTTTCTTTATCAACACTATAAAAGTAAAGTATTCTGGTGTTTGATTCAGCACTGAATAGGCACAGACTTTGCAAAGGAGAAGGAAGAATGACTGACACAATTTTCTTTTGGACAGATTTCAAGGCCAGAGAATGGCAGGGGAACAGAAACCCTCAAGTAATCTCCTGGAGCAGTTTATTTTACTAGCCAAAGGTACCAGTGGCTCAGCCCTCACTGCTCTCATAAGCCAGGTCTTAGAGGCTCCCGGAGTGTATGTCTTTGGAGAACTTCTGGAGCTGGCCAACGTGCAGGAGGTAAGAACGGTTTGCAAACAATTTCTCTTTATTCTAAGACTCTGTAATTCTCCAGGTTTCCAAAGAATTTCAGTGCTGAAGTATTGTGAACCTGTGAGGTACCCTATTGTGAGACAGATGGGAATTGGTGGGGCAGAGGGAGAGATTGAGAGAATATCCTTGGCTCCTTTTATCCAGTATTTTTATCTTACCTTGGGTAAAATTAGATTGTTGCTAATAATAACCTAAAAGATAGTAAAAAAGTCAAATTGATCCTGATAAATTAGAAAAGTAGTGCTGTAAGCATGGGCTGTTTAATAGGAGTAGATTCATGCATTCTTAAGGACCAGAAACCTCCAGTGCAATATCGATAAGGAAGATTGGTCAGGGACACACAGCAGAAACATACTGCTATTGAACATAAGATGGACATGAATAGGAGTGTATTGTTCTTGAGGAAAAGGGCAGTGTTGTGCTAAATGTGTTAGATGTGTTAGATATGACATGAAAAGCTAGGACATAGTTCATTTTACTTGTTTGCTTGCTTGTTATTAAAACCTTGGATATCCAGTTTTGGTCATTGTGCCTCAAAAATGAGAAGATCCATTGAACAGAAGGAACAAAGAGATGTAAAGCAATCTATACTTCTCAACCTCTACTTTCCAATTTGAACATTTTTATTTATTTATATTTATTCACTTATTGAGAAAAGTCTGTAAGCATCTTTATTGTTTTGTGGGGTGGAGGCTGGTGCTCAGGAGCTTTTGGCGGATTGGTGGGGCAGGTCCCCTTCCTCTTCATCCTCACAGGCTTCTGGCTATGCAGACTGGTGCTGGCTCTGTGGAAGCTGCCATGCATAGATCTGGGTGATGGTACTTCTTGTGGAGCATGTGCTGGATGCTGTTGAGAGTGGCCCCGGAGTTCTTGGTGGTGGCGATTTGCATATAGGAGGTGGTTTGCTTTTGTTGGGCAGTTTATCACCTTCATGACCACCACAACACCTTTGCTGTTGGCTCCACACCCACAGTCAGTTTTAACAGGAGTTTCAGTGAATCAGTTAGTTGTAACCAAAGGAGTTGCCGGCCTTCAGTTTATTGGATTCGGTGCTGTGTGTCTGCCTATTCCTCTTGATGGGGAAACTGGAGCAGTTCCCTACAGTCCAGCCATTTCAGGTGCCCAATTATGTCTCCTCTACCTGTGATGTTCAGAGATGAGAAGAGCCACTTTTACTTTTTCACTGTAAATTTTTATTTAATGTCAGCCTTGCTTGCCGAACTATAAACTCTGTGAGGAGGTCTGTAGTGCTCACCATTGTTTCTTTAGAGCTGAATACGTAGCCTGACACACAGTAGGCTTTCAATAAAAATTTAATTTACCAGAAGTGGAAAATGAGTTTTATGAAGAAAATTTCAGAAAACTGAGTTCATTTTTCAACACAAGAGATGACCAAGGGGTAATATGTTCCTTCAGGTTCATGAACAGCCTGCATGAATATGCCAAGTAGTTGTTTTGTAACTGTGGAAGATTGGCTAAGAGGAGATGGATGGAAAGTAAAGTCAGAAAGACCTTATTGATTTAGGCCAGTGGGAGAAGTGTTGGAGTATCTGCTCTGGAGAAAATGCTCTTTTCCGGCTAGTTTTGTTAATTATGTTTCTGAAAAGGGGGGCTAGATTGGATGGTCTTTACCAGGTTTCTTCCCCTTCTGATTCAGGGACTTCAGGAGGTTTGTGGTAACCTGAGAAAGTAGCCTGAGGTATTATGGTGCTGGAGTTCTCCATAGGGTGCTTAGCAGACCACCTTTATCTCCCCATACATTGCGTTTTTCCATATGTGAGCTGAGAATAAGCTGGTTGCCTTTCAGTGATCTGAAATTATAGATGCATTTCTTGGAAGCTTTATTTTTTTTAATGGCTAAAATTGAGTAGTATCGCTATTGCTGTCTGTAGACTACCACTTGCTATTCCTGTTTAGAGTTTACTGGGCTTGGTAAGTTGGAAGGGTAACAGGAGCACGTTTGTGATTTTTTTTTTTTTTTTTTGAGACGGAGTCTCGCTCTGTCGCCCAGGCCGGACTGCGGACTGCAGTGGCGCAATCTCGGCTCACTGCAAGCTCCGCTTCCCGGGTTCACGCCATTCTCCTGCCTCAGCCTCCCAAGTAGCTGGGACTACAGGCGCCCGCCACCGCGCCCGGCTAATTTTTTGTATTTTTAGTAGAGACGGGGTTTCACCTTGTTAGCCAGGATGGTCTCGATCTCCTGACCTCATGATCCACCCGCCTCGGCCTCCCAAAGTGCTGGGATTACAGGCGTGAGCCACCGCGCCCGGCCCACGTTTGTGATTTAAACAACAACAACAACAACAACAACCAGTTAACGTAATTGACAGCAGAGAAGTTCCAGGCAGAACAGTGGCTCTTTCGTTTTTCTTCTACACATGGCTTTTTGCCATCAGCATCAGTGAAGAGTAAGTAATTTTAATGAACATTTTGATTTGGGGCAGACTGATACCCTGGTTTTCTGTCCCAGCCTGGCTTTCTGTCATACCTTATGATGTGCTGGTCTCTCCCAGGGTTCATAGTCCACGTGTAGTCCTGAAACTTGGAACCAACCCTGAGCTTTGTTCACTTTGGGTTGGTGGTGGCTCATGCCATACCTACCAAGCTGGTATGTAGATAGGGCTGCTCCAGTCTTTGTTTTAATGCAAACAGAATCTTGAGAAGATTTGAACTCCTTCCAATGCTTAATGCTTTGTATGTGTGTGTGAGAGAAAAGCAGTTCGTTGGGCATGCTGTATAGAAAGTAAAACATTCCTGAGAGAGAGAAATTAAATTTGGGGCTTTAATAATCTTGTTTATTTTTTCCCGAAGAACCAGAGTTGGTAGAGACCCCAGGGGCCAAGTAATCAAATAGTACAGAATAAACAGCCATGGCATCTTTGACACATGCTCACCCGTCCTCTGTTTGAACACTACAGTGATTGGTAGACAGTTTGGTCTGTGGTGAACTTTTTTTTTCCTCTTCAGCTTGCGGAAGGAGCTAATGCTGCTTATTTGCAGTTGTTGAACCTGTTTGCCTATGGGACATACCCAGATTACATAGGTGAGTTGGTGAAGATCCTTCAAAAGACTTGTGTTAATTATGTTGCTCAGTTTGGAAGACCATCAAGGTTTGAGATATAAAGCATGGGGTAGTGGGGAGACTTCTTGACCTGGCTGCCTCCCATTTTGCTGTGCCCGGTGGGTGACCTCACAAAGGGAATGTTCCTTCTCACCTTTTATATTCTAGTGGGTCAAATGGGGCCTGTGTGTGCTCATCCACAAATGTAGCCCTTGTTTGTTTTCCAGATGAGATTCTTGAGGACTGGTGTTTGTAGGGCTCTTGGAGTGCTGTGAAGTGCAGAATACCCACCTGTAGAATGTTTCAACATTTTAAATATTATCAAAATAATACCAGCATATTGAAGAAAATTTGGAAAATAGACTTTTTAAAAGTCACTCATAGGCTGGGCGCGGTGGCTCATGCCTGTAATCCCAGCACTTTGGGAGGCCGAGGCAGGCAGATCACTTGAGGTGAGGAGTTTTACACCAGCCTGGCCAACATGGTGAAACCCTGTCTCTACTAAAAATACAAAAATTAGCTCGGCGTGGTGGTGGGCGCCTGTAATCCCAGCCACTCCGGAGGCTGAGGCAGCAGAATTGCTTGAACCTGGGAGATAGAGACTGTAGTAAGCTGAGATTGCACCGCTGTACTCCAGCCTGGGCAACAGAGCGAGACTCTGTCAAACAAACAAATAAATAAATAAATGTCACTCATATGTTGCTCAGACATTTGGATGCTGGACTTTTTTGTGCCCCTTATGTTTGTGTTTTGTATTACATAGGTACAACTATGTATACAGTTTTATGTCTTGCTTGTTTCTTCCCACTTACAAACATTTATCCATATTTTAAGTCTTTTTAATATTTTTAATATTTCATAATCTACTTAGCTCATTTTCTGTTGCAGGGCATTTGGGTCATTTTAAATTATAATCTGAAGTATTAGGTTGAGGTATTTGTATGTCCAAACACTAACTTACCTTCTACCCAAAGCATTTTTTTCTGGCTTTCCTACCCTTTTTTAATGGTATGACTGTAGCCTGATACTCAGGGCCTTCGCTGCGATATCCCTGACTTCTTCTTTCTCCCTGGTCACTTCTACTTTGTGCTGCTGTCAGACTGGACAGTTTGCCAGTTCCTGGTACACCACATTTTTTTCTGACCTTCCCTTTGTTCCAGGGAATGTGTTCTGTTTTTCTGTCCTTGCTTACTAAAGAGGCAGCATTGCACAGACTCTGTTAGCAGACTGCCTGTAGCCAGTCTGGCTCCACTTCTACTAGTTGTGTGTTCGTTGACAAATGAAGTAACCTTATGCAGCTCAATTTCCTCGTCTGTAAAGTGGGAGTAACAATACAAGCCCATTATTCCTTACCTACACTCCTCGAAGTTAGATGTTTCAGAATTTAGAATTTTTGGGACTTTAAAAAGGTAATATGATGCGCATGCCTTTTTATGTAACACTCCCAGAGGAATGTGGAAACAAGTGGGATAAAAAGCCTGTCTCCGTACAGGTTAGAAATTCCCACCAGGTGAATTTCAGCACCATGCTTAAGAAAAAATCAGTTTGGATATAGTTTTTTGGAATCCAGAATTATCGTTAAGGAATTGAGGACACTTGGAGTCTTGCGGGTTGTTGTGAAGATGAACTGGATGTGTGTATGTACGTGTGGATCTATGCAATCCACAAGATGTAAAGCTTGCTATTTATGTTAGCTGCTGCAGCTGCTGCCCTTGCTGTTATTATCATTTATGGTTATTATTGAAATTTTGCCTCTTTCTCAAGGCTCAACTCAAACTCCATCTCTTCCATGAATTCTTTCTTTTTATCTTCTGTACTTTCCAAATGATACTGTTCTCTTTCCCTCTCCCCTCCCCTTTCATCTCTTTCTCTTACCCCTGTCTCCTCCCCATCCCTCTCCTCCTCTCTTCTAGTAGCTTGTACCTTTCTTCTGGTAGTTCTGCCTTGGATTTGTAGCTATGGAAACATCTGATTGTAAGACCGAGGACAAGTCCAGGGCCATGAAGTTGCACACCTCCAGGTGGTTGGTGGCCCTGGAGTTGTGCCATGCAGCAGCCCTGGCAAAGCCCATCTTGTTCATCCTTGATTCTTCTCAGTACAGAGCATTGCACACAACAGATGCTCGATGAAGATATGTTTAATTTAATTGAATGTCACAAGGGGCACAAATAGTACTCCATTAAGATAATTGCCACATCATTTTGCTTGTTTGCTTTTTAGGAGACTAAACTCTGTGTTTGTAGAAACTGAGTCTTTTCTTCTTTGGAAGTACATAGTCTTCCAAAGAAGACAGGAATATTTGTCAAATGAATAAGTGCAAAGTCATGATAGTGATTCAGTAGTAGATTTGGTTTGGGGAGTTGGTGAGCTTATTCCATAAAAGAAATCCTAATTTTATTTTGTGTCTTGATTTTTGTGGTGGGTGGGACTGAGCAGCCAACAAGGAGAGCCTGCCAGAACTGAGCACAGCTCAGCAGAACAAGCTGAAGCATCTTACCATCGTGAGCTTGGCATCAAGAATGAAGGTACGGTACTGAGCCTTCTCTTGTCTTCCTCCTTACCCCAAGTCAGCTGTCTCATTGACATCAATGAAGGAAGTCCCAGCTGCACATAGGAGAGTCACATCATAAATGCATAAAATTTGCTTGACAGAGGAAAAGATAAAATGGTGTAGAAAAGTACTCCCCATTCCATACAGGAAAAGTATGCCCAGAAGTGATTGACTCAGCAGGTCTTAGTCCTGGCATGCTGTGGTGCCGCATGTGGCATGATCATTTTGCCATATTAAGGGGAGACTGCTGTTAAAGATATACATTTTTCAAATAGCAAGGCATCTCAAGGCAAGTTAACAGCTTAATCTGTTGCTCAGTACACAGTGAACTATGCCCATGCTGGAGGAAAAACTTGCTATGTCGGACTTGCTAGATTTTTTGTTGTTGTTGTTGTTGAGACGGAGTCTCACTCTGTCGCCCAGGCTGGAATGCAGTGGTGTGATCTCAGCTCACTGCAACCTCTGCCTCCCAGATTCGAGCGATTCCCCTACTCAGCCCCAAGTAGCTGGGATTACAGGCGTGGACCACCCCGCCCGGCTAATTTTTTTTTTTTTTTTTTGAGACAGAGTGTTGCTCTGTTGCCTGCGCTGGAGTGCAGTGGCGCAACCTGGGCTTACTGCAACCTCCACCTCCTGGGTTCAAGTGATTCTCCTGCCTCAGCCTCCCGAGTAGCTGGAATTACAGGCACCTGCCACCATGCCCATAATTTTTATATTTTTTAGTACAGTCAGGGTTTCATCACGTTGGCCAGGCTGGTCTTGAACTCCTGACCTCAGGTGATCCACCTGCCTCGGCCTCCCAAAGTGCTGGGATTACAGGCATGAGCCACCGTGCCCGGCCTTTTTAACTTAAAAAATTTTTTAAATTGAGACAAGGGTCTCACCATGTTGCCTAGGCTGGTCTCAACCCCCTGACTTCAAGCGATCCTCCCATCTCAGCCTCCCAAAGTGTTGGGATTACAGGTGTGAGCCACTGCACTTGGTTTTTTTGTTCTTGGATTGCAATTTCAGTTGCTGAAATCATTTTATCTGATCTAATGGCACATTTCTGATTCTCAGCCTAGCATTTCAGGTGGGAGGCCTATTTTGTTGTGAAATGAGGACCTGACCTTTTTTCTTGTACTGATTGTGGACTTCTCAAGTGTAGTAAAGAATGTTGGTACAGCCCAATAAAGAACTATTGTTGGGGAATTCATATTGGTTGTGTCTGAGAAAACAGATACAAACTTCAGGGTGACATCTGAGCTGGCAGTACCCATTGGCCACCTATAGGTAGATATGCTGGCCTGCAAGTTTTTTTTGTTTGTTTTTGCACTCTGCTGGGCAAGTAGCCAGCTCTTTCCAGTGACTGGGATCTGTTGGAGATTTATGGTGATCTAGCAAAGTCTGAAAGCTTCCAGAAGGTGGCAGAGTGGCATATACTCAGTAGTTCCCTTTCTCTCCACTGGTACAAGTTTTTAGGATCTCTACAAGTATGCTGCAGCATGTGAAATCTGAAGGCTGGGTGAAGCCAAGGAGGCAGAGAACCAGGAGGTTGCTTTCTTAGATGTTGGGTCTTCTAGGTCTCATGGTTCATTTATCCACCTCTTGTTGCCCTAGCTATTAATAATTACCACTAGCCTGCGTTTCCCGAGCCTAGAGGCAGCTGTTGGCTATGGGAGTAATACCTGCATTTTCGCTAATGCTTGCCAGATGGTTTTTATAATGATCACATGGCCTTATCTACAGTGTATCCCCTACTCCGTGTTGCTGAAAGACCTGGAGATGCGGAATCTCCGGGAACTAGAAGACCTTATCATTGAGGCTGTCTACACTGACATCATCCAGGGCAAGCTGGACCAGCGAAACCAGCTGCTGGAAGTGGATTTCTGCATTGGCCGTGACATCCGAAAGAAGGATATCAATAATATTGTCAAGACCCTGCATGAATGGTGAGGCTAAAAGGAGGAGGGGGATATCTAGCATGTCTTTTGTGCCTCTCCTTGCAAAAATGTGATTCCCTGGTGTCAGCTGAGGGTTTGGGGTGGGCCTGTAGCTACCTGGGAGCTGGGGCTTAGTGAGCCGGAGAGTGGAGCTACATTTGTGATCACAGCTGTGTGATAACAGGAGTCATTTCAGGCCTCCTGGTGCCTTGGTTGTAAAATAGTTCTTTCCTTAAATGCAACTGGGAGCTATTTAAAAGTGGGCTATAAAATGCCCAGGGTTAGCAGGTGGAGCCTATGTGTCCTAGCTGTGTGAGGCTAGTCCTGCCCTTTCCAAACTCACGCTCAAAGTTTGACCAAACTCAGGAAGGCTAGTGTTTGTAAGATTCTTTCTTTGTTTTTATTATTTTTTCTATCCCTGTTGAAGTTAACATGTTTATAAGATTCTTCGGATAAAAGAACTTACGTTCAAAATCAGTAACATATTGGGCTAATGTTTGTAAAACACCGTGAGGGACATGGAAGACAAGGAGTGGGTCATTTTAACTTGGAATACAGACTCATACAAAGAATATCTGATAACTATACTCTGGTATATAAAAAGCATTGGGACATTTGTGTTTTCTCTGTTTTAATGGAATTTGATATTTGTAAGAGCTGTCTCACATTCTACGAGGATTCACTGTGGAGTGATTTAAATTATTTGGGGCTTATAAAGCCAGATGGACTGATTGGAGAAGTTTTAGCTCAGTTTTGAAGGAAGGCCAGGGTTAGAGTATACCTGGAGGTGAGGAGAGTGTGTTCCCAGGCAGGCACGTGGCATGTTGGAAGCCATGAAGCAGACCCGGTGAGCTTTGTACACAGGTTCGGGAGGGAGAGAGAATCTCTGCTCATCCCCGAGAGAAGCATATCCAGAGAGGAGCAGTGCCACTTTGACTCCTTGGGGCCTGATGTCCCCTGAGTTTCCCTCACTTCAGCTACTTTTACACCCCAGGACATGTGTTGCTCACCCCTCACCCCAAGTTCTGTCCCAAATATAGCCCCAAACACCTTCTCTATACAACATCTGCCACAAGTGGAAGTTTTCAATAGCTTACAAAACTTAGAATAAATAAGAAATAAACTTAGAAATACCCCAACACAAAAATGGTCTGGCACACAAAATCTAGTTTCTGAACCTGCCAAAGTTGGCTGTCCTATTCTGTTTTTGAGATGGCTGACACAGCTTTTTATGTCCATAGTCTGGTTTCCTGTTTTTAAGCCCCCAATATGTTTGACATAGAGGTGCCAGACTAACTGGTTACCATGGGATGTTTACTAGTAGAAACTCTTACAACTCATGTTTAGGCACTGGAGGTAGATTGAAACAAAATTCATAGGCTGAGGGCTACCACATATATGGCAAAATGCTCACACTGTTGGATCTTAAGTGGAGGGTATGGGGATATTCATTGTAGTCTTTCAACTTTTTCATTTTTAAAAAAATTAATAGTGGGGAAAATAGGAGGAGGGGTATGGCAATTAGGAAGTAACTTAAACTTCTGAGAAAAGGCGGAATCTTCAAAACAGGATGCTTTTAGGAAATCTTTTTTTGTTTGTTGTTTTTTGAGACAGTTTTGCTCTTGTTGCCCAGGCTGGAGTGCAATAGTGCGATCTCAGCTCACCGCAACCTCTGCCTCCCAGGTTCAAGCGATTCTCCTGCCTCAGCCTCCCTAGTAGCTGGGATTACAGGCGTGTGCCACCAGGCCTGGCTAATTTTGTATTTGTAGTAGAGACGGGGTTTCTCCATGTTGGTCAGGCTGGTCTCGAATTCCCGACCTCAGGTGATCCGCCTGCCTCGGCCTCCCAAGGTGCTGGGATTACAGGCATGAGCCACTGCGCCTGGCCTAGAACATCTTTTTTTTCTGTTGAGAAAAGGATTACTCAGTGCCATCTATAAAATCTATTCTACCTTCTTTTTTTTTTTTTTTTTTTTGCGGCAGAGTTTCGCTCTGTCACCCAGGCTGGAGTGCAATTGCGTGGTCTCAGCTCACTGCAACCTCCGCCTCCCGGGTTCAAGTGATTCTCCTGCCTCAGCCTCCCAAGTAGCTGGGATTACAGGCACCCGCCACCACACCTGGCTAATTTTTGTATTTTTAGTAGAGATGGGGTTTCACTGTGTTGGCCAGGCTGGTCTCGAACTCCTGACCTGGTGATCCACCCACCTCGGCCTCTCAAAGAGCTGGGATTACAGGTGGGAGCCACTGCACCCGGCCTGTCCTACCTTCTTTAATCGTATGTGCTACAAAACCATCTTCCATGAGATACAAAGTTGAAAATTAAAGCTGTATTCTAAGAAACTAGCCCCAGACTACCATATTTGTCTCCTAATGTCCTGCATTATGTATTTAGAAGTGCTTGTCTTTGGGAAGGAGTGAACGGGCAAGAGATGTGGCAGAGGGAGTATTAAAGGAGGTCCCTGTAAGATACTGGGGAGAGCTGTTGGGGAAGAATATTTCTGAGCCTGGAAGAGACTTCCCAGGCCATTCTGCAGCTCAGGGCTGGTTTTCTCCATTGTAGGTGTGATGGCTGTGAAGCAGTTCTACTGGGCATCGAGCAGCAAGTTCTGAGAGCCAACCAGTACAAAGAGAACCACAACCGAACTCAGCAGCAGGTAGAAGCAGAGGTAAGGAAGGAAAGGAACATTTGTTTCTCTCTCCAGGCATACCTGTTTATTCGTTTGCAGTGTTTATGTTTTTGTTTTGCGAATCTTGGTGTAGATGAAACAAGCAGTCACCAACAAGTGGGCCTGGGCTAGGTGCTGGGTTACAGGGATGAGTGTGACACGGCTCCTGCTCTTGGTGTTCTGTCTCTTTTTTCTGATTCCTGGTCAGCATAGGGTGATCAATCAGGCTTGGAGAACAGAGAATGTTGTAGTTTCAGTACACATGTACTTTGCAGCTATAGAGCAAAAGAAAATGAGTTTGGGGATGGATCTTAAAAATGGATAGAAGGATGGTGGTAAGTTACCAGGTGGAGTGGAGGGAGGGGTACAGCTGGGCAGGGGCATGTGGGGCTTCAAGGCCCTGGGAGTGTTCTGCTTCTTAAGTTGCGTGGTGGGCACATAGTTTCATTTTATTCTTTCTCTGTGAACTGTACATATATATTATAAATGTGTAAAATGCATGACATGTTTCATACGGAAAGAAGAAAGGGATAAAATTTGGCAGATGAGCTGCAAGTGAAGTAAAGAGGATGTAAGTGTGGTTTTAGTGACACCTGGTTGTTGAGGAAACTTTTAGCTTCTTGGACAGATGTAGGCCCCAGCCTTTGCGTTATGGGCATTTGTGTACCTGTAACCTGACACATGAAGTGACCTCACTTCACAATTTATTTGGAGCCCTGCACTGATTTTCCTTAGCATTGGAAGTTCTTTTCTAGTGTGAATGGAGTTTGAAGTATTAATGATGCTTAATGAATTTTGAAAATCAGGTGTCTAAGAGTGGCGGAGTGGGACCCGTAATTCCAGCTAAGAAGCATAAGAGATGAGTAGATGGTGCCTTTCAAAGGGGGATTTGTGAAATTTGGAGTGATTCTCTATACTGTTATATGCACTCCTTGAAAATAAAACCTGTGTCCTATTTGTAAGACGAGCGTCTTGTCTCATGCCTAACCCATAGTAGGTACTCAAATGTTGAACTGAATATTTCTGGCACACCATAAAAGTGTGTCAGTGGACTGCTGAACTCTGCTTTTCATGAACTTGAGCTAATTTTTTTGAATACACACACACACCACCCTATATACATATACTCTGTGGATGTTCAATTCATAGACCATGTTTAATCCGACTAGCCAAGGAAGTATGAGGCTGGGTGCAGTGGTTCACACCTGTAATCCCAACACTTTGAGAGACCGAGGAGGAAGTATTGCGTGAGTCCAGGAGTTCGAGACCAGCCTGGGCAAGGAAGTGTTAACTATATTTAACATTAGTCCAAAGCAAAGACAATTAGGAAAATAAGCTTGCTGCTTTTCTAATAAGCTGTGCAACAACCCTCTTGATGATGGTGGCCTTTTCTCTGACTTGGGATTGAGGTCTGAACAAAGTAGGAAGGGCTAACCGCTTTCTCCTTTCTGTTTATTCTTCCCTATAAATCAAACTCTGTACAAAATGAGGTTGGGAGGCTAACCACACTACCTAATCTTTGGTATCAAGGTCATTAACAAAGATGAATGATACTTGTTTTAGAATTTTGAACTGTTCAAGTTTATTTTCATTATAAATAGCATCAGACAAAAGAAAGGCGGGTGTGCACAGAGCTATTGTAGACACTTGGCTAAAGTTTGAGGCACACCGTGTAGTTACACAACAGTGTAGACTCTTTAAATTTTGGTTATTTAAACACAGAGGGTGGGTGTGTGCACGAGCAGAGCCTGGTGCTGCCAGCAGGTGGCGGTAAGGATTTAAGTTTGAGAAAAAGAAATCTGAGCAAAAGGCCAAGGCCACCTCCACCACCAATTAAAACAGTCCATTGACGTAATAATCTTTTAGAAAATCTGAACCAGACCAATATGGTCTGTTCCCTGAGCATGGCCAAAGCTTAGGACCTTGTCATTTTTTCCATTTAGCAAATGCATGATCTGGCTGCTAAGTGTTGAAGGCTGCTTGCCACCTACTTGAGGCACACAGAAGATACTCACCAAATAGCTACTGACTTGAAAGGAAAAGAAATCTACAAAGAATCAGGGTGATTCTGTCGTATTCTGTTTGTATTTATGCCTCTGTTACCCTTGGCCTAACTTTTAAAAGCCAATTTTGTCAACTGATTGGTGATCTTTTCTTTATTTGTCCTTAAATTAGATTGCTTGTTTTCAGAGGGAAAAACGTGATGTCCCCCTCCTGAATCTTATAACAACAGCTTTCTTCTGGTGAGTTGTAGCTTTAAGAGCCCTCCTTCTTAATGAAGTCAGCCCTATCACAGACTGCCGAAGAATATTCTCTCCATTTAGGCTTTTGTGGAAATAACCCATATTAGTTCCTAGTTCCAGCATACCTGGGGGACCATTATGAGCTGTTTCATTATTTCTGAGGAAGCACTGTGGTGGGGAGGTAATACTTAGAGCATTACAAAGCACTTTCACATTTAAATTTGATTTTGGAAAGTATTTTCTTTTTGAGACAGAGTCTCTGTCACCCAGGCTGGAGTGCATGGAGTGCAGTGGTGCAAACACAGCTCGCTGCACCCTCAACCTCCTGGGCTCAAGCAGTCTTTCCACCTCGGCCTCCCAAGTTGCTAGGACTATAGGACTACAGGTGTATGCTACCACACCTGGCTGATTTTTTTTCTTTTCTTTTTTTTTTTTTTTTTAGGGAGAACTGGGTTTTGCTGTATTATTCAGGCTGGTCTTGAGCGCCTAACCTCAAGCTATCCTCCCACCTCTGGCTCCCTCTTTGTTGGGATTACAGGCGTGAGCCACCATGCCCAACCTACTTTTCTTTTTTTCTTTTTTGAGATGGAAATTCACTCTGTTGCCTAGGCTGGAGTGCAGTGGCATGATCTTGGCTCACTACTGCAACCTCCGCCTCCTGGGTTCAAGCAATTCTCATGCTTCAGCCTCCTGAGTAGCTGGGATTACAGGTGCCCGCCACCACGCCCAGCTAATTTTTGTATTTTTAGTAGAGACGGGGTTTCGCAATGTTGGCCAGGTTGTTCTCCACCTCCGGACCTCAAGTGATCCGCCTGCCTCGGTCTCCCAAAGTGCTGAGATTACAGGCCTGAGCCACCGCGCCCGGCCTCATTTTTCTTTATATTTGGATGTGCCTATGTCTGATGTTAGGTGGAATGTTAATTTATAACTATTGCTACATTTACAAAGTAGGCTGTGTTCCAGTCATGGAGGTCGTAAAGTGTAACTGGACAAAGTAAGCTCTGTTTTCCATTATGTAGAAAATCTCCTAGGAGTTAGTGACAATCTTGAGATTTATACAATGCACCAAAAGTATGCTTCCTGGTACCTCTTGGAAAGGGACTCTCCATCACCCAGTTCTCTTTTTCTTTGTAGCACTTTTCCAGTTGTGCACTGTGTTTCCTCTCGTCTGCCTTTGCTTTGCCCCTCAACTGAAGGAAGGTTTCCTGCCCCAGAAAGCTCTTTCTCCTTTTGCCTAAATATTTAAGGTCTCTGATGGAGCTAGGCTGCATTTTTGCTAGCAGTGCAATCTTACTTGAAAATTTCTGAGGTTCATGTTTTGAGGAGCCTGTAAGCCAGGCCACTGGAGGAAGAAAGTCATAAGGAACTCTACCAAATTTAGGTAAAAGAAGACAAGTCTGTGGTGATGATATTTGTTGTCAGTTGAAGGGTGACTGTGGAAGAGGAATTGGAATTCTTAAGAAAGTCTACGAGACCAGAATGGGTTTAATTGGTTGACCTACCTGGGTGGCCAATTTGGAGTCCTAGAAGGAGCTGTCTGCGGTTACAACTGCCCAGCTACTGGAAGAAGCTAGTTGAATTTTAAGATCCCCTTCCACTAGGAGAGTCTGTCAGTGCTTCAGAAGTCTCGTTTGTGAGTTGTGTGTTGTAAATGCAGTGGTAAAGCTGACTTGAGCAAAGTGTCTCTGTAATGGATCCCAGTGTGAGGGCCATGGCCCTGCCCCAGCCCAGGCCAGGCCTTTGTGGAGGATAAAAGGCTCATTTCCTAGGCTTAGAGACACTTGCCCAAGAAGCCCTCTTTTCCTCTGCAGGATGTTTACATTTTGCCTCAAAGTGGTAACGACTGTAGAGGACTTAGATTTGTCAGCAGTCTTATTGGAGGAGTGAGGTGTGTGCATCTGAAACACAAAGGAGATGCAGTGGTGTGGGAGGCCATCGAAGAGGGAGAGGCACTGCCAGGCAAGTACAGATTGAAGGGTGGCAGATCAGTGTGGGCTGCAGCAGTCAGGGCAGTTTGTATGGACCAGGTGCTCAACTCTCCAGGCAGGATCAGAGGGGCAACCTGGGGAGGAGCGGTAACCCCCGGGGTGCATGAACAACAGAAGGGCATAGGGGGAATGACTGCTTCCAAGTGTGGTGTGGGGGACGAGTGTGGCTGAGATGGCTTGAGTGCAGGGCATGTGTTGAGGAGTGGGAAGGAAGGTACCTGATCTTGGTATTTCAGAACTAGAGAAAAAACCAAGTTTTTCCCTGGGCCAAGTCTTATTTCTTTTTATTGCATGTCAGGGTTACTGAGCCCCTAAAAAAGCTGAATGAGAGCAGTTTCTACAGGAGAAAATGGCTTGAGGAAGTAAATAGGCATCTGAATAACAGGGGAAAGTGTCCATGCTTCTGTCTACTTATTTGTTCAAAAGCTTTTGACAGGATCTTGAATCTCAAAGGCTTTTAAATAGAATTGAGTCACCATGAGAGAGGGAGGCTGCGTTATGGTAGGGAGTGGCAGTACAGAAATGAAGCAGAGGGTCAGCCCTTCTGTGACTGCAGAAGGATGATGCGCGGGCTCCCTCAGGACCAGAGTGAGAACCATGAGTTTGTGGCTCTGTGAAGGAGAAGCATTGGAAGTGTTGAGCTTTGAAAAGAAAAAGAGTAAAACAGCAAAGCCTTGGGAGTCAGTTGAACTGGTCAGTTGCTGAGAGGCTGGCAGCGGAGCGTTGCCGTTGGTGGATGTGCCACAGGCAGAGTTTGCTCCTTGGCTGGCAGGTCAGGGACTCATCACTCAGCCCAGCCATAGATACTCTGAGTCCAAAGCCGGCCCAAATCACCTTGGGCCACTCTAAAGAGAGAAATAAATGCCGGTTGTCACTTTCTGATAGGCTGATAATGACTTTATGCTACAAAAACATAGGTGAAGCGGATTGAAAATATAACCATTATTTGGGGATTGATTAATGCCTTTTCCTTACTCATGCAGGGGTTATGAGACTGTCAGTAAATCTAAGACATGTTAAATAATGTAGAAAACTATTTGTAGTATAAGCTGATTTTTTTTTTTTTTTTTGAGACAGAGTCTGGCTCTGTAGCCCAGGCAGGAGTGCAGTGGCGCGATCTTGGCTCACTGCAAGCTCTGCCTCCCGGGTTCACGCCATTCTCCTGCCTCAGCGTCCCGAGTAGCTGGGACTACAGGTGCCCGCCACGTCACCCGGCTAACTTTTTATATTTTTAGTAGAGATGGGGTTTCACCGCGTTAGCCAGGATGGTCTCGATCTCCTGACCTCGTGATCTGCCTGCCTCAGCCTCCCAAAGTGCTGGGATTACAGGCGTGAGCCACTGTGCCTGGCCTAAGCTGATTGTTTAGTAAAAATTATTACACAAATAACTTGAGGAAATAAGGCTAAATAGTGCTTATCAGACAAGATGAAATTAGGAATTTTTTTTGGTTTTGTTTTTTTAATTTTTAATAAAGCTATTTTGCCAAATGGGAAAGGTAATTATTTGCTTGGAAAGATACCCCATTTTGGAAATACAGTCCTTGAAACAAAAACTTGTTTGTTTTCTAATGTCTTATTTGATTAAAATTTTGTCAGCTTTTGGGGAGACTTTAAAACACATTCCCTCAGGTAATGTTAAATTGCAGGATCTTCTTTGGAAGTTAGAGGTAACTGACATGCAAATAAATAAACTAAAGTCATGTCGTTACCTCTTATTATGATTTTAGTTCATTTTCTTCTGGATATTTAGAAAATATATCAAATTGGAGAAGCCTTAGAATGTTATTTTATAAAGCAGTGTTCCCTGAGAAGTCAAATTTCTTAATTTTTCCTCCAATGTCATCAAAATATGCCTTAGCTGGGCATGATAGTATGTGTCTGTAGTCCCAGCTACTTAGGAGGCTGAGGCAGGCAAATTGGTTCATGCCAGAAGTTTGAGACCAGCCTGGGCAACATAGCAAGATCCCATTTCTATTTTTTAAAAAAAGTCTTAAAACAAATAATATTTCTTTTATCAGAGAAAGAGTGATAAGCCATTGGCTTGCTCCAGATCATTCACTCACCACCTTGCCAGGTGACTCACTGAATGAGGTACACCAAAGTGGCAGTGAGCCGCTGGGAGGGCGAGATGCCTCAGGGTTCTGGGGTTCCCAGATTGTGTTTTGTTGTCTGGCAGGACACTGGATAAACCCAGAGTTGAATTCCCCTCCCTGTTTATTATATATATATATATATATTTTTTTTTAAATTTTATATATATATATATATATATATTTATATATTTCCAGGCACTGGGTCTTGCTGTGTCACCCAGGCTGGAATCAGTGGTGTAATCATAGTTCACTGCAGCCTCAAACTCCTGGACTTAAGTGATCCTCCTGCCTCAGCCTCCTGAATAGCTAGGACTATAGGCATGTGCCACCACACCAGGCACATGTTTTTTTCTTTTATGTCTTTTTGTTGAGATAAGGTCTTACTTGAATGTCATCTAGGCTGGAGTGCAGTGGTGCAGACATGGCTCACTGTAGCCTCTACCTCTTGGGCTTAAGCGATCCTCCTGCCTCAGCCACTTGAGTAGCTGGGACTACAGGTGCATGCCACCATACCTGGCTAAAATTTTTTTTTTTTTTTTTAAGAAAGACAGGGTCCCACTATGTTGCCCAGGCTGGTCTTGAACACCTGCTCTTGAGCAATTCTCTTTGCTCAGCCTCCCAAAGTGCTAGAAGTATAGGTGTGAGCCACCATGCCCAGCCTGCCCTCTGTAATGACTGTTCCAGCCCACAGTCCTCTGTCATTCTCTCTTCAGAAAGGCTACAGCGTTGATTGAGGTTACAGAAGTTTAGGGCATGGCTTTTCCCCCTGTCTCAAAATAGTGACAACAAAAAACAATTTATGATCTAGTTAAGGTGGATTCTGCAGATGATGGCTCTCCTCCAGGAACCCAATTTTTGTCTCACCCTCATAGCATTGTTTTGTCTTTGCATTTGGACTGTCTCTTACCCTCAAGCTCATAATATTCTGACTGTTGAGAACTTTTGACCCTGACAACTCCTTTTCACTATGTAGAAAACTGGCTGGGTGTGGTGGCTCATGCCTGTAATCCCAGCACTTTGGGAGGCCAAGGTAGGAGGGTCAGTTGACCCTGGGAGTTTGAAAACAGCCTGGACAACGTGGTGAAACCTTGTCTCTACAAATAAGTTTTTAAAAATTAGCCAGGCATGGTGGCAAGCGCCTGTGGTCCAAGCTGCTCAGGAGGCTGAGGTGGGAGGATCACTTAAGCCTGGGCAGTTGAGGCTGCAGTGAGCTGTGATTGTGCCACTATACTCCATCCTGTACAACAGAGTAAGACTCTGTCTCCAAAAAAAAAAAAAAAAAAGACTAAAAAAGCTATTACTTATTTGACTGCACTGTTCTTCCCTACCACCACCATCCTCTTCCTGCTGTTTCTTCCTCTCAACGAACTGAGGAGCAAAGGTTTGGAATAGTCACTTTTCAGCAGGCAATATAGCAGTACTGATTCAAATGTAAAATGTAAATCGACTTTGATCTGGAAAGCTCACTTCTAGGAGTATCTTCCATAGATGTTCACAGAAGTATGCAAAGGTAAACATAAAGGGCTGTTCAGAGTAGCACTGAAACCCAAACTAGGAACCAATTCAAAAAACTGGAAAACTGGAGAACCTTCCTAATAGAATAGGGTTCAAGTGTCACAGAGGATATCTGTTCTGACGTGGTAAAATGTTCAAGAGCTGCTTAAGTATTTACGAGTCTGTATTTTGTTAAGTGAAAGAAAGCTATACTGCACACGGTAGTGTCATAGCATTTTGCCAGTACTTCTATTACATTTTCTTCATTTCTCACTTAGTTGGCTGAAGTTCATCCTCTACTGGTTTATTCAAGAAGGTTCATGGAGCTGTATTCCCAAAGTTTTTATGAAAATATTTGTGGTTTTATAAATGAATAACAGCAGAGTGTAGAATTCTTGGGTCCCTCTTTCTGAGGACATTTTAATCACGATTTATTTCACTGTTGGTGATGTGCCTCTTTGCCAAATGTTCCCCTTCCATTTGTTTCAACCAGGAGAGCATTAGTCCCACATTTTTGCTTGACTCATTTCCACAAATCTGCTGTGAGTAGCCCAGGCTCGTTTCTGCTCATCTGGATTTCTGAAGAGAATTTCAGGTTTTCTTGCAGAGGATTTTAGCTTCCTGTCTGAAGTGAAGACATAGTGAGAGCAAGTTTTGGTGAGCACATACAGGCTGAGCACTCCAATTCTATATCTCCCCACCAGGTTACCAACATCAAGAAGACACTCAAAGCCACCGCATCCTCCTCGGCTCAGGAGATGGAGCAGCAGCTGGCTGAACGGGAGTGTCCCCCTCACGCTGAGCAGAGGCAGCCCACCAAGAAGATGTCCAAAGTGAAAGGTCTGGTCTCCAGCCGCCACTAGGGCCGGCTGGGGCAGCTGGCACTCACCAGGCCTGGGTCAGGTGGGGAGGGGACACCAAGGGCCCATTTCCTCCCCTCTCTACCTGCAGTGAGTTCCAGACCTGCCCGTCCCCTCACCAGCGCCTCCCCACCCTGTTGGTACTGTTCCAGAAAAACTGTTACTCCCCCTCACCCACTCCCTCCTTCCCCAGTTGTTCCCTTCAGACTCAGGGGCTCCACCAATGCCATCCCAAAACAGGGTCAGACACTGCCCAGCTTCCCTCCAGGAGGTTCTTGTCTCTGTGTAAGGGCTTGTCTCCCTCCCAGTTTTTCTTTTGCTCCACGTCATTTTGTCAGGCTGGTTATAAGCCGGAGGCAGCTTTAACCAGCCCCCAGGGATGATTGTGAAGGAGGCCCCTCCCCTTGTGAGGAGGGGGCACTCCTCTCCAGCCCCTGGTACCACAGTCCTCACGATGGTGCAGTGATTTCTAGCCAGGCGTCAAGATGCGCTGCTTTCCCTCTCCTGCCTCATCCCTTGTTGGCAGCTCCAGTTCAGGCCGTGGAGGGACGTGATGCTGGGCTGTGTTTACTAAACCCACGGGTTTTCAGCCTCTTAAGCCCAGCTCCGATCTCCAATTAGTTGAGAGCGCTGGGTTGACTAACCTCTGGTATCTGAGCACAGACAGAGGGTGCTGTGGGTCTGCTGGGTGGCAGAAATGGTTCCTTCCGGCTTGGCGTTCTCTCCTGGCCACTCTTCCTGCTGCCTCTGACTACTCAGCCTTGTTTTCGGTGTGTAGGCCCCAGCTGCCCACTGGAACTGCCGGCTAATGCTTGCTCTCCCAAGATCTTTAACTCCTCCTGGCTGCACCTGGGTAGGGATGGTGGCATCGATGCCCCTCTGTCTGCTGAAGGACCTGTTGCTGCTTCTGTCTTTTCACCCCTCCTTGGCTGATGACCCAGAGCCCTCTGATGATGGCATTCTCCTGGCAAGAGAAAAAGACTTAACTAGACTTCTGAACTTGAACAGTTTCAGGTTATATTTTAATTTTTTTTTTTTTGTACAGGTTCTGATTCTAATACATTTCAACATGCTTTTGTCCCCCCTCGTGTCAATATTTGTTATAGACTAATCGCCGGGGATTTTTCACCTGGTTGGAGGGTGGGGGTGGGGTGGGGTGTGTGTGTGTGTGTGTGTGTGTGTGTGTGTGTGTGTGTGTGTTTGTAGGTCCTGGACTGATTAAAGTTCATTGAGGAAAAAGCACATTTTACAACAAAAAAATAAAAGTGTAGATTTAATGTATGTGACTGGGGTTTGGGGTTGCATACCTGGTGGATCTTGAGGGGCTGGGATTAGGGTGGTTCAGGAAAATGTGATGCTGTTTCCCCATGTTTAGCCATGGTCAAAAAATGGATTTCTCCTTTTTCTAAAATGTCCAGCAACTGCCTACTGTTGATCAAATGTTGAAGTATTCTTGTTTCCCTTTTAAGCCAATCCATGTGCCCACATAACATTATGCCCAAGTGGAGAGTTCACTTTAATTTCCAAAGTATGTTTCATGCAGCCCCCTGTCAGCTGCTCTGTGGAAAAGGGGTTCTGTTATGAAATAAATGTTGCACTCCCTGCATCCCATATCCTCATTGGAAATTCATTACTCAGGTGTCCAAGCATTCCTTGTTGAGGAAGCCTGTACCCACATCGATTTTACCGCCAAATCCTTTTGGGTAATATCTAGGTGGAACAAATCTTAGGGAAATTTTGGGGAAAGTATATTTCTGAAGAAGCCTAAGAGTGCTGGGCGCAGTGACTCATGCCTGTAATCCCAACACTTTGGGAGGCTGAGGTGGGAGGATCATTTGAGCCCGGGAGTTTGAGGCCAGTCCACACAACATAGTGAGATCCCATCTCTGCTACAAATAAAACCCTAAGAGAAGCTGAACACCTTTCAACCTTACAGGTTTTCCCAGCTATTCTTTCTAGACCTCAAACAGTCACTCTCAGCAAGTTTTCTTTCATTCTTGTTTTTCCCACTGGCAAGTAGACTAGGAAACATGGTTTGACTTGTATGAAGTCTGTGACCATTCTTTATTTGATTGCCCCAAGGCCCTAAGGGTCCTCTCCATGATTCACCTTCCTTAAAAATAATGATGGCGACAATAATAACTTGTCTCTAAAGTGCTTTACAAAGTGTGTTTGCATACAATAAGTCATTCAGTCCCTTCCACCCAAACAGCCTTCTGAGGTTGGTAAGGGTATTCAGCCATCTTCGCTTTGCATATGAGAAGACAATCTCAAAGATTTGAAGTGTCCCAGTGGTAACTGGCAGAAGGAGAACTCTTAGATCTCCTGACTTGCACATCCTGTCATCTGCTGTGTTACATTCTCATCTAGAGTCTGCTCTCCACACTTGATCCTTGCTACCCCTCTACCTGCTGCTGTTCCTCTGAGAGTTCATCTTGCCTTTATTTTGAGGGAGGGAGGGGCAAGCCCAGTGTTAGTGTTGATTTTGCCCTCAAGGACCCTGGCGGGGAAGCAGTAGTGTTCCCATTGTAGAGGCCAGAAAAGCTGCCCAGTGACACAGCCAGGATCAGTCATGGAGCCATGATAGGCCAGAGCCTGAGCTCCCAGCCACTGAGGAGGGGTGGCAGAGGATTGTTTGGCCAGGTCTGTGTGGGCTGAAGGCTTGGTGACCAGGGACGACATGATCATCTGCAAGACCAATGCTATCACTGCCCTGAGGATGTTCTTCCCCCGAAAGTTTGCCTCCAATAGCACAGGCACCTGCGTCTCAGATGGTGGTGACATCTGAGTACTTGGACTTCATCAGCTGCCTGTAGGAGGTGAGGTAGCAGGAGGTGAGGGCAATACTCCCTTCAGCTTCAGCAGGTGAAAAGTGTGGTTCTCAATGAAGTTGAGCTAGTGTGTGCCAGGTCTCCTTCTACAGTGGGTACGCGTCATACAGGATCCCATCAAAGCGACCACCTGGCAGGGGAGCGCCACCTCCTTCCACAGGACTTTCAAGGGGATGACCTTGTGTGGCTGCTGCTGGGTCCAGTCCTGGAGCAGCTGGAAGATGCTGTCATTGCACTCCATGATCCAGTGTTCCTGGATGGCGACCTCCTGCACCTTCCATATTCTTGTGGCCATGCCGAAGCCCACCTCTAAGACTCGGCCCCCTTTGGAGGTGGTGAAGGCAGCGAAGGGGGTTGCAGTAGGGGCGCTCTTGCTGCAGATGGAGCCCCAACTTGGAACCCGACGTGCCAGGGCCCAGTCCCTGCAGCCATCTCACTTTTCACATACCTCATTTCTGCTTGCCAAACCCACCCAGCCACTTAATAAGGAAGCAGAGAGTATGGGATAGAGAAATTGTGGGAATAGTGGCCCAGCCAGATGTTCATTGCTCCACTGGGACTCTGATAGGAGGCTTGGCCTTCAAGCTCTGCAGTTTCCTGTCTGGCACCCTGGCAGCTGGGCTCAAGTCTAAAATGTGCAGAAGTGTTTTATAGATAAATAGAACATTCCAAAGAGATGGCCTCATCAGCAGTGAGACATCTTAGGGAAGGAGACACCACAGTATTAAAGAGAATTACCTCAATGGCAGTGCCTGTGAGCTGGCTTGAGCCACCTTCTTTACCTCTGAGCTTTCTGCCTTCTGAAGCCCTTTTTGCTCTTTCTGTTCAGATGAGAGGCATTATGGTTCCTATTTGGGTAACATTAGGGAGGTGGTCAAAGCCCCCAGTATAGCCCATTCCTGTAGTCCTAATCCAAGATGGTCATCACTGATAGTAGGATTCTCCTCTCCCCATTTCAGTCACAGGAAATGGGGTGGTGACCAAACAAGCTCAAGTGATAAACTGCTGGTGATATGTATATATGTTTGTTGTTTTCTCCACCTCTGAGGTGCTGGGTTGCCTGATACCAAAGTGTTCCAGTTTGTGTACTAAAGTTGTTTTTCTGGCAGCCTGAGACTTCGCTTTTTAAAAAATGCAGCAATTGGTTGATTTTTGTTGTTCCTGAAGGACCCATCACACTACCCACGGTATCTGAGTTTCAAGTCTAGCATGGCTTGGGTAATCTGTGATTGTACCTGTTTCTTCCTGGGATTCTGCACATAGCCAGGAGCATCTCATTGCTTCATTCCGTGTTTTCTTGCAGTTATGCCTGGGATATGCAGATGGAAATGCATATTTTATTGTAAATTTCATTTTATATCTAGCTTATATTACCCTTAGGGCATTAAGTGGGTCTTTTAAACTTATGTCTGTTAAGTAGGTTGTCTGTGACTTGACGTCGGGCAGTAAAGGTAGATGCTAAGCAAGTATTTATTATCAAAAGGAAATGTTGAGTCAACATTAAGGGTGAGAACTGCTCTTCGTGGTTAAGGATAAAACCAAGAAGGAAAGAAGTGATGGGAATGCAGAGACAGGAGGCAGCCCAGCTCTTCTTGGGGTTGTTTACGCCCATCCTTGCGTTGGTCTGCGGCGTTTCCCCAGCAGACACCACTGTGGGCTACTCTAATGACTTCTCTTTCCTCCTCGAACAACTTCTGGAGAAGTCGCACCGTTGCAGAGTGGTGCCGCTACACATTGATCATCTAACCTTACCTGGGTCCTCAGCTATAGGGCCGTCTGTCTCGAGTCAGCTGTCACTTAAAAGTTTCACCATTTTCTCTGGTTTGACTTGCTGAAAAAAAAAAAAGAAACATTAAAAAATTTCACTATTTTCTTAAAATAGTTTACCTTATCACACCCTCTCATGTTCACTGGATGACTATCCTTTCTTCCTGGTGAAAGCAGAAACCCTCAGTTTCTCATCTTGCACCTACAGACTCATCTGCAATCCTTACCTCCTTGGGAAAAAAAGACGTCTCTCTTTCCATGTGAGTATCAGTCATCCCCCTGTGCCATTTCATTTTCTGGTTTTCAGTCCACCCTGCCTTTTCTCCGCAAAGTTTTCACTTCTGTGTCTTTAGCCTTTCCTCTAATGGATGTAGGTGTTGAATAATTTTACATTTAAGGGGACCCTCCCTGAACCTGATGTCCCTTTCCAGCCGCTGCCTTTTTCATCCTTAACGACCATGCTTCTTGAGAGTTGTCTACCCTTTCTGTCCCTCTCTTCTCCTTCACTGACACGTGACATTCTACTGCTACCCAGCCACTGATCATTTTCCTGTCAAGGGGACCATTGATCTCCAACTTGCTATCCTCCTAAGTTTTTATCTGGCTTGATCTTTGTGTTACACTTGGCACTGTTGGGCCCACTTCTTTAAGTGTTCTCTTAGTTTTCATGGCTCCAGTCTCTCCAGATTTTCCTGTGTTCCTTGACCTATTTTAACATTTCTTCAGGGGGGCACCTCTTCCTTTGGAGTTGGTGGTGTTTTCTAGGGTTCCATTGTGACCTCATTTTACTTTTATACATCTCCAGAAGTTATATGATTCACTGCCATGGTTCCACTTTCATTTATAATGCCCAAATCTCTACCTCTGGCTTGTTCTGCCAACATGAATAGTCAGCAGCCACCTGGACATTTCTGCTTGCCATCTCCCAGGTCCACTCCTGTAGTCGGTAATCGGTGCCCACCATTCACGAAGTATATATTAGTTTGCTAAGTCTACCATAACAGGATGCCACAGACTAGGCCCAAGCAACAGAATTTTCTTTTCTCACAGTTTTAGAGGCTTGAAGTCTAAGATCACCGTGTCAGGAGGTTTGATTTCTCCTGAGGCCTCTCTCCTTGGCTCGCAGATGGCCATCTTCTTGCTGTGTCCTCACATGTCCTTTTCTCTTTTGTGTGTGTGTGTGTGAGACGGGGTCTTGCTCTGTCACCCAGGCTGGAGTGCACTGGCACAATGACAGCTCACTGCCCCCTCAACCTCCTGGGCTCAAGTGATTCCTTCCACCTCAGCCTCTCAAGTAGCTGGGAATACAGGTGCATGCCACCACGCCTGGCTAATTTTTTGTATTTTTGGTAGAGATGGTGTTTCACCATGTTACCCAGGCTGGTCTCAAACTCCTGAGCTCAAGCAATCTGCCCGCCTTGGCCTCCCAAAGTGCTGGGATTATAGGCATGAGCCACTGCGCCAGGCCAGGCCTCTTCGCTCTGCACACATACATCTGGTGTCTCTTCCTTTTATAAGGACATTGGTCCTATTGGATTAGGGCCCCACCCTTAGGACCTCATTTAACCTTAATTGCCTCTTTAAAGGCCCTGTCACTAAATACAGTCACATTGGGGGTTAGGACTTCAACATAATGAGTTTTGGGAGAGACAGTTCAGTTCATAACAGCCATTTGCCTGAGCAAGAACTGGGGGTTCTTCCTTAACTCCTCTGTGTTGCGTATCTGATTCACCACATCTTGACCGTTCTACGGGCGTACCTTGGAGATACTGTGGATTTGGTTCCAGACCACTGCAATAAAGCAAATAGTGCTATAAAGTAAGTCACACAAGTTTTTGGTTTCCCAGTGCATATAAAAGCTGTGTCTATACTGTAGCCTATTAAGTACCCAATAGCATTATATATATTAAAAAAAGTACATACCTTAACTAAAACAAAAAAATGCTAACGGTTGAGCCTTCAGCATGTCGTAATCTTTTTGCTGGTGGAGGATCTTGTCTTAATGTTGATGGCTGCTGACCAGTCAGGGTGGTGGTTGCTGAAGGTAGGGATGACTGTGGCAATTTCTCAAAATAAGATAGTGATGAAGTTTGCCACGTTAATTGACTCTTCCTTTCACAAAAGATTTCTCTGTAGCATGTTAACGCTGTTTGATGCATTTTACCCACAGTAGAACTTATTTCAAAATTGGAGTCTTCTCAAACCATGCCACTGCTTTATCAACTAAGTTTCTGTAATATTCTAAATCCTTTGCTGTCATTCAACAGTGTTCACAGCATCTTCACCAGGAGTAGATCCCATCTTAAGAAACCACTTTTTTTTTTTTTTTTTTTTTGAGATGGAGTTTTGTTCTTGTCACCCAGGCTGGAGTGCAATGGCACCATCTCGCCTCACTGCAACCTCTGCCTCCGGGGTTCCAGTGATTCTCCTGCCTCAGCCTCCCGAGTAGCCTGGATTACAGGCAGCCACTACCATGCCTGGCTAATTTTTGTATTTTTAATAGAGATGGGGTTTCACCCTGTTGGCCACGCTGGTCTCAAACTCCTGACCTCAAGTGATCCACCCATCTCGGTCTCCCAAAGTGCTAGGATTACAGACGAGAGCCACTGTGCCAGGCCAGAAGCCACTTTCTTTGCTCATCCATAAGAAGCACGCCTCATCCACTAAAGTTTTGTCATGAGATTACAGTAATTCAATCACATCTTCAGTCTCCACTTCCAGTTCTCTTGCTGTTTCCACCATATCTGCATTTACTTCTTCCACTAAAGTCTTGGACCGTTCGAAGTCATCCATGAGAGTTGGAATCAGCTTCCTTCAAACTCCTGTTAATGTTGATATTTTTATCTCCTCCTGTGAATCAAGAATATTTTTAATGACATCTAGAATGGTGAATCCTTTCCAGAAGGCTTTCAGTTTACTTTACCCAGATTAATCAGAGGAATCACTATGGCAACTGTAGCCTTTGAAGTATATTTCTTAATAATAAGACTTGAAAGTCCAAATTACTCCTTGACCCATGGGCTGCAGAATGGATGTTGTATTAGCAGGCATAAAAACATTAATCTGGCTAGGCATGGTTTGGCTCACGCCTGTAATCCTAGCACTTTGGGAGGCTGAGGTGGGTGGATTGCCTGAGCTCAGGAGTTCTAGACCAGTCTGGGCAACATGGTGAAACCCTGTCTCTACTAAAACAAAAATTTAGCTGGCATGGTGGTGCGCATCTGTAGTCCCAACTGCTTTGGAGGCTGAGGCACAAGAATCACTTGAACCGGGGAAGTGGAGGTTGCAGTGAGCTGAGATCATGCCACTGCACTCCAGCCTGGGGGGACACAGCAAGACTGTCTCGAAAAATAAATAAATAAATAGAGCATTAATCTCCTTGTTCATCTCCATCAGAGCTCTTGGATGGCCAGGTGCATTGTCAGTGACCAGTAATATTTTGAAAGGAATCTTTTCCTGAGCAGTAGTTCTCAACAGCAGTCTTAAAATATTCAGTAAAGCATGCTATAAACAGATGTGCTGTCATTCAGGCTTTGTCGTTTCATTCACAGAGCACAGGCAGAGGAGATTTTGTGTAATTCTTAAGAGCCCTAGGATTTTCAGAACGATGAATGAGCACTGGCCTCAACTTAAAGTCACCAGGTGCATTAGCCCCTAACAAGAGAATCAGCCTGTCTTTTGAAGCTTTGAAGCCAGGCATTGACTTCTCTCTAGCGATGAAAGTCCTAAGTAGCATTGTCTTCAGTAGAAGGCTGATTCATCTACATTGAAAGTCTGTTTTTTATGTTGCAGAGATTGCTTCTTTCCTTAAACCTCGTGAACCAAACCTCTGCTAGTCTCAGACTTTTCTTCTGTAGCTTCCTCACTTCTCTCACCCTTCAATAGAACTAAAGAGAGTTAAGGCCTTGCCCTAGATTAGGCTTTGGCTTAAGGGAGTGTTGTGGCTGGTTTAATCTTCTATCTAGACCCACTGAAACGTTCTCCATATCAGCAATAAGACTGTTTTGCTTTCTTACTCATGTGTTCACTGGAGTAGTACTTCTAATTAACTTCAAGAACTTTTGTATTCACAACTTGGCTAACTGGTGCAAGAGGCCTAGCTTTGGCCTATCTCAGCTTTCAACATGGCGTCCTCACTAAGCGGATAATCATTCTAGTTTTTGATTTGAAGTGAGAGTTGTGCGACTCTTCCTTTTGCTTGAACACATAGAAGCATTGCCGGGTTATTCAGTGACCTAGTTTCAATATTGTGTCCCAGGGAATAGAGAGGCCCAAGGAGAGGGAGAGAGATGGAACAGCTGGTTGGTGGAGCAATCAGAACAAACATACATTTATTGATTCAATTTACAGTCTTATGTGGGGTGGTTCAGTCATCCCAAAGCAATTACCATAGTAACATCAAAGATCACGATCACCAAAACAGATATAATGAAAAAGTTTAAAATATTGCAAGAATTACCAAAATGTGACACAGACATGAAGTGAGCACATGCTATTGGGAAAATGGTACTGACAGACTTGCTTGACTCAGTGTTGCCACAAACCTTCAATTTGTAGAGTGCAGTATCTGCAAAGGCAATAAAGTGATACACAATAAAACAAGCTGTGTATGTATTTTATTATTGTTTGAACCCATCCTTTTTCCATCTCCTCTGCCACCTCAAGCATTTGAAAATTTATTCATTCAGTGCACTTTTTATTTTTATTTATCTTTTGAGACAGGATCTCACTCTGTCGCCCAGGCTGGAGTGTAGTGGTGGGATCATAGCTCGCTGCAGCCCCTCGACCTTCCAGGCTCAAGCAGTCCTCCCACCTCAGCCTCCCAAGAAACTAAGAATACAGGCATACACACCAAACCCAGCTAATTTTTTATTTTTTTTTAATTTTTTATTTTTTTTTGAAACAGAGTTTCGCTCATATTGCCTAGGCTGGAGTGCAGTTGGTGCAATCTCAGCTCACAGTCACCTCTGCCTCCCGGGTTCAAGCAATTATCCTGCCTCAGCCTCCTGAGTAGCTGGGATTACAAGCATGCGCCACCACTCCCGGCTAATTTTGTATTTTTAGTAGAGTTGGGGTTTCTCCATGTTGGTCAGGGTGGTCTTGAACTCCCAACCTCAGGTGATCTGCCAACCTCAGCCTCCCAAAGTGCTGGGATTACAGGCATGAGCCACCATGCCTGGTGCTAATTTTTTACTTTTTTGCAGGGATGGGGTCTCTCTATCTTGTCAGGGCTGGTCTCAAGCTCCTGGGTTCAAGTGATCCACCTCTGCCTCCCAAAGTGTTGGGATTACAGGCGTGAGCCACTGTGCCTGGCCCAGTACACTCTGCATACACATTATATGCTAGGGATGCAGCCAAAGAAGTTTAAAAAATATACAACTTAAGTAGGCGGAGTGGGGTGGCTCACGCCTGTAATCCCAGAGCTTTGTGAGGCCGAGGCAGGCGGATCACTGGAGGCTAGGAGTTCGAGACCAGTCTGGTCAACATGGCAAAACCCCGTCTCTACCAGAAATAAAAAAATTAGCCAGGCATGGTGGTGTACACCTATAATCCTAGCTACTTGAGAGGCACGAGAATCACTTGAACCTGGGAAGCTGAGGTGGCAGCGAGTTGAGATGGCGTCACTGCACTCCAGCCTGGGCGACAAAGTGAGATTCTGTCTATAAAAAAATGAAAAAGTAGATGGAAATGATAAAGCTAAATGAAGAAAAATTAATTGGCAAATCACAATTATAAATCTAATAGAATTCATTTGATATAGGCTGGCACGGTGGCTCACGCCCATAATGCCAGCACTTTGGGAGGCAGAGGCGGGCGGATCAGTTGAGGTCAGAAGTTGGAGACCAGCCTGACCAACATGGTGAAACCCTGTCTCTACTAAAAATATAAAAATTAGCCGGGTGTGGTGGTGGGTGCCTGGAATCCCAGCTACTTGGGAGACTGAGGCAGGAGAATTGCTTGAACTTGGGAGGTGGAGGTTGTAGTGAGCTGAGATCATGCCATTGCACTCCAGCCTAGGCAACGGAGCAAGACTCCGTCTCAAAACAAAACAAAACAAAAAACATTATTCTGATGTAATGAAAAATACCTGTCAAATCGAATTAAGAAAAGACAATGAGTAAAGAGAACTGTTATGATTTTAAAAATACGTTACCCACAATCACTTTGGAACTCAAAATAGTTTCCTGGGAGGATGAATGATCATAATTTATTCAAAGAGATAAAATACTAGAACTGGCTAATAAGAAATGAATGTAAAAACCACGGAAGTTGTACTTTTAAAACTGGGCTCATGTTTACTGGGTGAGTTTTTGTTATTAAAGGATCCAGTGATTCTCTTTCATCATAAGCTGACCAGGTTAAAAATAAGGGAATGGAGGCCAGGTGTGGCGGCTCACGCCTATAATCCCCACACTTTGGGAGGCTGAGGTGGACGGATCACTTGAGGTCAGGACTTTGAGACCAGCCTGGCCAACACGGTGAAACCCCATCTCTACTAAAAATACAAAAATCGGTTGGGCATGGTAGCACACACCTGTAGTCCCAGCTATTCGAGAGGCTGAGGCACGAGAAACGCTTGAACCTGGGAGGCAGAGGTTGCAGTGAGCTGAGATCATGCCACTGCACTCCAGCCTGGGCAACTGAGCGAGGCCCTATCTCAAAAAAAAAAAAAAAAAAAAGAGGAATGGAAAATTCAATTTACAAAAATGTGTCTAGTTGAGACCCGTTACCAAACTCCAACAAAGATAAGTTTATTCTTTTAAAATAACCTTGTTTGTGTAGATGAAAACAATTCTGTAAAATTCGACCTATAATCCTGTCATGAATTAGACAATTTAAGAAAAAGGATGCTTCCCTAATGTGATAAGATATGCATATTTAAGTCCAGTGACCACATTGTTATTCCAGTAGAAACACCAAGGCCTTCCCACAAAAGCAGTGATCTTGATATGCTCCTGACCATTCAAAATGAGTTTTAAATCTGAACCGCGACTGATGGTTCTAGCAAGAAGAGAGCCCTCCAGTCACTGAACTGCTGTGGTTCCCAGAAAACGCTGTATCCATCTGCACCCCTTGTCTTTTGACTACCCTGTCCACCCTCCCTGGGTTTCCTTCCTCATCCACCTGGCAAACACTCATCTATGAAAACCTTTTTCCAACCTCCCATTTCCAGGGGTAATCACTCCCACTCTGCAGTGTTTGAGCACTGCACAACTTTTTCTGTTTGCACCTGTTACCCTGCATTACATTCCTCTGTTAAAGCATCTGACCCCTTTGTACTAGAGTGTGAGCTCCCTCAGGGGAGGGACTGTGCTCTACAGTCCCTGTGTCTGCCTTGCCTCGCATAATGCTTAGCACATAATCCATAAGGCATGTCCTGCAGGAACTGCTGCAGGCACAGTCTGGTCCACTGTGATAGGGGATGGAGTCTGAAGTCACCAGGAGCCCTGGATGCTGGAGTCACACTGCTTTTTTGGGCTTGCACTAATCGTTGCCAAAAAATGTTCTTCAGGGTTGTGGCTCCCAGTGGGTAGGCCTATGCCAACTTAGGCTTGCCCAGCTGGGGTAGCCAGCACCTGAGCACTTACTATGTACTAGGTGCTGGGTTAAACACTGCATGGGTAGCTCACTGGATCCTCACAATGACTCTAAGGTAGGTGCTATTATAACTCCTGTTTTCCTACTGAGGAAAGAAGTTCTGAGTTACTTTATGATGGAGTTGGGACTTCTATCTGGGTGTGCCTCAGGCAAAGCCACCCTCCCACAGGATTTGCTGACCTGAGGTTGAGGCTCTTCTGGAAGGCTGGGGGTGGCAGAGATCAAGGCCCAGGTTTAGGGCTCAAGACTGGGCAAGGGTAGGCAGCAAAGGGGCTACTAGCTCTGCCAGGCTGTTCATAGTGTTCTGTAATTTGATGCTTTTTTTTTTTTTGAGACGGAGTCTTTGTTGCCCAGGCTGGAGTGCAGTGGTGCCATCTCGGCTCACTGCAACCTCCACCTCTTGGGTTCAGGTGATCCACCCTTCTTGACCTCCCAAAGTGCTGGGATTACAGACGTGAGCCACCACACCTGGACTGTAATTTGCTTTTTAATATATTGTGACCATCTTTCCATGTTGTAGTAGTTTTAAAATATGTCTAAAAATTATTTAATACTCCTCCTGTAAAAGGTAGAGCCTGATTCCTCTCCCCTTGAATATGGGCCAGTCTCTGTGACACACTTCTATTGAGTGGAATGTGGCAGCATGATGGTGAGTGACGTCTGAGGCTAGATTGGAAAAGGTTGCTACAGCATCCACCTAGTCTGCCTGTCTTGGGACACATGACTTGGGATCCCTGAGCTGACTTGTAAGAAGTCCAGTTGGGTTGGGGAGGAGAGACGCCCAAGGAGTCTTAACAGTACAGGTGCCAAGTGGGAGTGAGCGGGCCTGCAGGTGACTCCATCCCCAGCCATAGAGGCTGATTCAAACACAGCAGAGAAGACCCCTGCCCAGCCACCCCTCCGCCGGATTGCAGATTGTTTAGGAAAATAAACACTGCTGCTGTTTTATGCTACACGTTTTGGAGTAGTTTATCACACTGCGTGAGACCACTAGAATTGATGTCAATAAGAATGGTGCTACCTCTTTAATTCCATCATGTGGATGTGTCAATTTGTACAGCCGTTCTCCTAACCCTGAGAAAAGTATCTCGATTCACAAAAACGTTTCCACATGTGTAATCCAGATGTCAGCCTGCCGTTTTGAGGGTTATTACCTTCCTCTGGCATGTTTGGGAGGGCAGAGCCTTGTTTCACATCCACTGCTGGTCAGCTCCGCAATGCAGCTCCTCAGCAGTGTCCTGGCTCCTCCAGGTCCCAGCTCATTCCCCTCCTACTGGGCACCCCTTGGAACTCCTGGACCACTGTCGTCTTCGGTGCAGTACTGCTCACCCTGGGCCAGCCTCCTCCCCGACCTGGGTTAAAGTCTGATTACTCTCTAGCTTTTTGTTTGTTTGTTTGTTTGTTTGTTTTTTTGAGATGGGCTCTTGCTGTGTTGCCCAGGCTGGAGTGTAGTGGCGCGATCTCGGCTCACTGCCACCTCCGCCTCCTGGATTCAAGTGAGTCTCCTGCTTCAGCCCCCCGAGTAGCTGGGATTACAGGTGCCCATCACCACACCCAGCTGATTTTTGTATTTTTAGCAGAGACTACCCTGTTGGCCAGGCTGGTCTTGAACTCCTGATCTCAAGTGATCTGCCTGCCTCAACCTCCCAAAGTGCTGGGATTACAGGTGTGAGCCACCATGCCTGGCCTAGAACAGTAGCTTTCAACCAGGGACAGTTTTGCCATGGGGACCTTTGGCAATATTTGGAGACTTTTTTATTGGTAATTTTTATTGAGATAATTGTAGATTCATATGCAGTAGTAAGAAATAACACAGAGGGATCCTTTGTATACTTTGTTCAGTTTCTCTCAATGGTAACATTTTGCAAAACTAGCATAGGACAACCAGGATACTGGTTTATTTGTGTATGTGTGCATGTGTGTTAAGTTCTGTGCAATCTTACCACTTACATAGGTTTGTGTTTCCACCACAGTCAAGATACTGAACATTCCCATCATCACAAGGCTCCCTCTTGTTGCTCTTTAATAGCTACACCCACTTCCCTCCTGCCCGCACCCCCTCCATTATCCTGGCAACCACAAAACAGTTCTCCATTTCTGTGACTTTTTCATTTCAACATTGTTATATAAATAGAATTATACAACATGTCACCTTTGGGAATTGTCTTTTTTCACTCAGCATAATTCCCTGGAGATTCATCCAGGTCGTGTGTATCAGTAGTTCACTCCTTTTCATTGCCAAGTAGTAGTCCACAGTATGGATGTACCACAGTGTGTTTAACCATTCACCTGTTAAAGGACATCTGGATGGTTTCCAGTTTAAGGCTATTAATAAAGCTGCAATAAACGTGTGTGCAGGTTTTGGTGTGAACACAGTCTTCATTTCTCTGAGATAATTGCCCAGGAGTGCAGCTGCTGGGTCGTATGGTAGTTGTGTGTTTAGTTTTGTAAGAACTGCCAACTTTTCCAGAGTGACTATCATCTTACATTTCCATCAGCTGTGTAGGAATGATCCAGTTTCTCCACATCTTGCCAGCATTGGGTGTTATCACTGTTTTAGATTTTAGCCATTTGATAGGTGTGTAGTCTTCAGCCATACCACCCTGAACATACCGCATCTTGTCTGATAGGTATGTACCTATCACAAAACCTCATTAAGGTTTGAATGTGCATTTCCCTAGTGGCTAATGATGTTGAATATCTTTTCATGTCCCTATTTGTCATCTCTGTATCGTCTTTGGTGAAATGACTCTTTATGTCTTTTGTTCATTTTCTAATTGGCTTGTTTTATTTACTGTTGAGTTTTGAGAGTTCTTTATATATTCCAGGTACTAGTCCTTTATCATATCTGGAGACATACGTGGTTATCACCATGGGGTGGGTGGGAAGAGTTCTGCCACTGGCACCTAGTGGGTAGAGGCCAGGGATGCTGATAAACATCCTACAAAGTACAGGCCAGCCGCCACATCAGAGAATAATCTGCTCCAAATAGAAATAGTGCCCAGAGTGAGAAACCCTGCTCTAGAAACCCTACAGTGTACAGGCCAGCCGCCACATCAGAGAATAATCTGCTCCAAAAAGAAATAGTGCCCAGAGTGAGAAACCCTGCTCTAGAAACCCTACAGTGTACAGGCCAGCCGCCACATCAGAGACTAATCTGCTCCAAAATAGAAATAGTGCCCAGAGTGAGAAACCCTGCTCTAGAAACCCTACAGTGTACAGGCCAGCCGCCACATCAGAGAATAATCTGTTCCAAACTAGAAATAGTGCCCAGAGTGAGAAACCCTGCTCTAGAAACCCTAGAGTGTACAGGCCAGCCGCCACATAAGAGAATAATCTGCTCCAAACTAGAAATAGTGCCCAGAGTGAGAAACCCTGCTCTAGAAACCCTACAGTGTACAGGCCAGCCGCCACATCAGAGAATAATCTGCTCCAAATAGAAATAGTGCCCAGAGTGAGAAACCCTGCTCTAGAAACCCTACAGTGTACAGGCCAGCCGCCACATCAGAGAATAATCTGCTCCAAATAGAAATAGTGCCCAGAGTGAGAAGCCTTGCTCTAGAAATCCTACAGTGTACAGGCTCCAGAAACCCTGCTCTAGAAACCCTACAGTGTACAGGCCAGCCGCCACATCAGAGAACAATCTGCTCCAAAATAGAAATAGTGCCCACAGTGAGAAACCCTGCTCTAGAAACCCTAGAGTGTACAGGCCAGCCGCCACATCAGAGAATAATCTGCTCCAAATAGAAACAGTGCCCAGAGTGAGAAGCCTTGCTCTAGAAATCCTACAGTGTACAGGCTCCAGAAACCCTGCTCTAGAAACCCTACAGTGTACAGGCCAGCCGCCACATCAGAGAATAATCGGCTGCAAAATAGAAATAGTGCCCAGAGTGAGAAGCCTTCCTCTAGAAATCCTACAGTGTACAGGCTCCAGAAACCCTGCTCTAGAAATCCTACAGTGTACAGGCGAGCCGCCACATCAGAGAATAATCTGCTCCAAATTAGAAATAGTGCCCAGAGTGAGAAACCCTGCTCTAGAAAACCTACAGTGTACAGGCCAGCCGCCACATCAGAGAATAATCTGCTCCAAATAGAAATAGTGTTCAGAGTAAGAAACCCTGCTCTAGAAACCCTACAGTGTACAGGCCAGCCGCCACATCAGAGAATAATCTGCTCCAAACTAGAAATAGTGCCCAGAGTTAGAAACCCTGCTCTAGAAACCCTACAGTGTACAGGCCACCCCCCACATCAGAGAATAATCTGCTCCAAATAGAAATAGTGCCCAGAGTGAGAAACCCTGCTCTAGAAACCCTACAGTATACAGGCCAGACGCCACATCAGAGAATAATCAGCTCCAAATAGAAATAGTGCCCAGAGTGAGAAACCCTGCTCTAGAAACCCTACAGTGTACAGGCCAGCCGCCACATCAGAGAATAATCTGCTACAAATAGAAATAGTGTCCAGAGTGAGAAACCCTGCTCTAGAAACCTTACAGTGTACAGTCCAGCCGCCATATCAGAAAAATCATCTGCTCCAAATAGAAAGAGTGCCCAGAGTGAGAAACCCTGCTCTAGAAACCCTACAGTGTACAGGCCAGCCGCAACATCAGAGAATAATCTGCTCCAAACTACAAATAGTGCCCAGAGTGAGAAACCTTGCTCTAGAAACCTTGCAGTGTACAGGCCAGCCGCCACATCAGAGAATAATCTGCTCCAAATAGAAATAGTGCCCAGAGTGAGAAACCCTGCTCTAGAAACCCTACAGTGTACAGGCCAGCCGCCACATCAGAGAATAATCTGCTCCAAATAGAAATAGTGCCCAGAGTGAGAAACCCTGCTCTAGAAACCCTACAGTGTACAGGCCAGCCGCCACATCAGAGAATAGTCTGCTCCAAATAGAAATAGTGCTCAGAGTGAGAAACCCTGCTCTAGAAACCCTACAGTGTACAGGCCAGCCGCCACATCAGAGAATAATCTGCTCCAAACTAGAAATAGTGCCCAAAGTGAGAAACCCTGCTCTAGAAACCCTACAGTGTACAGGCCAGCCGCCACATCAGAGAATAATCTGCTCCAAATACAAATAGTGCCCAGTGTGAGAAACCCTGCTCTAGAAACCTTGCAGTGTACAGGCCAACCGCCACATCAGAGAGTAATCTGCTCCAAATAGAAATAGTGCCCAGAGTGAGAAACCCTGCTCTAGAAACCCCACAGTGTACAGGCCAGCCGCCACATCAGAGAATAATCTACTCCAAAATAGAAATAGTGCCCAGACTGAGAAACCCTGCTCTAGAAACCGTACAGTGTACAGGCCAGCCGCCACATCAGAGAAAAATCTGCTCCAAATAGAAATAGTGCCCAGCGTGAGAAACCCTGCTCTAGAAACCTTACAGTGTACACGCCAGCCACCACATCAGAGAATAATCTGCTCCAAATAGAAATAGTGCCCAGAGTGAGAAACCCTTCTCTAGAAACCCTACAGTATACAGGCCAGCCGCCACATCAGAGAATAATCTGCTCCAAATAGAAATAGTGCCCAGAGTGAGATACCCTGCTCTAGAAACCTTACAGTGTACAGGCCAGCCGCCACATCAGAGAATAATCTGCTCCAAATAGAAATAGTGCCCAGAGTGAGAAACCCTGCTCTAGAAACCCTACAGTGTACAGGCCAGCCGCCACATCAGAGAATAATCTGCTCCAAATAGGAATAGTGCCCAGAGTGAGAAACCGTATTCTAGAAACCCTACAGTGTACAGGCCAGCCGCCACATCAGAGAATAATCTGGTCCAAATAGAAATAGTGCCCAGAGTGAGAATCCCTGCTCTAGAAACCCTACAGTGTACGGGCCAGCCGCCACATCAGAGAATAATCTGCTCCAAATAGAAATAGTGCTCAGAGTAAGAAACCCTGCTCTAGAAACCCTACAGTGTACAGACCAGCCGCCACATCAGAGAATAATCTGCTCCAAACTAGAAATAGTGCCCAAAGTGAGAAACCCTGCTCTAGAAACCCTACAGTGTACAGGCCAGCCGCCACATCAGAGAATAATCTGCTCCAAATACAAATAGTGCCCAGTGTGAGAAACCCTGCTCTAGAAACCTTGCAGTGTACAGGCCAGCCGCCACATCAGAGAGTAAACTGCTCCAAATAGAAATAGTGCCCAGAGTGAGAAACCCTGCTCTAGAAACCCCACAGTGTACAGGCCAGCCGCCACATCAGAGAATAATCTACTCCAAAATAGAAATAGTGCCCAGAGTGAGAAACCCTGCTCTAGAAACCGTACAGTGTACAGGCCAGCCGCCACATCAGAGAATAATCTGCTCCAAAATACAAATAGTGCCCAGAGTGAGAAACCCTCCTCTAGAAACCCTACAGTGTACAGGCTCCAGAAACCCTGCTCTAGAAACCCTACAGTGTACAGGCCAGCCGCCACATCAGAGAATAATCTGCTCCAAAACAGAAATAGTGCCCAGAGTGAGAAACTCCGCTCTGGAAACCCTACAGTGTACAGGCCAGCCGCCACATCAGAGAATAATCTGCTCCAAATAGAAATAGTGTTCAGAGTGAGAAACCCTGCTCTAGAAACCCTGCAGTATACAGGCCAGTCGCCATATCAGAGAATAATGTGCTCCAAATAGAAGTAGTGCCCAGAGTGAGATACCCTTCTCTAGAAGCCCTACATTGTACAGGCCAGCCGCCACATCAGAGAATAATCTGCTCCAAATAGAAATAGTGCCCAGAGTGAGAAACCCTGCTCTAGAAACCGTACAGTGTACAGGCCAGCCGCCACATCAGAGAATAATCTGCTCCAAAATAGAAATAGTGCCCAGAGTGACAAACCCTCCTCTAGAAACCCTACAGTGTACAGGCTCCAGAAACCCTGCTCTAGAAACCCTAAAGTGTACAGGCCAGCCGCCACATCAGAGAATAATCTGCTCCAAACTAGAAATAGTGCCCAGAGTGAGAAACCCTGCTCTAGAAACCCTACAGTGTATAGGCCAGCCGCCACATCAGAGAATAATCTGCTCCAAATAGAAATAGTGCCCAGAGTGAGAAACCGTATTCTAGAAACCCTGCAGTGTACAGGCCAGCCGCCACATCAGAGAATAATCTGCTCCAAATAGAAATAGTGCCCAGAGTGAGAAACCCTGGTCTAGAAACCCTACGGTGTACAGGCCAGCCGCCACATCAGAGAATAATCTGCTCCAAATAGAAATAGTGCTCAGAGTGAGAAACCCTGCTCTAGAAACCCTACAGTGTACAGGCCAGCCGCCACATCAGAGAATAATCTGCTCCAAACTAGAAATAGTGCCCAGAGTGAGAAACTCTGCTCTAGAAACCCTACAGTGTACAGGTCAGCCACCACATCAGAGAATAATCTGCTCCAAACTAGAAATAGTGCCCAGAGTTAGAAACTCTGCTCTGGAAACCCTACAGTGTACAGGCTCCAGAAACCCTGCTCTAGAAACCCTACAGTGTACAGGCCAGCCGCCACATCAGAGAATAATCTGCTCCAAATAGAAATAGTGCCCAGAGTGAGAAACCCTGCTCTAGAAACCCTACAGTGTACAGGCCAGCCAACACGTCAGAGAATAATCTGCTCCAAATAGAAATAATGCCCAGGGTGAGAAACCTTGCTCTAGAAACCCTACAGTGTACAGGCCAGCCGGCACATCAGAGAATAATCTGCTCCAAATAGAAATAGTGCTCAGAGTGAGAAACGCTGCTCTAGAAACCCTACAGTGTACAGGCCAGCCGCCACATCAGAGAATAATCTGCTCCAAATTAGAAATAGTGCCCAGAGTGAGAAACCCTGCTCTAGAAACCCTACAGTGTACAGGCCAGCCGCCACATCAGAGAATAATCTGCTCCAAATAGAAATAGTGCCCAGAGTGAGAAACCGTATTCTAGAAACCCTACAGTGTACAGGCCAGCCGCCACATCAGAGAATAATCTGCTCCAAATAGAAATAGTGCCCAGAGTGAGAAACCCTGCTCTAGAAACCCTACAGTGTACAGGCCAGCCGCCACATCAGAGAATAGGCTGCTCCAAATAGAAATAGTGCTCAGAGTGAGAAACCCTGCTCTAGAAACCCTACAGTGTACAGGCCAGCCGCCACATCAGAGAATAATCTGCTCCAAACTAGAAATAGTGCCCAAAGTGAGAAACCCTGCTCTAGAAACCCTACAGTGTACAGGCCAGCCGCCACATCGGAGAATAATCTGCTCCAAATACAAATAGTGCCCAGTGTGAGAAACCCTGCTCTAGAAACCTTGCAGTGTACAGGCCAACCGCCACATCAGAGAGTAATCTGCTCCAAATAGAAATAGTGCCCAGAGTGAGAAACCCTGCTCTAGAAACCCCACAGTGTACAGGCCAGCCGCCACATCAGAGAATAATCTACTCCAAAATAGAAATAGTGCCCAGACTGAGAAACCCTGCTCTAGAAACCGTACAGTGTACAGCCAGCCGCCACAACAGAGAAAAATCTGCTCCAAATAGAAATAGTGCCCAGCGTGAGAAACCCTGCTCTAGAAACCTTACAGTGTACACGCCAGCCACCACATCAGAGAATAATCTGCTCCAAAATAGAAATAGTGCCCAGAGTGAGAAACCCTGCTCTAGAAACCCTACAGTGTAAAGGCCAGCCGCCACATCAGAGAATAATCTGCTCCAAATAGAAATAGTGCCCAGAGTGAGAAGCCTTGCTCTAGAAATCCTACAGTGTACAGGCTCCAGAAACCCTGCTCTAGAAACCCTACAGTGTACAGGCCAGCCGCCACATCAAAGAACAATCTGCTCCAAAATAGAAATAGTGCCCAGAGTGAGAAACCCTGCTCTAGAAACCCTACAGTGTACAGGCCAGCCGCCACATCAGAGAATAATCTGCTCCAAATAGAAACAGTGCCCAGAGTGAGAAGCCTTGCTCTAGAAATCCTACAGTGTACAGGCTCCAGAAACCCTGCTCTAGAAACCCTACAGTGTACAGGCCAGCCGCCACATCAGAGAATAATCGGCTCCAAAATAGAAATAGTGCCCAGAGTGAGAAGCCTTCCTCTAGAAATCCTACAGTGTACAGGCTCCAGAAACCCTGCTCTAGAAATCCTACAGTGTACAGACCGGCCGCCACATCAGAGAATCATCTGCTCCAAATAGAAATAGTGCCCAGAGTGAGAAACCCTGCTGTAGAAACCCTAAAGTGTACAGGTCAGCCGCCACATCAGAGAATAATCTGCTCCAAATAGAAATAGTGGCCAGAGTGAGAAACCCTGATCTAGAAACCCTACAGTGTACAGGCCAGCCGCCACATCAGAGAATAATCTGCTCCAAAATAGAAATAATGCCCAGAGTGAGAAACCCTGCTCTAGAAACCCTACAGTGTACAGGCCAGCCGCCACATCAGAGATAATCTGCTCCAAATAGAAATAGTGCCCAGAGTGAGAAATCCTGGTCTAGAAATCCTACAGTGTACAGGCCAGCCGCCACATCAGAGAATAATCTGCTCCAAAATAGAAATAGTGCCCAGAGTGAGAAACCCTGCTCTAGAAACCCTACAGTGTAAAGGCGAGCCGCCACATCAGAGAATAATCTGCTCCAAATAGAAATAGTGCCCAGAGTGAGAAGTCTTGCTCTAGAAATCCTACAGTGTACAGGCTCCAGAAACCCTGCTCTAGAAACCCTACAGTGTACAGGCCAGCCGCCACATCAAAGAACAATCTGCTCCAAAATAGAAATAGTGCCCAGAGTGAGAAACCCTGCTCTAGAAACCCTACAGTGTACAGGCCAGCCGCCACATCAGAGAATAATCTGCTCCAAATAGAAACAGTGCCCAGAGTGAGAAGCTTTGCTCTAGAAATCCTACAGTGTACAGGCTCCAGAAACCCTGCTCTAGAAACCCTACAGTGTACAGGACAGCCGCCACATCAGAGAATAATCTGCTCCAAAATAGAAATAGTGCCCAGAGTGAGAAGCCTTCCTCTAGAAATCCTACAGTGTACAGGCTCCAGAAACCCTGCTCTAGAAATCCTACAGTGTACAGGCCAGCCGCCACATCAGAGAATAATCTGCTCCAAACTAGAAATAGTGCCCAGAGTGAGAAACCCTGCTCTAGAAACCCTACAGGGTACAGGCCCCCCGCCACATCAGACAATAATCTGCTCCAAATAGAAATAGTGCCCAGAGTGAGAAACCCTGCTCTAGAAACCCTGCAGTGTACAGGCCAGCCGCCACATCAGAGAATAATCTGCTCCAAATAGAAATAGTGGCCAGAGTGACAAACCCTGCTCTAGAAACCCTACAGTGTACAGGCTCCAGAAACCCTGCTGTAGAAACCCTACAGTGTACAGGCCAGCCGCCACATCAGAGAATAATCTGCTCCAAAGTAGAAATAGTGCCCAGAGTGAGAAACCCTGCTCTAGAAACCCTACAGTGTACAGGCCAGCCGCCACATCAGAGAATAATCTGCTCCAAAATAGAAATAGTGCCCAGAGTGAGAAACACTGCTCTAGAAACCCTACAGTGTACAGGCTCCACAAACCCTGCTCTAGAAACCCTACAGGGTACAGGCCAGCCGCCACATCAGAGAAAAATCTGCTCCAAATAGAAATAGTGCCCAGAGTGAGAAACCCTGCTCTAGAAACCCTACATTGTACAGGCCAGCCGCCACATGAGAGAATAATCTGCTCCAAAATAGAAATAGTGCCCAGAGTGAGAAACCCTGCTCCAGAAACCCTACAGTGTACAGGCCAGCCGCCACATCAGAGAATAATCTGCTCCAAATAGAAATAGTGGCCAGAGTGAGAAACCCTGCTCTACAAACCGTACAGTGTACAGGCCAGCCGCCACATCAGAGAATAATCTGCTCCAAACTAGAAATAGTGCCCAGAGTGAGAAACCCTGCTCTAGAAACCCTACAGTGTATAGGCCAGCCGCCACATCAGAGAATAATCTGCTCCAAATAGAACTAGTGCCCAGAGCGAGAAACCCTGCTCTAGAAACCCTACAGTGTACAGGCCAGCCGCCACATCAGAGAATAATCTGCTCCAAATAGAAATAGTGCCCAGAGTGAGAAACCCTGCTCTAGAAACCCTACAGTGTACAGGTCAGCCGCCACATCAGAGAATAATCTGCTCCAAATAGAAATAGTGCCCAGAGTGAGAAACCCTGCTCTAGAAACCCTACAGTATACAGGCCAGTTGCCACATCAGAGAATAGTCTGCTCCAAAATATAAATAGTGCCCAGAGTGAGAAACACTGGTCTAGAAATCCTACAGTGTACAGGCTCCAGAAACCCTGATCTAGAAACCCTACAGTGTACAGGCCAGCCGCCACATCAGAGAATAATCTGCTCCAAATAGAAATAGTGCCCAGAGTGAGAAACAGTGCTTTAGAAAACCTACAGTGTACAGGCCAGCCGCCACATCAGAGAATAATCTGCTCCAAATAGAAATAGTGCCCAGAGTGAGAAACCCTGCTCTAGAAACCTTGCAGTGTACAGGCCAGCCGCCACATCGGAGAATAATCTGCTCCAAATAGAAATAGTGCCCAGAGTGAGAAACCCTGCTCTAGAAACCCCACAGTGTACAGGCCAGCCGCCACATCAGAGAATAATCTACTCCAAAATAGAAATAGTGCCCAGAGTGAGAAACCCTGCTCTAGAAACCCTATAGTGTACAGGCCAGCCGCCACATCAGAGAAAAATCTGCTCCAAATAGAAATAGTGCCCAGAGTGAGAAACCCTGCTCTAGAAACCCTACAGTGTACAGGCCAGCCGCCACATCAAGGAATAATCTGCTCCACATAGAAATAGTGCCCAGAGTGAGAAACCCTTCTCTAGAAACCCTACAGTATACACGCCAGCCGCCACATCAGAGAATAATCTGCTCCAAATAGAAATAGTGCCCAGAGTGAGATACCCTGCTCTAGAAACCTTACAGTGTACAGGCCAGCCGTCACATGAGAGAATAATCTGCTCCAAATAGAAATAGTGCCCAGAGTGAGAAACCCTGCTCTAGAAACCCTACAGTGTATACGCTCCAGAAACCCTGGTCTAGAAACCCTACAGTGTACAGGTCAGCCGCCACATGATAGAATAATCTGCTCCAAATAGAAATAGTGCCGAGAGTGAGAAACCCTGCTCTAGAAACCCTACAGTGTACAGGCCAGATGCCACATCAGAGAATAATCTGATCCAAACTAGAAATAGTGCCCAGAGTGAGAAAACCTGCTCTAGGAACCCTACAGTATACAGGCTCCAGAAAACCTACTCTAGAAACCCTACAGTGTACAGGCCAGCCGCCACATCAGAGAATAATCTGCTCCAAACTAGAAATAGTGCCCAGAGTGAGAAACCCTGCTCTAGAAACCCTATAGTGTACAGGCCAGCCACCACATGAGAGAATAATCTGCTCCAAATAGAAATAGTGCCCAGAGTGAGTAACCCTGCCCTAGAAACCCTACAGTGTACAGGCCAGAAGCCACATCAGAGAATAACCTGCTCCAAATACAAATAGTGCCCAGAGTGAAAAACCCTGCTGTAGAAACCCTACAGTGTACAGGCCAGCCGCCACATCAGAGAACAATCAGCTCCAAATAGAAATAGTGCCCAGAGTGAGAAACCCTGCTCTAGAAACCCTACAGTGTACAGACCAGCCGCCACATCAGAGAATAATCTGCTCCAAATAGAAATAGCGCCCAGAGTGAGAAACCCTGCTCTAGAAACCCTACAGTGTACAGGCCAGCCACCACATCAGAGAATAATCTGCTCCAAATAGAAATAGTGCCCAGAGTGAGAAACCCTGCTCTAGAAACCCTACAGTGTACAGTCCAGCCGCCACATCAGAGAATAATCTGCTCCAAAATAGAAATAGTGCGCAGAGTGAGAAACCATGCTCTAGAAACCCTACAGTGCACAGGCTCCAGAAACGCTGCTCTAGAAACCCTACAGTATACAGGCCAGCCGCCACATCAGAGAATAATCTGCTCCAAATAGAAATAGTGCCCAGAGTGAGAAACCCTGCTCTAGAAACCCTACAGTGTACAGGCCAGCCGCCACATCAGAGAATAATCTGCTCCAAATACAAATAGTGCCCAGAGTGAGAAACCCTGCTCTAGAAACCTTGCAGTGTACAGGCCAGCCGCCACATCAGAGAATAATCTGCTCCAAATAGAAATAGTGCCCAGAGTGAGAAACCCTGCTCTAGAAACCCTACAGTGTACAGGCTCCAGAAACCCTGCTCTAGAAACACTACAGTGTACAGGCCAGCCGCCACATCAGAGAATAATCTGCTCCAAACGAGAAATAGTGCCCAGAGTGAGAAACCCTGCTCTAGAAACCCTATAGTGTACAGGCCAGCCACCACATCAGAGAGTAATCTGCTCCAAATAGAAATAGTGCCCAGAGTGAGAAACCCTGCTCTAGAAACCCTACAGTGTACAGGCCAGCCGCCACATCAGAGAATAATCTGCTCCAAATAGAAATAGTGGCCACAGCGAGAAACCATGCTCTAGAAAGCCTACAGTGTAGAGGCCAGCCGCTACATCAGACAATAATCTGCTCCAAACTGGAAATAGTGCCCAGAGTGAGAAACCCTGCTCTAGAAAGCCTACAGTGTACAGGCCAGCCGACACATCAGAGAATAATCTGCTCCGAATAGAAATAGTTCCCAGAGTGAGAAACCCTGCTCTAGAAACCCTACAGTGTACAGGCCAGCCTCCACATCAGAGAATAATCTGCTCTAAACGAGAAATAGTGCCCAGAGTGAGAAACCCTGCTCTAGAAACCCTATAGTGTACAGGCCAGCCGCCACATGAGAGAATAATCTGCTCCAAATAGGAATAGTGGCCAGAGCGAGAAACCCTGCTCTAGAAAGCCTACAGTGTACAGGCCAGCCGCCACATCAGAGAACAATCTGCTCCAAATAGAAATAGTGCCCAGAGTGAGAAACCCTGCTCTAGAAACTCTGCAGTGTACAGGCCAGCCGCCACATCAGAGAATAATCTGCTCCAAATAGAAATAGTGGCCAGAGTGACAAACCCTGCTCTAGAAACCCTACAGTGTACAGGCTCCAGAAACCCTGCTGTAGAAACCCTACAGTGTACAGGCCAGCCGCCACATCAGAGAATAATCTGCTCCAAAATACAAATAGTGCCCAGAGTGAGAAACCCTCCTCTAGAAACCCTACAGTGTACAGGCTCCAGAAACCCTGCTCTAGAAAACCTACAGTGTACAGGCCAACCGCCACATCAGAGAATAATCTGCTCCAAACTAGAAATAGTGCCCAGAGTGAGAAACCCTGCTCTAGAAACCCTACAGTGTACAGGCCATCCGCCACATCAGAGAATAATCTGCTCCAAATAGAAATAGTGCCCAGAGTGAGAAACCGTATTCTAGAAACCCTACAGTGTACAGGCCCGCCGCCACATCAGAGAATAATCTGCTCCAAATAGAAATAGTGCCCAGAGTGAGAAACCCTGCTCTAGAAACCCTACAGTGTACAGGCCAGCCGCCACATCAGAGAATAGTCTGCTCCAAATAGAAATAGTGCTCAGAGTGAGAAACCCTGCTCTAGAAACCCTACAGTGTACGAGCCAGCCGCCACATCAGAGAATAATCTGCTCCAAATACAAATAGTGCCCAGTGTGAGATACACTGCTCTAGAAACCCTACAGTGTACAGGCTCAGTCGCCACATCAGAGAATAATCTGCTCCAAATAGAAATAGTGTCCAGAGTGAGAAACCCTGCTCTAGAAACGCTACAGTGTACAAGCCAGCCGCCACATCAGAGAATGATCTGCTCCAAACTAGAAATAATGCCCAGAGTGAGAAACCCTGCTCTGGAAACCCTACAGTGTACAGGCCAGCCGCCACATCACAGAATAATGTGCTCCAAAGAGAAATAGTGCCCAGCGTGAGAAACCCTGCTCTAGAAACCCTACAGTGTACAGGCCAGCCGCCACATCAGAGAATAATCTGCTCCAAAGAGAAATAGTGCCCAGAGTGAGAAACCCTGCTCTAGAAACCCTACGGTGTACAGGCCAGCCGCCACATGAGAGAATAATCTGCTCCAAATGGAAATAGTGTCCAGAGTGAGAAACCCTGCTCTAGAAACCCTACAGTGTACAGGCCAGCCGCCACATCAGAGAATAATCTGCTCCAAACTAGAAATAGTGCCCAGAGTGAGAAACTCTGCTCTAGAAACCCTACAGTGTACAGGTCAGCCACCACATCAGAGAATAATCTGCTCCAAACTAGAAATAGTGCCCAGAGTGAGAAACTCTGCTCTGGAAACCCTATAGTGTACAGGCTCCAGAAACCCTGCTCTAGAAACCCTACAGTGTACAGGCCAGCCGCCACATCAGAGAATAATCTGCTCCAAACTACAAATAGTGCCCAGAGTGAGAAACCCTGCTCTAGAAACCCTACAGTGTACAGGTCAGCCGCCACATGAGAGAATAACCTGCTCCAAACAGAAATAGTGCCCAGAGTGAGAAACCCTGCTCTAGAAACCCTATAGTGTACAGGCCAGCCGCCACATCAGAGAATGATCTGCTCCATATAGAAATAGTGCCCAGAGTGAGAAACCCTGCTCTAGAAACCCTACAGTGTACAGGCCAGCCGCCACATCAGAGAATAATCTACTCCAAAATAGAAATAGTGCCCCGAGTGAGAAACCCTGCTCTGGAAACCCTACAGTGTACAGGCCAGCCGCCACATCAGAGAATAATCTGCTCTAAATAGAAATAGAGCCCAGAGTGAGAAACCCTGCTTTAGAAACCCTACAGTGTATAGGCCATCCGCCACATCAGAGAATAATCTGCTCCAAATAGAAATAGTGCCCAGAGTGAGAAACCCTGCTGTAGAAACCCTACAGTGTACAGGCCAGCTGCCACATCAGAGAATAATCTGCTCCAAATAGAAATAGTGCCCAGAGTGAGAAACCCTGCTCTAGAAACCCTACAGTGTGCAGGCCAGCCGCCACATCAGAGAATAATCTGCTCCAAAATAGAAATAGTGCCCAGAGTGAGAAACTCTGCTCTGGAAACCCTACAGTGTACAGGCTCCCGAAACCCTTCTCTAGGAACCCTACAGTTTACAGGCCAGCCGCCACATCAGAGAATAATGTGCTCCACATAGAAATAGTGCCCACAGTGAGAAACCCTTCTCTAGAAACCCCACAGTGTACAGGCCAGCCGCCACATCAGAGAATAATGCTCCAAATAGAAATAGTGCCCAGAGTGAGAAACCCTGCTCTAGAAACCCTACAGTGTACAGGCCAGCCGCCACGTCAGAGAACAATCTGCTCCAAAATAGAAATAGTGCCCACAGTGAGAAACCCTGCTCTAGAAACCCTACAGTGTACAGGCCAGCCGCCACATCAGAGAATAATCTGCTCCAAATAGAAATAGTGCCCAGAGTGAGAAACCCTGCTCTAGAAACCCTACAGTGTACAGGCCAGCCGCCACGTAAGAGAACAATCTGCTCCAAAATAGAAATAGTGCCCAGAGTGAGAAACCCTGCTCTACAAACCCTACAGTGTACAGGCCAGCCGCCACATCAGAGAATAATCTGCTCCAAACTAGAAATAGTGCCCAGAGTGAGAAACTCTGCTCTGGAAACCCTACAGTGTACAGGCTCCAGAAACCCTGCTCTAGAAACCCTACAGTGTACAGGCCAGCCGCCACATCAGAGAATAATCTGCTCCAAACTACAAATAGTGCCCAGAGTGAGAAACCCTGCTCTAGAAACCCTATAGTGTACAGGCCAGCCGCCACATCAGAGAATCATCTGCTCGAAATAGAAATAGTGCCCAGAGTGAGAAACCCTGCTCTAGAAACCCTACAGTGTACAGGCCAGCCGCCACATCAGAGAATAATCTACTCCAAATAGAAATAGTGCCCAGAGTGAGAAACCCTGCTCTAGAAACCGTACAGTGTACAGGCCAGCCGCCACATCAGAGAATAATCTGCTCCAAAATACAAATAGTGCCCAGAGTGAGAAACCCTCCTCTAGGAACCCTACAGTGTACAGGCTCCAGAAACCCTGCTCTAGAAACCCTACAGTGTACAGGCCAGCCGCCACATCAGAGAATAATCTGCTCCAAAACAGAAATAGTGCCCAGAGTGAGAAACTCTGCTCTGGAAACCCTACAGTGTACAGGCCAGCCGCCACATCAGAGAATAATCTGCTACAAATAGAAATAGTGTCCAGAGTGAGAAACCCTGCTCTAGAAACCCTGCAGTATACAGGCCAGTCGCCATATCAGAGAATAATGTGCTCCAAATAGAAGTAGTGCCCAGAGTGAGATACCCTTCTCTAGAAGCCCTACATTGTACAGGCCAGCCGCCACATCAGAGAATAATCTGCTCCAAATAGAAATAGTGCCCAGAGTGAGAAACCCTGCTCTAGAAACCGTACAGTGTACAGGCCAGCCGCCACATCAGAGAATAATCTGCTCCAAAGTAGAAATAGTGCCCAGAGTGACAAACCCTCCTCTAGAAACCCTACAGTGTACAGGCTCCAGAAACCCTGCTCTAGAAACCCTAAAGTGTACAGGCCAGCCGCCACATCAGAGAATAATCTGCTCCAAAGTAGAAATAGTGCCCAGAGAGAGAAACCCTGCCCTAGAAACCCTACAGTGTACAGGCCAGCCGCCACATCAGAGAAGAATGTGCTCCAAATGGAAATAGTGCCCAGAGTGAGAAACCCTGCTCTAGAAACCCTACAGTGTACACGCCAGCCACCACATCAGAGAATAATCTGCTCCAAATAGAAATAGTGCCCAGAGTGAGAAACCCTTCTCTAGAAACCCTACAGTATACAGGCCAGCCGCCACATCAGAGAATAATCTGCTCCAAATAGAAATAGTGCCCAGAGTGAGATACCCTGCTCTAGAAACCTTACAGTGTACAGGCCAGCCGCCACATCAGAGAATAATCTGCTCCAAATAGAAATAGTGCCCAGAGTGAGAAACCCTGCTCTAGAAACCCTACAGTGTACAGGCCAGCCGCCACATCAGAGAATAATCTGCTCCAAATAGAAATAGTGCCCAGAGTGAGAAACCGTATTCTAGAAACCCTACAGTGTACAGGGCAGCCGCCACATCAGAGAATAATCTGGTCCAAATAGAAATAGTGCCCAGAGTGAGAAACCCTGCTCTAGAAACCCTACAGTGTACAGGCTCCAGAAACCCTGCTCTAGAAACCCTACAGTGTACAGGCCAGCCGCCACATCAGAGAATAATCTGCTCCAAAACAGAAATAGTGCCCAGAGTGAGAAACTCTGCTCTGGAAACCCTACAGTGTACAGGCCAGCCGCCACATCAGAGAATAATCTGCTCCAAATAGAAATAGTGTCCAGAGTGAGAAACCCTGCTCTAGAAACCCTGCAGTATACAGGCCAGTCGCCATATCAGAGAATAATGTGCTCCAAATAGAAGTAGTGCCCAGAGTGAGATACCCTTCTCTAGAAGCCCTACATTGTACAGGACAGCCGCCACATCAGAGAATAATCTGCTCCAAATGGAAATAGTGCCCAGAGTGAGAGACCCTGCTCTAGAAACCTTACAGTGTACAGGCCAGCCGCCACATCAGAGAATAATCTGCTCCAAATAGAAATAGTGCCCAGAGTGAGAAACCCTGCTCTAGAAACCCTACAGTGCACAGGCCAGCCGCCACATCAGAGAATAATCTGCTCCAAATAGGAATAGTGCCCAGAGTGAGAAACCGTATTCTAGAAACCCTACAGTGTACAGGCCAGCCGCCACATCAGAGAATAATCTGGTCCAAATAGAAATAGTGCCCAGAGTGAGAATCCCTGCCCTAGAAACCCTACAGTGTACAGGCCAGCCGCCACATCAGAGAATAATCTGCTCCAAATAGAAATAGTGCTCAGAGTGAGAAACCCTGCTCTAGAAACCCTACAGTGTACAGACCAGCCGCCACATCAGAGAATAATCTGCTCCAAACTAGAAATAGTGCCCAAAGTGAGAAACCCTGCTCTAGAAACCCTGCAGTGTACAGGCCAGCCGCCACATCATAGAATAATCTGCTCCAAATACAAATAGTGCCCAGTGTGAGAAACCCTGCTCTAGAAACCTTGCAGTGTACAGGCCAGCCGCCACATCAGAGAGTAAACTGCTCCAAATAGAAATAGTGCCAAGAGTGAGAAACCCTGCTCTAGAAACCCCACAGTGTACAGGCCAGCCGCCACATCAGAGAATAATCTACTCCAAAATAGAAATAGTGCCCAGAGTGAGAAACCCTGCTCTAGAAACCGTACAGTGTACAGGCCAGCCGCCACATCAGAGAATAATCTGCTCCAAAATACAAATAGTGCCCAGAGTGAGAAACCCTCCTCTAGAAACCCTACAGTGTACAGGCTCCAGAAACCCTGCTCTAGAAACCCTACAGTGTACAGGCCAGCCGCCACATCAGAGAATAATCTGCTCCAAAACAGAAATAGTGCCCAGAGTGAGAAACTCCGCTCTGGAAACCCTACAGTGTACAGGCCAGCCGCCACATCAGAGAATAATCTGCTCCAAATAGAAATAGTGTCCAGAGTGAGAAACCCTGCTCTAGAAACCCTGCAGTATACAGGCCAGTCGCCATATCAGAGAATAATGTGCTCCAAATAGAAGTAGTGCCCAGAGTGAGATACCCTTCTCTAGAAGCCCTACATTGTACAGGCCAGCCGCCACATCAGAGAATAATCTGCTCCAAATAGAAATAGTGCCCAGAGTGAGAAACCCTGCTCTAGAAACCGTACAGTGTACAGGCCAGCCGGCACATCAGAGAATAATCTGCTCTAAAATAGAAATAGTGCCCAGAGTGACAAACCCTCCTCTAGAAACCCTACAGTGTACAGGCTCCAGAAACCCTGCTCTAGAAACCCTAAAGTGTACAGGCCAGCCGCCACATCAGAGAATAATCTGCTCCAAACTAGAAATAGTGCCCAGAGTGAGAAACCCTGCTCTAGAAACCCTACAGTGTATAGGCCAGCCGCCACATCAGAGAATAATCTGCTCCAAATAGAAATAGTGCCCAGAGTGAGAAACCGTATTCTAGAAACCCTGCAGTGTACAGGCCAGCCGCCACATCAGAGAATAATCTGCTCCAAATAGAAATAGTGCCCAGAGTGAGAAACCCTGGTCTAGAAACCCTACAGTGTACAGGCCAGCCGCCACATCAGAGAATAATCTGCTCCAAATAGAAATAGTGCTCAGAGTGAGAAACCCTGCTCTAGAAACCCTACAGTGTACAGGCCAGCCGCCACATCAGAGAATAATCTGCTCCAAACTAGAAATAGTGCCCAGAGTGAGAAACTCTGCTCTAGAAACCCTACAGTGTACAGGTCAGCCACCACATCAGAGAATAATCTGCTCCAAACTAGAAATAGTGCCCAGAGTTAGAAACTCTGCTCTGGAAACCCTATAGTGTACAGGCTCCAGAAACCCTGCTCTAGAAACCCTACATTGTACAGGCCAGCCGCCACATCAGAGAATAATCTGCTCCAAATAGAAATAGTGCCCAGAGTGAGAAACCCTGCTCTAGAAACCCTACAGTGTACAGGCCAGCCACCACGTCAGAGAATAATCTGCTCCAAATAGAAATAATGCCCAGGGTGAGAAACCTTGCTCTAGAAACCCTACAGTGTACAGGCCAGCCGCCACATCAGAGAATAATCTGCTCCAAATAGAAATAGTGCTCAGAGTGAGAAACGCTGCTCTAGAAACCCTACAGTGTACAGGCCAGCCGCCACATCAGAGAATAATCTGCTCCAAACTAGAAATAGTGCCCAGAGTGAGAAACCCTGCTCTAGAAACCCGACAGTGTACAGGCTAGCCGCCACATCAGAGAATAATGTGCTCCAAATAGAAATAGTGCCCAGAGTGAGAAACACTGCTCTGGAAACCCTACAGTGTACAGGCCAGCCGCCACATCAGAGAATAATCTGCTCCAAAATAGAAATAGTGCCCAGAGTGACAAACCCTCCTCTAGAAACCCTACAGTGTACAGGCTCCAGAAACCCTGCTCTAGAAACCCTAAAGTGTACAGGCCAGGCGCCACATCAGAGAATAATCTGCTCCAAACTAGAAATAGTGCCCAGACTGAGAAACCCTGCTCTAGAAACCCTAAAGTTTACAGGCCAGCCGCCACATCAGAGAATAATCTGCTCCAAACTAGAAATAGTGCCCAGAATGAGAAACCCTGCTCTAGAAACCCTACAGTGTATAGGCCAGCCGCCACATCAGAGAATAATCTGCTCCAAATAGAAATAGTGTCCAGAGTGAGAAACCGTATTCTAGAAACCCTACAGTGTACAGGCCAGCCGCCACATCAGAGAATAATCTGCTCCAAATGGAAATAGTGCCCAGAGTGAGAAACCCTGCTCTAGAAACCCTACAGTGTACAGGCCAGCCGCCACATCAGAGAATAATGTGCTCCAAATAGAAATAGTGCTCAGAGTGAGAAACCCTGCTCTAGAAACCCTACAGTGTACAGGCCAGCCGCCACATCAGAGAATAATCTGCTCCAAATACAAATAGTGCCCAGTGTGAGATACACTGCTCTAGAAACCCTACAGTGTACAGGCCAGTCGCCACATCAGAGAATAATCTGCTCCAAATAGAAATAGTGTCCAGAGTGAGAAACCCTGCTCTAGAAACCTTACAGTGTACAGCCCAGCCGCCATATCAGAAAAATAATCTGCTCCAAATAGAAAGAGTGCCCAGAGTGAGAAACCCTGCTCTAGAAACCCTACAGTGTACAGGCCAGCCGCAATATCAGAGAATAATCTGCTCCAAACTACAAATAGTGCCCAGAGTGAGAAACCTTGCTCTAGAAACCTTGCAGTGTACAGGCCAGCCGCCACATCAGAGAATAATCTGCTCCAAATAGAAATAGTGCCCAGAGTGAGAAACCCTGCTCTAGAAACCCTACAGTGTACAGGCCAGCCGCCACATCAGAGAATAATCTGCTCCAAATAGAAATAGTGCCCAGAGTGAGAAACCCTGCTCTAGAAACCCTACAGTGTACAGGCCAGCCGCCACATCAGAGAATAATCTGCTCCAAACTAGAAATAGTGCCCAGTGTGAGAAACCCTGCTCTAGAAACCCTACAGTGTACAGACCGGCCGCCACATCAGAGAATAATCTGCTCCAAATAGAAATAGTGCCCAGAGTGAGAAACCCTGCTGTAGAAACCCTACAGTGTACAGGTCAGCCGCCACATCAGAGAATAATCTGCTCCAAATAGAAATAGTGGCCAGAGTGAGAAACCCTGCTCTAGAAACCCTACAGTGTACAGGCCAGCCGCCACATCAGAGAATAATCTGCTCCAAAATAGAAATAATGCCCAGAGTGAGAAACCCTGCTCTAGAAAGCCTACAGTGTACAGGCCAGCCGCCACATCAGAGATAATCTGCTCCAAATAGAAATAGTGCCCAGAGTGAGAAATCCTGCTCTAGAAATCCTACAGTGTACAGGCCAGCCGCCACATCAGAGAATAATCTGCTCCAAAATAGAAATAGTGCCCAGAGTGAGAAACCCTGCTCTAGAAACCCTACAGTGTAAAGGCCAGCCGCCACATCAGAGAATAATCTGCTCCAAATAGAAATAGTGCCCAGAGTGAGAAGCCTTGCTCTAGAAATCCTACAGTGTACAGGCTCCAGAAACCCTGCTCTAGAAACCCTACAGTGTACAGGCCAGCCGCCACATCAAAGAACAATCTGCTCCAAAATAGAAATAGTGCCCAGAGTGAGAAACCCTGCTCTAGAAACCCTACAGTGTACAGGCCAGCCGCCACATCAGAGAATAATCTGCTCCAAATAGAAACAGTGCCCAGAGTGAGAAGCCTTGCTCTAGAAATCCTACAGTGTACAGGCTCCAGAAACCCTGCTCTAGAAACCCTACAGTGTACAGGCCAGCCGCCACATCAGAGAATAATCGGCTCCAAAATAGAAATAGTGCCCAGAGTGAGAAGCCTTCCTCTAGAAATCCTACAGTGTACAGGCTCCAGAAACCCTGCTCTAGAAATCCTACAGTGTACAGGCGAGCCGCCACATCAGAGAATAATCTGCTCCAAATTAGAAATAGTGCCCAGAGTGAGAAACCCTGCTCTAGAAAACCTACAGTGTACAGGCCAGCCGCCACATCAGAGAATAATCTGCTCCAAATAGAAATAGTGTTCAGAGTAAGAAACCCTGCTCTAGAAACCCTACAGTGTACAGGCCAGCCGCCACATCAGAGAATAATCTGCTCCAAACTAGAAATAGTGCCCAGAGTTAGAAACCCTGCTCTAGAAACCCTACAGTGTACAGGCCACCCCCCACATCAGAGAATAATCTGCTCCAAATAGAAATAGTGCCCAGAGTGAGAAACCCTGCTCTAGAAACCCTACAGTATACAGGCCAGACGCCACATCAGAGAATAATCAGCTCCAAATAGAAATAGTGCCCAGAGTGAGAAACCCTGCTCTAGAAACCCTACAGTGTACAGGCCAGCCGCCACATCAGAGAATAATCTGCTCCAAATAGAAATAGTGTCCAGAGTGAGAAACCCTGCTCTAGAAACCTTACAGTGTACAGTCCAGCCGCCATATCAGAAAAATAATCTGCTCCAAATAGAAAGAGTGCCCAGAGTGAGAAACCCTGCTCTAGAAACCCTACAGTGTACAGGCCAGCCGCAACATCAGAGAATAATCTGCTCCAAACTACAAATAGTGCCCAGAGTGAGAAACCTTGCTCTAGAAACCTTGCAGTGTACAGGCCAGCCGCCACATCAGAGAATAATCTGCTCCAAATAGAAATAGTGCCCAGAGTGAGAAACCCTGCTCTAGAAACCCTACAGTGTACAGGCCAGCCGCCACATCAGAGAATAATCTGCTCCAAATAGAAATAGTGCCCAGAGTGAGAAACCCTGCTCTAGAAACCCTACAGTGTACAGGCCAGCCGCCACATCAGAGAATAATCTGCTCCAAATAGAAATAGTGCCCAGAGTGAGAAGCCTTGCTCTAGAAATCCTACAGTGTACAGGCTCCAGAAACCCTGCTCTAGAAACCCTACAGTGTACAGGCCAGCCGCCACATCAGAGAACAATCTGCTCCAAAATAGAAATAGTGCCCACAGTGAGAAACCCTGCTCTAGAAACCCTAGAGTGTACAGGCCAGCCGCCACATCAGAGAATAATCTGCTCCAAATAGAAACAGTGCCCAGAGTGAGAAGCCTTGCTCTAGAAATCCTACAGTGTACAGGCTCCAGAAACCCTGCTCTAGAAACCCTACAGTGTACAGGCCAGCCGCCACATCAGAGAATAATCGGCTGCAAAATAGAAATAGTGCCCAGAGTGAGAAGCCTTCCTCTAGAAATCCTACAGTGTACAGGCTCCAGAAACCCTGCTCTAGAAATCCTACAGTGTACAGGCGAGCCGCCAAATCAGAGAATAATCTGCTCCAAATTAGAAATAGTGCCCAGAGTGAGAAACCCTGCTCTAGAAAACCTACAGTGTACAGGCCAGCCGCCACATCAGAGAATAATCTGCTCCAAATAGAAATAGTGTTCAGAGTAAGAAACCCTGCTCTAGAAACCCTAGAGTGTACAGGCCAGCCGCCACATCAGAGAATAATCTGCTCCAAACTAGAAATAGTGCCCAGAGTTAGAAACCCTGCTCTAGAAACCCTACAGTGTACAGGCCACCCCCCACATCAGAGAATAATCTGCTCCAAATAGAAATAGTGCCCAGAGTGAGAAACCCTGCTCTAGAAACCCTACAGTATACAGGCCAGACGCCACATCAGAGAATAATCAGCTCCAAATAGAAATAGTGCCCAGAGTGAGAAACCCTGCTCTAGAAACCCTACAGTATACAGGCCAGACGCCACATCAGAGAATAATCAGCTCCAAATAGAAATAGTGCCCAGAGTGAGAAACCCTGCTCTAGAAACCCTACAGTGTACAGGCCAGCCGCCACATCAGAGAATAATCTGCTACAAATAGAAATAGTGTCCAGAGTGAGAAACCCTGCTCTAGAAACCTTACAGTGTACAGTCCAGCCGCCATATCAGAAAAATCATCTGCTCCAAATAGAAAGAGTGCCCAGAGTGAGAAACCCTGCTCTAGAAACCCTACAGTGTACAGGCCAGCCGCAACATCAGAGAATAATCTGCTCCAAACTACAAATAGTGCCCAGAGTGAGAAACCTTGCTCTAGAAACCTTGCAGTGTACAGGCCAGCCGCCACATCAGAGAATAATCTGCTCCAAATAGAAATAGTGCCCAGAGTGAGAAACCCTGCTCTAGAAACCCTACAGTGTACAGGCCAGCCGCCACATCAGAGAATAATCTGCTCCAAATAGAAATAGTGCCCAGAGTGAGAAACCCTGCATCTAGAAAACCCTACAGTGTACAGGCCAGCCGCCACATACAGAGAATAATTTCTGCTCCAAATGGAAATAGTGCCCAGAGTGAGAAACCCTGCTCTAGAAACCCTACAGTGTACAGGCCAGCCGCCACATCAGAGAATAATGTGCTCCAAATAGAAATAGTGCTCAGAGTGAGAAACCCTGCTCTAGAAACCCTACAGTGTACAGGCCAGCCGCCACATCAGAGAATAATCTGCCCCAAATACAAATAGTGCCCAGTGTGAGATACACTGCTCTAGAAACCCTAGAGTGTACAGGCCAGTCGCCACATCAGAGAATAATCTGCTCCAAATAGAAATAGTGTCCATAGTGAGAAACCCTGCTCTAGAAACGCTACACTGTACAAGCCAGCCGCCACATCAGAGAATGATCTGCTGCAAACTAGAAATAGTGCCCAGAGTGAGAAACCCTGCTCTAGAAACCCTACAGTGTACAGGCCAGCCGCCACATCAGAGAATAATGTGCTCCAAAGAGAAATAGTGCCCAGCGTGAGAAACCCTGCTCTAGAAACCCTACAGTGTACAGGCCAGCCGCCACATCAGAGAATAATCGGCTCCAAAGAGAAATAGTGCCCAGAGTGAGAAACCCTGCTCTAGAAACCCTACGGTGTACAGGCCAGCCGCCACATGAGAGAATAATCTGCTCCAAATGGAAATAGTGTCCAGAGTGAGAAACCCTGCTCTAGAAACCCTACAGTGTACAGGCCAGCCGCCACATCAGAGAATAATCTGCTCCAAACTAGAAATAGTGCCCAGAGTGAGAAACTCTGCTCTAGAAACCCTACAGTGTACAGGTCAGCCACCACATCAGAGAATAATCTGCTCCAAATAGAAATAGTGCCCAGAGTGAGAAACCCTGCTCTAGAAACCCTACAGTGTACAGGCCAGCCGCCACATCAGAGAATAATCTGCTCCAAATAGAAATAGTGCCCAGAGTGAGAAACCGTATTCTAGAAACCCTACAGTGTACAGGGCAGCCGCCACATCAGAGAATAATCTGGTCCAAATAGAAATAGTGCCCAGAGTGGGAAACCCTGCTCTAGAAACCCTACAGTGTACAGGCTCCAGAAACCCTGCTCTAGAAACCCTACAGTGTACAGGCCAGCCGCCACATCAGAGAATAATCTGCTCCAAAACAGAAATAGTGCCCAGAGTGAGAAACTCTGCTCTGGAAACCCTACAGTGTACAGGCCAGCCGCCACATCAGAGAATAATCTGCTCCAAATAGAAATAGTGTCCAGAGTGAGAAACCCTGCTCTAGAAACCCTGCAGTATACAGGCCAGTCGCCATATCAGAGAATAATGTGCTCCAAATAGAAGTAGTGCCCAGAGTGAGATACCCTTCTCTAGAAGCCCTACATTGTACAGGACAGCCGCCACATCAGAGAATAATCTGCTCCAAATGGAAATAGTGCCCAGAGTGAGAAACCCTGCTCTAGAAACCCTACAGTGTACAGGCCAGCCGCCACATCAGAGAATAATGTGCTCCAAATAGAAATAGTGCTCAGAGTGAGAAACCCTGCTCTAGAAACCCTATAGTGTACAGGCCAGCCGCCACATCAGAGAATAATCTGCCCCAAATACAAATAGTGCCCAGTGTGAGATACACTGCTCTAGAAACCCTAGAGTGTACAGGCCAGTCGCCACATCAGAGAATAATCTGCTCCAAATAGAAATAGTGTCCAGAGTGAGAAACCCTGCTCTAGAAACGCTACAGTGTACAAGCCAGCCGCCACATCAGAGAATGATCTGCTGCAAACTAGAAATAGTGCCCAGAGTGAGAAACCCTGCTCTAGAAACCCTACAGTGTACAGGCCAGCCGCCACATCAGAGAATAATGTGCTCCAAAGAGAAATAGTGCCCAGCGTGAGAAACCCTGCTCTAGAAACCCTACAGTGTACAGGCCAGCCGCCACATCAGAGAATAATCGGCTCCAAAGAGAAATAGTGCCCAGAGTGAGAAACCCTGCTCTAGAAACCCTACAGTGTACAGGCCAGCCGCCACATGAGAGAATAATCTGCTCCAAATGGAAATAGTGTCCAGAGTGAGAAACCCTGCTCTAGAAACCCTACAGTGTACAGGCCAGCCGCCACATCAGAGAATAATCTGCTCCAAACTAGAAATAGTGCCCAGAGTGAGAAACTCTGCTCTAGAAACCCTACAGTGTACAGGTCAGCCACCACATCAGAGAATAATCTGCTCCAAACTAGAAATAGTGCCCAGAGTGAGAAAGTCTGCTCTGGAAACCCTATAGTGTACAGGCTCCAGAAACCCTGCTCTAGAAACCCTACAGTGTACAGGCCAGCTGCCACATCAGGGAATAATCTGCTCCAAACTACAAATAGTGCCCAGAGTGAGAAACCCTGCTCTAGAAACCCTACAGTGTACAGGTCAGCCGCCACATGAGAGAATAACCTGCTCCAAATAGAAATAGTGCCCAGAGTGAGAAACCCTGCTCTAGAAACCCTATAGTGTACAGGCCAGCTGCCACATCAGAGAATGATCTGCTCCATATAGAAATAGTGCCCAGAGTGAGAAACCCTGCTCTAGAAACCCTACAGTGTACAGGCCAGCCGCCACATCAGAGAATAATCTACTCCAAAATAGAAATAGTGCCCCGAGTGAGAAACCCTGCTCTGGAAACCCTACAGTGTACAGGCCAGCCGCCACATCAGAGAATAATCTGCTCTAAATAGAAATAGAGCCCAGAGTGAGAAACCCTGCTTTAGAAACCCTACAGTGTATAGGCCATCCGCCACATCAGAGAATAATCTGCTCCAAATAGAAATAGTGCCCAGAGTGAGAAACCCTGCTCTAGAAACCCTACAGTGTGCAGGCCAGCCGCCACATCAGAGAATAATCTGCTCCAAAATAGAAATAGTGCCCAGAGTGAGAAACTCTGCTCTGGAAACCCTACAGTGTACAGGCTCCCGAAACCCTTCTCTAGGAACCCTACAGTTTACAGGCCAGCCGCCACATCAGAGAATAATGTGCTCCAAATAGAAATAGTGCCCAGAGTGAGAAACCCTTCTCTAGAAACCCCACAGTGTACAGGCCAGCCGCCACATCAGAGAATAATCTGCTCCAAATAGAAATAGTGCCCAGAGTGAGAAACCCTGCTGTAGAAACCCTACAGTGTACAGGCCAGCCGCCACGTCAGAGAACAATCTGCTCCAAAATAGAAATAGTGCCCACAGTGAGAAACCCTGCTCTAGAAACCCTACAGTGTACAGGCCAGCCACCACATCAGAGAATAATCTGCTCCAAATAGAAATAGTGCCCAGAGTGAGAAACCCTGCTCTAGAAACCCTACAGTGTACAGGCCAGCCGCCACGTCAGAGAACAATCTGCTCCAAAATAGAAATAGTGCCCACAGTGAGAAACCCTGCTCTAGAAACCCTACAGTGTACAGGCCAGCTGCCACATCAGAGAATAATCTGCTCCAAAATAGAAATTGTGCCCAGAGTGAGAAACCCTGCTCTAGAAATCCTACAGTGTACAGGCTCCTGAAACCCTGCTCTAGAAACCCTACAGTGTACACGTCAGCCGCCACATCAGAGAATAATTTGCTCCAAACTAGAAATAGTGCCCAGGGTGAGAAACCCTGCTCTAGAAATCCTACAGTGTACAGGCTCCCGAAACCCTGCTCTAGAAAGCCTAGAGTGTACAGGCCAGCTGCCACATCAGAGAATAATCTGCTCCAAAATAGAAATAGTGCCCAGAGTGAGAAACCTTTCTCTAGAAATCCTACAGTGTACAGGCTCCAGAAACCGTGCTCTAGAAACCCTACAGTGTACAGGCCAGCCACCACATCAGAGAATAATCTGCTCCAAAATTGAAATAGTGCCCAGATTGATAAACCTTGCTCTAGAAATCCTACAGTGTACAGGCTCCAGAAACCCTGCTCTAGAAACCCTACAGTGTGCAGGCCAGCCACCACATCAGAGAATAATCTGCTCCAAAATAGAAATAGTGCCCAGAGTGAGAAGCCTTGCTCTAGAAATCCTACAGTGTACAGGCTCCAGAAACCCTGCTCTAGAAACCCTACTGTGTACAGGCCAGCCGCCACATCAGAGAATAATCTGCTCCAAACTAGAAATAGTGTCCAGAGTGAGAAACCTTGCTCTAGAAATCCTACAGTGTACAGGCTCCAGAAACCCTGCTCTAGAAACCCTACAGTGTACAGGCCAGCCACCACATCAGAGAATAATCTGCTCCAAAATAGAAATAGTGCCCCAGAGTCAGAAACCTTGCTCTAGAAATCCCACAGTGTACAGTCTCCAGAAACCCTGCTCTAGAAACCCTACAGTGTACAGGCCAGCTGCCACATCAGAGAATAATCTGTTCCAAAATAGAAATAGTGCCCAGAGTGAGAAACCCTGCTCTAGAAACCGTACAGTGTACAGGCTCCAGAAACCCTGCTCTAGAAACCCTACAGTGTACAGGCCAGCTGCCACATCAGAGAATAATCTGCTCCAAAATGGAAATAGTGCCCAGAGTGAGAAACCCTGCTCTAGATTGACATCCTCAGGGGACCCAGGCTGGAGGGCTCTCCCGACACCACATTTTCTTAGAGGTTTTCCTACCTGCGTGAGGTGCACAGCCCCCTTATTACTCTTGGCTGTTTTAATATTATGACACAGTAAGAAATATATATTTAGTCTTCATCCCCTGTTCGTGGCATAGAGTTCCTAAAACCTTTGAGCTTTCCTGAATGATAGCAGTGAAAGGAGCATCTTTGTATTCATAATAAGCCCCTTGCTAACATACCTGAATTGATGCTAATAAAGTGGCTCTTTAATCACCTCTGGATGGTGATTGGCCACCAGAGGAATGAACTATGTGATTCAGAACTTTCAACTTCCCTGCCTCCAGGGAGGGGAGAGGGGCTGGGTATTGAGTTAATCAATGGCCAGTGGTTTAATCAATCATGTCTATGTAATGGAATGAACCTCCATAAAATCCCTAACTGATGGGGTTCAGAGAGCTTCTGGATTGGTTAGTGCATTCACATGCTGGGAAGATGAGCACCCCAGCTCCACGGAGACAAAAGATGCTGTTTGGGGACTGCTCCACACTTCGCCCTGTGTACCTCTTCATCTGGCTGTTCATTTATATCCTTTATAATATCCTACAGGTGTGGTGGTGCACACCTATAGTCCCAGCTACTTGCTGGGTGGGAGGCTCAGGTGGGAGGATCGCTGGAGCCCAGGAGTTCAAGGCAGCAGTGAGCTATGATCATGCCACTTCACACCAGCGTGGGCAACAGAGCAAGACCCTGTCTCTAAAAGAAAAAAAATTCCTTTCTAGTAAACTGGCAATAATAAAGTGTTTCTCTGAGCTCACAGGTGAGCTGTTATATCAAATTATCAAACCTAATGAGGGGGTTATGGAAGCCCCCAGTTTGTAGCTAGGTCAGATGTAGGAGTGTGGATAACCTGGGGACCCACTACTTGTGATTGACATCTGAAGTTGGGTCAATTTTGTAGGACTGAACCCTTAACCTGTAGGAGGTGTGTTAACTCCAGGTAGTTAGTGTCAAAATTGAATTAAGTTGTAAGACACCCAGCTGGGATTTCCACCAAGAATTGGAAAATTGCTATGGCATAGAAAACCCACACATTTGGGTCAGAAGTATTGTGAGTGGAGAAAGAGTTTTTTCTTTAACTGTACACACACTCTCACACTAGCAACTAACATTGAATGCCTTTTCTGTTTAGGGTATCATGCTTCACACTTTACATGGATCACTTCCTTCAGTTCTCACAGTAAGCCTTGGAAGCATGTATCATTCTCTCTCTTTTACAATGAGGAAACTGAAGGTTAGAGGTGACATGACTTGCCCAAGGTGACACAGCTAGAAAGCGGTCTCTGCTCTCAACTGCTCTACAGCACTGCCTCCCTAAGATTGTTATTGAAACACCAGGGGTTCAGGCTAGGTCTGCTGCTTGCAGCACAGAAAGCCAGTGACTGAGAGGACGAGTGTTGCCAAGGAAGACGGTGCTGCAGCGGAGGAGATGGCAGATCAGTCTCAAACCCATCTCCCTGACTAACTAAACTTGGGGGTTTACATAGCAGAGAAGAAATGTAACAATGTATTGGAAAATAGGACCTAGGGAGGGGTAAGGAAACAAAATCAGGGGTCTGGCATCTCATTGTCTGGTTGCCATGATCTGGTGAGTTTCAGTTCTTTGATGCTTTTTGAGAGGTCTACTAGTCCTTTCCTAAGGAAGGAACTCAGAGAAAACAAATGTTTAAGTTTCAAGCTTTAAGACCACAAGGTCCCATTTCTATGTTTATCCAAAAGAACTGTCTATGGCAGTGGTCCCCAAGATTTTTGCCACCAGGGACTGGGTTTCATGGAAAACAATTTTTCCACAGACGGGGTGGGAGGTGGTGATTTGGGATAAAACTATTCCACCAGATCATCAGGCATTAGATTCTCATAAGGAGCACACAACCTCACAGGCACAGTTTTACAATAGAGTTTGTACTCCTATGAGAGTGGAATGCACCACTGATCTGACAGCAAGTGGAGCTCTGGCAGTAATGCTCACTTACCCGCCACTCACCAGTTGTGCAGCCCAGTTTCTTTCTTTCTTTCTCTTTCTTTCTTTTCTTTTCTTTTCTTTTCTTTCTTTCTTTCTTTCTTTCTTTCTTTCTTTCTTTCTTTCTTTCTTTCTGTCTGTCTGTCTTTCTCTTTCTTTCTTTCTTTCTTTCTTTCTTTCTTTCTTTCTTTCTTTCTTTCTTTCTTTCTTTCTTTCTTTTTCCTTCCTTCCTTCCTTCCTTCCTTCCTTCCTTCCTTCCTTCCTTCCTCTTTCTCTTTCTCTTTCTTTTCTTTCTTTCCCTCCCTCCCTCCTTCTTTCTTTCTTTCTTTTTTTTTTTCCTGAGACAGAGTCTCGCTCTGTCACCCAGGCAGAAGTGCAGTGGCACAACCTTGGCTCACTGCAACCTCCGCCTCCTGGGTTCAAGCAATTCTCCTGCCTCAGCCTCCCAAGTAGCTGGGATTACAGGTGCCCGCCACCACGCCCGGCTAATTTTTTGTATTTTTAATAGAGACAGGGTTTCACCATGTTGGCCAGGCTGGTCTCCAGCTCCTGACCTCAGGTGATCCACCCTCCTCGGTCTTCCAAAGTGCTGGGATTACAGGCTTGAACCACCGCGCCCGGCCTAATACTGATTTCTAAGTACTATCCTGAAATGACCAGCAGAGGGCAGCAGTACATTAAAGTGCTGAAGGAATGACGCTGGACCCTTAGGCTTCATGGTATGTTCTGGGCAAAGGCAGAGCCTGGTCCCTGGGGTGTTGGCATCAATGGACTCAGGAGGAATTTAGAACACAGACAAGGTGGTTAATTTTCTCTCCAAATTGGAGTTATTTGTCTGAAAGTCTGTGGTGTGGACTAGGAATGAGAAGATGACTTGGGGCCAGGCACAGTGGCTCATGCCTATAATCCCAGCACTTTGGGAGGCCAAGGCGGACGGATCACCTGAGGTCAGGAGTTCGAGACCAGCCTGGCCAACATAGCAAAACCCATCTCTATTAAAAATATAAAAATTAGCTGGGCGTGGTGGTGTGCGTATGTAATCCCAGCTACTCAGGATGCTGAGGCAGGAGAATCACTTGAACCGGGGAGGCAGAGGTTACAGTGAGCCAAGATCATGCTACTGCACTCCAGCCTGGGCAACAGAGCAAGACTCCATCTCAAAAAAAAAAGAAAAAAAGACTTGGGAAAGTCAAGACTTGTGGTCCCAGTGCCATGGAGGAATTCTGACTGAGGGGAGACCTCCAAGAGTGCTTAGATAGAGGGCACCTCTCCAGTCCGTGCAGCACCACACGAGTCCCCGGCTGTTGTCAGAGCATGGTAAGTGTGTGTGTGTATGTGTGTGTGTGCGTATGTGCAAATGTCCACCCGCCAGAGCATGGTGAGAGTATGTGTGTGTGTGTGTGCACGCAAACGCCCACCCCCCAGAGCACGGTGAGAGTGTGTGTGTGCATGTACAAATGTCCACCCCGCCCTCCAGAAAAGCAGCTGAATCATCTTTCCCGTATGCCACCCTCTCTCTTGGAGCTGTCTGGTTTTCCATCTTATCGGGGACCTGAGGCAGCTGAATATAAAGGGCATGGGTGGTGATGCAGGAATGTAGACTGTGGTGGGCGAAGGGCCTGAGAATGCAGCCTCGGGCCTCCTTTCACCCTAGGAAGCCAGAGGAACCTCAGGGAGATGTGAAGCCCCTGGGGTCAGATGCAGAACTGTACATATATAAATATGCACTTATATAGCTTATTTTAAAAACTTTTAATCTTGAAATAATTATAGATTCACAAGAAGTTGTAAAAATAGTAGCAAGGCTCTGTGTGCCTTTCGACCAGTTACCCCCAATGGTAATATCTACATTACTTAAGCACAATAGGTAAACGAGGAAATGACATTGGTACGATCCAGGCCTTATTTGGACTTAGAGAGTTTTACATACACTTATGTGCATGTGTGTGGGTATAGTTCTATGCAATTTTATCACATGTATAGATTGGTGTAACTCCCACCACAATCAAGATACAGAACTGTTCCATCACCCCAAAGATCCCTCATGCTACCCTTTTATATTAATATTTACACCCACTCCTCTCTCCCCTCCCTGTCCCTGCCCCTAGCAGTCACTAATCTCTTTTCTGTCCTTATCATCTTGTCATTTCAAGAATGTTACATATATACATATATATTTTATTTATTTATTTTTTTTGAGATAGGGTTTCACTCTGTTGCCCAGGCTGGAGTGCAGTGGCACAATCTCGGCTCACTGCAACCTCCACCTCCTAGGCTAGAGTGATCCTCCTACCCCAGCCTCCCAAGTAGCTGGGACCATAGGTGCGCACCACCATGCCCAGCTAATTTTTTAAATTTTTTGTAGAGATGGGGTTTCACCGTGTTGCCCAGGCTGGATCTCGAATTCCTGAGCTCAAGTGATCTGCCTGTCTCGGCCTCCCAAAATGCTGGGATTACAAGTATGAGCCACTGCGCCCAGCCCTGTATGTTTTTTTTTTTTGAAATGGAGTTTTGCTCTTGTTGCCCCGACTGGAGTGCAATGTGCGATCTCGGCTCACTGCAACCTCCACCGCCTCCCAGGTTCCACTCTTCTGCCTCAGCCTCCCAAGTAGCTGGGATTACAAGTGTGCACCACCATGCCCGGCTAATTTTTGTATTTTTAGTAGAGATGGGGTTTCACCACGTTGGCCAGGTTGGTCTTGAACTCCTGACCTCCGGTGATCCGCCCACCTCGGCCTCCCAAAGTGCTGGGATGAGAGGCATGAGCTACCACGCCTGGCCCTATATGTATTTTTACAAGGGATCCACAGCAGTCATCATATTCTCAAAGGCATCCACAGTAAAGTGCTGAGATTGCAGGAGCTTGGTGTGAATTCTACAAGAAGCTGAACAGCAGCAGATCCCGTTCTCTTGCCGAGCAGTGCCAGGTGTTCTCTGGGTGTGAGGAAATCATAATCAGCCTCTGTTGAATGATTACTGTGTGTCAGGCACCAACGTCTCAAAGATGTTAAGTAACCTGCCCGAGGCCACACGGCAGCAAGTGGCAGAGCAGGAGTGAGCCAGGTTCTCTCTGTGCCCCTCTGCTTCCGCAGGAGTGATGAAATAGGAGATGCATCTGCACAGAAAGGCTCGGCTGGCCGCAGAAACCCAGGCAGGTCCAGAAACCAGTCCTTGAGCCAGCAGGAGGTTTGGGAGCTGCAGATGTGACTAGGAGAGCGCCAGCCCTGGGGGTGCTTCTGGCAAGGGAGCTTGCTGGCCAGGATGGGTGAGCCATGGCTTGCCAGAGGGTGGCCTGCTGGTCTCCTGGTGGCACCAACTTCCTCTAAGTGCCTTCCCAAGTCATGACGATACTTGGTGGTCCAGATAAGTATTTGTGTGTGGGCGGCAGGGAAAGCAGGTGGAATTATCGTAGGAAGGCAGTAGAGTTGGCTGACAGTGGTAGATGATGGCACTGGACATTTTTTGGCTACTAATCAGTGGCGGATGTCTCACTAAATTTGGTCAAAGTTCTGCACATGAGTTGGGGCACTTTTTGGAGAAAGCCAGGCCGATCTCACTTAGTCCCTGTCGCCACTTCCTGCCTCCACCTCGTGCCTTTTGGTTGTCCTCTCCTCTCCTGTGTAACCAGGTGGCATGAGCCTTAGGGTACTTCACTTCCTCTCCCCAAAAGAAAGGCCTGGGGCTGGAGTTGGGGACCGGCACTGTGGTGTGCACTGGGATGGTTTTTCTTTCTGTCTGGCTGTTATCTGGGCTCCTCTCTTGTTGAGGTAGGAAAGATGGGACTCCTCCCAGGTTTCCCGTTGGAGTATGTGTGACCACCCGTGGCCATAGGCTCTGAGGCCCACATCTCCTCTTTCTATCATTACCCCATTTTCCTCTGCAGGGATTACCTCTCTTCCATCTATATATTCTTGCAGGGAGTAATTCCAGCTGCAAAAGCCTGAAGACAGGAGCCAGACCCACCTCGGCCCACCCCATGGAGCAGGGAGGCCACAGAGCTCAGTCATCTAGACAAGCTCTTGTGGGGCTTAGATCTAATGCAGAGCCACCACCTTGGTGGCCACGTGTCCCTGGACTTAGGCTGTGGCCCAGGCTTCCCCACCCTAGCCCAGGATACACTCGCTTCTTGCTCAATTTCAAGCCATGAATTCTGGGAGTCCCCAGGATCCTCCCAATCTTCCTCTTGCTTAAGTTGGCCGGCATTGGGTCTTTTACCAGTGACCAAAGCACCACAATTTTAGACACAGTGGAATGCAGACTTGGCCTCATTTGGGTCCCCTCCCTGTGGCCTGCCACACTCAGCAATGAGAGCCCTCCTTGGGGCCCTGCCCAGCTCCCCATGATGTGGAGTAAAGGCTCTGATGGGAAGAGAAATCTCCATTTTATCCCACTATATCTCCTCTTTACAAACTTCCTTTTCCTAATTTTTTTTTTTTTTTTTGAGACAGGGTCTTGCTCTGTTGCCCAGGCTGGAGTGCAGTGGTGTGACAATGGCTCACTGTAATCCCAAACTCCTGGGCTCAAGTGATCTGCTCTGTTGCCCAGGCTGGAATGCAGTGGTATCGATCATGGCTCATTGTAACCCCAAACTCCTGGGCTCAAGCGATCCTCCTGCCTCAGCCTCCTGAGTAGCTAGGACTATGTGCACCATCAGGCCTAGATAAGTTTATAAGATAGGGAAGAGACAGGGTCTCACTGTGTTGCCCAGGCTGGTCTCAAACTCCTTGCCTCAAGTGACCCTCCCACCTCATCTTCCCAAAGTGCGGGGATTACAGGTATGAGCCACCATGTCTGGCTGACACAGACGTCATTTGGGGACTTTTTAGGAGGGTCATGGCTAGGAGAAAAATTTGCTTACTCTGGGTTGGCTGGACAGACGCTGTCTTGGGAAGTAGGGTGGTAGAATGGTCAAGAGCAGTTCAAATCTGGGCTCTACCATGTATGTGCCACATGACCTTGGGCAAATTACTTCATATCTCTAAACCTCAGCTCACATATCTGTTAAATGGGCATAATAATAGTACTGCAGGATATAAGGATTCATCCTAAAGATTAAATAAGATGATGAATGAAAGTACTTTAGCATATGTCTTAGTTTGCTAGGGCTGCCATAACAAAGCACGCAGGTCCTTGAGGGGCGTCACTTCACTCTGTGTCACTGTGTTACAATGTCGATGAGGGGGAGAAACATCCATTCCTCCCCATGTCTGCATAGGTTTTCTCTGGGTACTCCACTTTCCTCCCAAACCCCAAAAGCTGTGAATGGGTGTGTCTGCATGGCCCCGGTCTGAGTGAGTGTGGGTGTGTGTGAATGGCCCTGAAATGGGATGGCATCCTGTCCAGGGCTGGTTCCCGCCCTGTGTCCTCAGCTGCTGGGAGAGGCGCCAGCCACCTGAGACCTTGAACGATAATCAGCAGGTTGGAAAGTGAAAGGATGCAACGATTATAAAATAAAAATTAATAAAATTGGCTGGGCACAGTGGCTGACACCTATAATCCCAGCACTTTGGGAGGCTGAGGTGGGTGGATCAGTTGAGGCCAGGAGTTTGAGACCAGCCTGGCCAACACGGTGAAACCTTGTCTCTATAGTAAAAACAATAATTATCTGGGTGTAGTGGTGCATGTCTGTAATCCAAGCTACTTGGGAGGCTGAGGCAGGAGAATCGCTTGAACCCAGGAGGTGGAGGTTGTGGTGCGCCTAGATCATGCCACCGCACTTCAGCCTGGGCAACAGAGCGAGACTCCATCTCAAAAAAAAATTCATAAAATCTACAATAATCATAGAGATGCACTGCCATAACAGATGCGGTAGGAAAGGGCCCAGTGAGCCTACGGCATTCAGGATTATTTGTTTCTGAACTGCATGGTGCTCCTTCCAATGTTGGCTTTGCAGACATTTATTCCTTGATTTAACCCACCATGACTAGGACCACCATCACTCACTGATTCACCAGAAACCGGAAGATTGTCTTACTTGTTTTTATTAATCTTTCTTAAAGATATGTATGGCTCACATTTATTTTATTTTTTGAGACAGAGTTTCGCTCTTGTCGCCCAGGCTGGAGTGCAGTGGTGCAATCTCGGCTCACTGAAACTTCTGCTTGCTGGGTTCAAGTGATTCTCCTGCCTCAGCCTCCCGAGTATGTATCTGGGATTACAAGTATGTACCACCACACTCGGCTAATTTTTTTTTTCTTTTTCTTTTCTTTTTTCTTTTTTTTTTGAGACAGAGTCTTGCTCTGTCGCCCAGGCTGGAGTGCAGTAGCGTGATCTTGGCTCGCTGCAACCTCCACCTCCTGAGTTCAAACGATTCTCCTGCCTCAGCCTCCTGAGTAGCTGGGACTACAGGTGTGTGCCACCACTCCTGGCTAATTTTTTTTTTTTTTGAGATGGAGTCTCGCTCTGCCACCCAGGCTGGAGTGCTGTGTCGCAATCTGGGCTCACTGCAAGCTCCACCTCCTGGGTTCACGCCATTCTTCTGCCTCAGCCTCCCGAGTAGCTGGGACTGTAGGCGCCCGCCACCACGCCCAGCTAATTTTTTGTATTTTTAGTAGAGACGGGGTTTCACCGTGTTAGCCAGGATGGTCTCCATCTCCTGACCTCGTGATCCACCTGCCTCGGCCTCCCAGAGTGCTGGGATTACAGGCGTGAGCCACCGCTCCCGGTCCTCCTGGCTAATTTTTGTAGTTTTAGTAGAGACAACGTTTCACCGTGTTCGCCAGGCTGGTCTTGAACTCATGACCTCAGGTGGTCTGTCCGCCTTGGCCTCCCAAAGTGCTAGGATAACAGGCATGAGCCATCGCACTGGGCCTAATTCTGTATTTTTAGTAGAGATGGGGTTTCACCATGTTGGTCAAGCTGGTCTCAAACTCCTGACCTCAGGTGATCCACACGCCTTGGCCTCCCAAAGTGCTGGGATTACAGGCATGAGCCAAGGCGTCCAGCCTATTTCTATTTTTAATATTAGAAGTGCCTGGGGTCTTTATTTTGAAGTTTGGTGGTGCTTTTTTGACCAGAAATATGCTGTAGGAACTTAACTCTTGTTTGTATTAGTTAGCCTATGGTAAAATTGGTTTCGTTATACGTTGTTTCACTTAAAGTCACAGTTTATAAGAACCCACTGATGATAAGTGAGAACTTACTTTACCACCAAATGGATGGCTTAAAATAACAACCTTACCGTCTCACGGTTCTGGAGATTAGAAGTCAAAAATCAGGGTGTTGTGAGGGTCGGGTCCTTGTGAGAGCTGGAGGGAAGGATCCGTTGGAGGCCTCTTGCTGGCCTGTGGATGGCTGTCTTTATGTTCACATGGTTTTCCCCTGTATCTTCATTTCATCTTTCCTCTGTGTCCAAATTGTCCCATTTTATAAGGACACCCATCAGACTGGACACCCATCACTGGGCCCACCCTAATGACCCCACTTTTACTTGATCACCTCTGTAAGGACTCTATCTCCAAATAAGGTTACATTCTGAGGTAGAGGGGTTGGGGGAGGACACAATTTGACCATATCAGTATAGTACATAGCACATAGTAAGTACTAAATAAATGCTAGCTGCTATTATTCTAATAATGGTACTGCAATCCATGGTTACTTACAGTGAACACCCCTGGAAGTCAGGTGACCCTGGTATCCTGGCTGAAAATCAGGCAGCCCTGTGGGTTCCCTATCTGATTACACTGGTGTAAGGGGCTGGGCAGCAGACAAGTGGATTTGCACATGAAGGCCTTGAATTGAGTGTGCTGAAGCTGGGACTTGAACTAGGACTCTTGGCCAGATCTGATGGGGCTGGGGCCAGGCACCAGAGCTGAAGCCACATGTGGCCTGGTGTCGTCTTCATTAGCTTGTTGTCCAGGAAAAATATGGCTCCACAGACCTGCTGGGGAAGATCTGAGCTTCAGGGTTCCTGTCTGCCAGGGGTGCTAGAGTCAGGGTCTGTGGTCTCCCCATAGTTCTGGGACCTATCCTGGAGATCTCCTTGCATCTCAGGACATCATTGTCTTATTCAAAGCACTTTTTTTTTTTTTGAGATGGAGTTTCACTCTTGTTGCCCAGGCTGGAGTGTAATGGTGTGATCTCCGCTCACCGCAACCTCTGCCGGGTTCAAGTGATTCTCCTGCCTCAGCCTCCCAAGTAGCCGGGATTATAGGCATGTGCCACCGTGCCCAGCTAATTTTGTATTTTTAGTAGAGACGGGGTTTCTCCATGTTGGTCAGGCTGGTCTCGAACTCCCGACGTCAGGTTATCTGCCCACCTCAGCCTCCCAAAGTGCTGAGATTACAGGCGTAAGCCACCGCACCTGGCCTTTTGTGTGTGTGTGTGTGTGATGGAGTCTCACTCTGTTACCCAGACTGGAATGCAGTGGCATGATCTTGGTCACTGCAACCTCCACCTCTGGGTTCAAGCGATTCTCTTGGGTTCAAGCGATTCTCCTGCCTCAGCCTCTTGAGTTGCTGGGATTACAGGCATCTGCCACCATGCCCAGATAATTTTTGTATTTTTAGTAGAGACTGGGTTTCACCATGTTGGCCAGGCTGGTCTTGAACTCCTGACCTTAAGTGATCCACCCGCCTTGGCCTCCCAAAGTGCTGGGATTACAGGTGTGAGCCACTGCGTCTGGCCTCAAAGCACTTTTAGTTGCCATTGACAAGACCCACTACAACTAATGTAAGAAAAAAAAGTAAGGGAGGAGTTGTGGCAGAGTGGCAGAGGAGAGGAGGATTTGGAGGATACAGACGTGTCCCATGAAACTCCTAGGCATAGTGTACAGCAGTCCTCCTACTGCCGGGACCAGTAACTGGGGTGGTGGACCTCAGAACTGAAGTGTTGCTGCCTCTTGCATTCTCTCGGAGGCCATTTACTCTCCCCTCTCAGTTTCCTGTCCATCTGCTTCTCTCTCTCTCTGAAGATCCCTTCCCAGCTTCTCCAGGCACAGGCTGCCGTCACTGGGACGCCGCCTCGGGCTTGTCAGAAGCATTTAACTGCGCCACTGACTAGTGTCCTTGAGTCCCAATTCCACATTTTTGGGAGAGAGAATCTAACTGGCAGACAGTCCTGGTTGCCTGCTTAAAAGTCACCTGCCCCTTCGTTCTTGTCAAGAAAACTCCAGTTTTGTTTCAGGTGCCAACCAATGTGCCCCATCCCAGGTGACTGACTGTGATGGTCTAAGATGATCTTATTATTATTATTTTTTTGCCAGATACTTGATTCTACAGCCTCCATACAACTGTGTGATTCAGTCCTGGTAAAGGAGGCATCACTGTGTTCCTACTGGGGGCCTCATGGAAAAGGTCTTGGTTTCTTAATATCAGATGTTATTTCTGGAGCTGCAGCAGCTATGACATTACAGTGTGACAACCATAGGGACAAGAAGCCAATATGTTGAGGATGGTAGGGTGAAAGAATGGAAAGTGCCAGGGTTTTGATACTGCTAAGCTATGTGAGCAGTCCTGGGCATTGTCTTTTGGACTTCTTGTTTGTGCAAAAAGTGTACTCATGTTGTTTAAATCATCATTAGTTGGGTTTTCTGTTACTTGTAGCCATAACATTCCTAACATAACCTAATTGCAAGGAGCAGAAACCGAATGCAAACTGGCTCAATTTTAAATAAAAAAGGAGGGGAAGGAAGACTGGTTCATGTAATAAAATCCAGAGGAATGACTAGACTGGCCCCAGGGGCTCAGGAAGTCATCAGAGAATGTGCTCCATTCTCTGCAGGTTCCGTGGCTCTGCCTGCCTCTGAGTTTTGGCTTTATCCTCAGGGTCTCCCTTCCATCAAGATCCCAACACCGGCTATGGCAATTCTAGAGATTTCATTTTCACTCCATACCCCACAGAACAAGAGAGGGAGCAGGGGAGGGGCTCTCTCGTTCTTCCTTAGAGGAGTCCTGAGTTTCACTGTGATTGGACCAGCCTGGGTCAAGTGCCCATCTCTCAACCAATCACAGACCAAAGGAGATACGCTGATTGGCACATGTCTGGACTCCCAACCTCCCCACGAACACCAGGCGACAGGGGTGATTTGTTGGCATACTCTCATCTCAGACTGAAGGTGGGGTTGTCCCACTCTGACCGCATGAGAGAGGGGAGGCTTCCGAAAAGAAATTTGAGGTACTCTTAGCAGAATGGAGGGGAAATACATGTTGGACGGCAAACCACAGGTGTCCACCTCCAGCATATGTCCCTTGCTGATCAAGTCAGCTGTGACAGGAAGGGCAGGATCGTGTAGCACAAGCAAGTCTACTGGGATGGGGGTGCAGTTCTCCCATAAGGGGAATGACGGCTGGACAGGTATCTCAGGACGTCTCCACCACCGCTGTTAGGGTTTGTGGCTCCAAGACACTGTGCTGGTGTGATTGCCACGTGCCTCAGAACATTCAGCTGGTCATGCTTCTCTAGCCATCTCCACTGGCCTGGTACAGGTCTGCAGGGGGCCTAGGGGTCGGCCAAGGAAATGCTGTGGTTGAAGAAGCCTCCTGGGTTGCAGCTGCATATGCTGGGCAGGGCTTAGGATGTACTTATACAGGAGCCCTGTCCCTACCCATGCCCACTGGCTGTGCCTTGTATCCTCAAGCTGTCCAGCACAGACATCAGTTTCCTCCCACACTCTTCCCTACCCCCACCACGAAGTTCTTCCATTCCAGGTGGGCACAGAGGTTTCTGTAGAGAGAACTGGGCCAAGGTGACTTCTAATGTCCTATGATACTCAGGTATAGGAAAAGGTCAATGTTACTCAAAGTATGCCATGCATATTACTGTGGTATGTGACATAGTTTCTTTTAATAGACATGTATTGTATAAGTATACATTAATTTATATATACATTTTTAAACATGTCTTATTTTAAAAATATTTTTATTCTAAAATAAGGCCAGGGCGGTGGCTCACGCCTGTAATCCCAGCACTTTGGGAGGCCGAGGCGGGTGGATCATGAGGTCAGGAGATCGAGACCATCCTGGCTAACACAGTGAAACCTCGTCTCTACTAAAAATACAAAAAAAAATTAGCCGGGCGTGGTGGCGGGCGCATGTAGTCCCAGGTACTCGGGAGGCTGAGGCGGGAGAATGGCATGAACCCGGGAGGCGAGGCAGAGCTTGCAGTGAGCCAAGATCGCGCCACTGCATTCCAGCCTGGGTGACAAAGCGAGACTCTGTCTCAAAATATATATATATATTTATTATAAAATAAAATAAAGACAGAAAAACATACAGAAGATGTAAAGCTGAAAGTAGTATTATAAATATTACAAGGCAAACACCCCAAACGCAAGAACCAGAGAGTTCTCTGTCCCCATCACAGCCTCCTGCCTCCCTGCAAAAGCAACTACTGCCTGGCTGACACGGTAACCATTCCCTTACTTGTGTTTCATCACCCAAGTGGGCATTCCTAGATACTCTGGTTCAGTCTTGCCTGGGTGAAAATATATCTTTTTTTTTTTTTTTGAGAAGGAGTCTCGCTCTGTCACCCAGGTTGGAGTTCAGTGGTGCGATCTCGGCTCTCTGCAACCTCCGCCTCCCAGGTTCAAGCAATTCTTCTGCCTCAGCCTCCCCAGTAGCTGGGACTACAGGCACCTGCCACCCCACCTGGCTGATTTTTGCGTTTGTAGTAGAGATGGGGTTTCGCTGTGTTGGCCAGGCTGATCTCGAACTCCTGAACTCAGGTGATCCGTCCGCCTCAGCCTCCCATTGAAAATATATCTTTTACCTCTCTGTTAATCTACAGGTTCTCCCTTCACTGCTTTCTTTTCCTTTCAGTTTATCTGTTGAAGAACCTGGGCCATTTGACTGTGGTGTTTCTGTTGTATTTTGCTGGCTGCCCACTCGTGCCCACTTGTGCTCCTTTCTCTGTATTTCCTGCCCACATCAGCTGGATCTAGAAGTTTGATCAGACTCCGCTTGCACCTCTTTGGCGAGGCTCTGGGTGGTGATGTGTTCCTTCATTGGGGAGGCATAATGTCCAGCTGCTTTTCCTTTGTGGTGTTCACACTATCGATGCTCAATACCTAGGTCCATTAATTTACTGGGAGTTGCAAAATAGTGACATATATTTTTTTCATTGTGCCGTGATTCAGATTTTATTGCTTCTCAATTTTGTCATTCCACACAATTTGTAAGTAAATAGACTTCGAGAAAATAGACTGTGGGTGCTAGACAGATGATGGCAACATTAGTGAGACGGCTTCGGCATTTTACATAAGATAATGGAAAGAGCCGCAGCCGCCACCACTACCAAATGATGATATTTTAGTTCCATTTTTTTTTTCATTTATTTGCTGGAATTCTTTATAAACAGATGCTTCCTTTCATCAATGGGATTGCCCAGTGGTACTGCTCACATAGGAGAGGCAGGTTAAATGCTTCCTTCTGTCCCTACATTTACCAGCTTGCAAAATAATATACTGGGTTCCTTATCATCCTCTGGAGGCAACCAATTCATTTTTCTAAATATCATTATGAACTCATGTATTTAAGTATATTTGATGGGTTTCAATTTGTTGCAGTTATTACTGTAGTCAGAGCTCAAATTGTCCTGTCTTTGGTCAATGGAAACCTCTTTGGGTTGGTTTTTTTTTGTTTTTTTTTTGAGACAGGGTCTCGCTCTATCACCCAGGCTGGAGTCCAGTGGTGAGATCTCAGCTCACTGCAACCTCCACCTCCCGGGTTCAAGCAATGCTTCTGCCTCAGCCTCCCAAGTAGCTGGGACTACAGGCACACAGCACCATGCCTGGCTAATTTTTATATTTTTTGGTAGAGATGGGGTTTTACCATGTTAGCCAGGCTGGTCTCAAACTCCTGACCTCACGTGATCCACCTGCCTCATACTCCCGACATGCTGGGATTACAGGCATGAGCCACCAAGCCCGGCCCTCTTTGGGTTGTCTCTTTTGACACAAGCCCAGTAGAGAATGATGGTTCCTGTGCCATCATGTATCTCAAGATGTTCCAAGCTCCTTTTGTATGTTTTCTCATGCAGCCCTGTCAGTCGGAAAGGATATTTCATGACCACATGTGGACTCCAGGGATGCTCACTGTTACTGGGTTTGTCATTGTTTCGAGGCCAGAAATAACAGACGTAGAATGATAGACAAAATACCTCATGAGTTCATCATACTGTTCTTTTCTTCTTTTTTTTTGAGACAGAGTCTCACTTTGTCACCCAGGCTGAAGTGCAGTGGCGTGATCTCGGCTCACTGTAGCCTCTGCCTCCCAGATTCAAGTGATTCTCCTCCCAAGTAGCTGGAATTATAGGCGTGCACCACCATGCCTGGCTAATTTTTGTATTTTTTTAGTACAGATGGGATTTCACCATGTTGGCCAGGCTGGTCTCGAACTCCTGACCTCAGGTGATCCACCTGCCTCGGCCTCCCAAAGTGCTGGGATTACAGGCGTGAGCCACCATGCCTGGCAGTAATTCTTTATATTGAACATTCCTTTTTCAAATTATTTTGTGGTTTCTCTCTCCTGAATGTTTCCTGAGTAATGCAATGTGGTATCAAACATTTTTTTCTTTCTCCTTTTCTTTTAATTTCAGGAGAGTTTCCTTAAATTATAGCTTTTAGTATTTATTTTTCCTGTTCTCTTGCTTTGATTGTCATTTTCAGGGACTCCTGTTATCTGTGTGTTGGATTTTCTTTGACATTTCCAGTATTTGTCATTTTTTTTCTTGAATTCCTTATGTGTGTTCATTTCTTTTTTATTTAAAAAATTTCTCCCTTTTCACATTCTGTTTCTCATGAAGCATCATTCGAATCACTCATGTGTCTTCTAATTTAATCTTTATATGTGAAATCATTTTTCATTTTATTTCAAAATCTGTCCCAGCTGCCATAATCTCATTTCTTGGTCTTTCCAGTTCTGATACTTTTAAGGTATTTTTTCTTTATTTGAAATCATTAGTATAGTTTTGCTCATTGTATGGATGTTATTCTGCTCTATATTTTCTTTTATTGTCACAGACACTTTGGATGCGATTTCACGTTGGTACTTTGTATTCCCCATTTTTTATACAAAATTCATTTTCTTGAACTTTCAGAATGAAGTGGGTTGAGAAAGCTTTCCCAACATCACAGTTCTTCTCCATATACATAGTGTTAAAAACACAAGGCACACTCTTAGAACTACTAAACATGCTCAGCAAGGTTATAGGATACAAAGTTGCAGGATCAATATACAAAATCAGTTGTATTTCTATACACCTGTGATCTGAAATCTGAAAATGAAATTATGCAAGTGATTTCATTTATAGCAAGAAAAAATAAAATGCTGAGACCAGCCTGGCCAACATGGTGAAACCCTGTCTCTACTAAAAATACAAAAATTAGCTGGGAGTGGTCGTCGGTGCCTGTAATCCCAGCTACTCGGGAGGCTGAGGCAGGAGAATCGCTTGAACCTGGGAGACAAAGGTTGCAGTGAGCCAAGATCGTGTCACTGCACTCCAGCCTGGGTGACAGAGTGAGACTCCATCTCAAAAAAATAAAAAAATAAAAAATAAAAAGCCTAGGAATAAATTTAAAAACAGAAGTGTAAAATGTATGCTCTTAAAACTACAAAATATTGTGGACATTTAAAAGATTTAAATAAATGGAAAGACACCTTATGTTGATAGATCAAAATACCTAAATATTGTTAAAACGGAAAGACTCCCCAAACTGATCTACAGATTCAGTGCAATCTCCGTCAGAATTCTGCCTGGGTTCTTTGCAGAAATGGACAAGCTGCCCCTAAAATGCATGTGGAAACTCAAGGTCTCCAGAGTTACCAATAGCAATCAAACAAGCAAACAGCCAAAACAATCCTGAAAAAGAAGACAGTTGGAGGACTCACACTTCCTGATTTCAAAACTTACTAAAAAGCAACAGTAAGCAAAATTGCGGTAGTGGCATAAGGTTGGACATAAAGATCAGTGGAATAGAACAGAAGATCCCAGAAATCAACCCTCACATTGACAGTTCATTGATTTTTGATAAGGGTTCCAAAACAGTGAGGGAAAGAATTGTTTTTTTTTTTTCAACAGATGGCTCTGGGACAACTGGATATCTACATGCAAAATATAATCATAATAATAAAGTTGTATACCTACCTCATACGTCTACAAAAATTAGCTCAAAGAGCTAACTGTAAGAGCTATCATAGACTGAAATGTAAGCTAAAACAAATTTTTTTTTTTTTTTTGAGACGGCATCTCACTCTGTCACCCAGGCTGGAGTGCAATGGTGCCATCTTGACTCACTGCAACCTCTGCCTCCCGGGTTCAAGTGATTCTCCTGCCTCAGCCTCCTGAGTAGCTGGGATTACAGGTGCCCACCACGATGCCCAGCTAATTTTTGTATTTTTAGTAGAGACGGAGTTTCACCATGTTGGCCAGGCCAGTCTCGAACTCCTGACCTAGGTGATCCACCCACCTCGGCCTCCCAAAGTGCTGGGATCACAGGCGTGAACCACCACACCTGGCCTAAAACAAATTCTTAGGAAAAAAAAAACCATAGAGGTAAATCTTTGCCACCTTGGATTTGGGAGTGGCTTCTTAGGTATGATACCAAAAGCACAAGCAACCAAAGAAAAAATAGGTAAATTGGACTTTATCAAATTAAAAGCATTCATGATACCAACAAGAGAGGCAAAGACAACCCACTGATGGGAGAAAATATTTGAAAATTATATATCTGATAAGGGACTGGAATCTAGAATATTAAAGAACTCTTTAAATTCAGTAATAAAAAGACAACCCAATTAAAGAATGGGCAAAGGAGTTGTGAAGTTAGAAGCCGAATTCTGTTTTTGATAAAAAGTTATTCTACATGCTAGATAGCAAAGTAGAAAGGACTGTGTTTATTTTTGCCTTGGAATTGCAATTAAAGATCAGTCAAGGAACAAGATACCCAGAAATGATTAAGAAATTCAAGAATATAATAATGGAAGCGTTCTTTCTGGTTTCATTTTTTTTCCTCCTGATGAGAAAGTGGCCAGAAATTAGGCAAATGACTCTTCAAGATTTTTTCCCCAAGGTTTAATCATTACAGTAGTTATTCTCAAAATGCTGTCTGAGAGCCACCCACGTGACAATCACTTTAGGGGACTTTATTTTTGAAGTCCAGCAGTATTGAATCAGAATTTGAGGAGGCGTTGCCCTAACGTCCGAATTTTTAGCTAGTATCAAACTGATCCATAGATATAATAGATTTTTAAGAACTTCGACCATAAGCAAAAGATTGGATCATTCTGTTTTTCTCTTTTCATTTCGTTATTCTTTTCATTGAGATGAGGTCGCACTCTGTCACCCAAGCTGGAGTGCAGTGGTGCAGACCTCGGCTCACTGCAACCTCTGCCTCCTGAGTTCAAGCGATTCTCCTTCCTCAACCTCCCGAGTTCTCTTTTCATTTCTTTTTGTCATTTTCTTTTCTTTGTTTTCCTCAGCATCTACAATTGTGTCCTTTGGGTGGTGTTGGGCTCTCAATTTCAAGAAATTGCCAAGGCACTGATCCCATAATACATGTGGACAAAATCACTAGAATCTTAATATAGTTCGTTCACCTGATTTTAATTTTATAAAACAGAGAAGATCAAAAAAAAAAAAAAAAAGGAAAATTTACTTCTGAACGATTGAGTATTACAAGTCTCTATTATGCTGTCATGATCTTTTATTTATTCAAATTTTGGCCAGGCGCAGTGGCTCACGCCTGTAATCCCAGCCCTTTGGGAGGTGGAGACCGGTGGATCACTTAAGGTCAGGAGTTCGAGACCAGCCTGGCCAACACGGTGAAACCCCATCTCTACTAAAATACAAAAATGCTGGGCATAGTGGCAGACGCCTGTAATTCCAGCTACTAGGGAGGCTGAGGCAGGAGAATTGCTAGAACCCAGGAGGCAGAGGTTGCAGTGAGCTGAGATGGAGCCACTGCACTCTAGCCTGGGCGATGAGAGCGAGACTACGTCACAAACAAACAAACAAACAAGCTTTCCCTTAGGGGTGTACTGTTTGGATAAATAATACATCTGAGCAGTTCACATTATAATTAACTAACTCATTTGTTACTATGTCCTGTGACTCTTTAAGATTAAATATGAACAGCACTGAAGATTTTGAATAGGGTAAGAACAGATTGCTGTCCTCATTAGAGATAAAACTTAAAATTTTTCTAAAACATTATCGTCGATGTTCAGTGTTCTTTTTCTATTTTGAAATTCACAATATTGGGACTGGTATTTCTTCTATTGATTGAAGCTGGTTTTCCCCAGGAAACACATAAAGTATTCCTTATATATCTTCCCACTTACTCCTTTGAAATGAATAATATAATATGTAGTCTCTACACTGTTACAAATTGGAAATCCAAACATAGTAAGAACAAGTGGGCCGGGCACAGTGGCTCATGCCTGTAATCTCAACACTTTGGGAGGCCGAGGCGGGTGGATCACCTGAAGGTCAGGAGTTCGACACCAGCCTGGCCAACATGGTAAAACTCTGTCTCTACTAAAAATATTTTTTAAAAAATAAGCGGGGTGTGGTGGCAGGCACCTGTAATCCCAGCTACTCCAGAGGCTGAGGCAGGAGAATCGCTTGAAACCAGGAGGTGGAGGTTGCAGTGAGCCAAGATCATGCCATTGCACTCCAGCCTGGGCAACAAGAGCAAAACTTTATCTCAAAAAAAGAAAAGAAAAGAAAAGAAAAGAAAAGTGATTTACTCTGAGTCTTAACCTAATAATCAGTAGAAATAGGATAAAAACCATGTAACCCTAGGCTTTTTCATTTTTCCTTGAGTGTGGGTTTGACCAATTTTTTTTTTGAAAATTTCTTTTTTCATTCTACACTTAAATGTATGTGTGTTTAATTTGTATTTATCCTTCTCCCTGTCCCTTCCTTTCCCCCTTTCCATCACAGAACATCAGTAGACTATGACTATATAATAAGGTCACAGTCGCCATCTAGACTTTGGCATAAACACCAGTTTAACACCCAGAAATTTGCTACTCCTCAAATAATGTCTTGGATATTTTTAAAAGAAGTTTTTTTCTCTCCATCTTTTAGTGCCCGCACCTCCAAGTAACATTTATTCAGAGAGGGATACGTACACAACATGGAAGATTTAATGTAAACTCAAAGTCACTGGTGCAGCCACACTGCACGACAACACTGTTCACAGTTCCTTCCTTCTTCCCTCCCTCCTTCCCTCCCCCCTCCCCCCTTCCTTTTCCCTCCTCCCCACTCCCTCTTCTCTCCTCCCCTCTCCCCCTCCCTCTCCCTCCCTCCCTTCCTTTAGGCCTTCCTTCCTTCCTTTTCTTTTCTTCCTCTTTCCTTCCTTTTCCCCTCCCTTCTTCCTCTTTCCTTCCCTCCTTCCTCCATCCCTTCCTTCCTTTTTTAATCTCTTCTCTTTTTCTTTATTCCTCTTTCTTTTTCTCATTCATTACTAACTGGAGTAGATCTATCATACTATTTTTCTATTTTGCAGCTTGTCACTTATCAACTTTTTCTTTTTCTTTTTTTTTTTTTTTTTTTTGAGATGGAGTCTCGCTCTGTCGCCCAGGCTGGAGTGCAGTGGCACGATCTCTGCTCACTGCAAGCTCCGCCTCCTGGGTTCACGCCATTCTCCTGCCTCAGCCTCTTGAGTAGCTGGGACTACAGGCGCCCGCCAACATACACGGCTAATTTTTTGTATTTTTAGTAGAGACGGGGTTTCCCTGTGTTAGCCAGGATGATCTCGATCTCCTGACCTCGTGATCCGTCCATCTTGGCCTCCCAAAGTGCTGGGATTACAGGTGTGAGCCACCGTGCCTGGCCATTACTTACCAACTTTTTCATATCAACATATGAGTCTACCTCATTTTAAAAAAAAGATTACATAATATCTCTGTGTGGACATATTATAGTTGATCTAACTAGTCTCCTATTTATGGATTTAGTGTATTGTACAGGTATATCCTTGAATCAAGTGTCAAACATTGAATTTCCTGGATTGCCAAATCCTTATTTATTTCCACCGTAGTGTGTAAGTATCTGTTTCTTTAAACTTTCTCCAACATTGTTATCAAAGTTTTAGTTTTTGTTAATATTATTCTGTAGGTGAAAACTTGTTTCTCATCGTTTTGATTTGTCTTTAATTACGGGTGAGACTGAGCATCTCTTGATGTTTACTGGCCATACTTCTTTGTCTGTGAGTTGTATGAGTTGATTTTTCATACCTTTTCTCCATTATTCTATTGGATTGTTTGTCCTTTTTTTCTCCCCATTTTGATAGGAACTTTTTTGTTTGTTTGTTTGTTTTTGAGACAGAGTCTCGCTCTATCGCCTAGGCTGGAGTGCAATGACGTGTTCTCAATTCACTGTAACCTCCACCTCCCGGGTTCAAGCGATTCTCTTGCCTCAGCCTCCTGAGTAGCTGGGATTACAGGCACCCGCCACCATGCCCGGCTCATTTTTGTATTTTTAGTAAAGACGGGGTTTTGTCATGTTAGCCAGGCTGGTCTCGAACTCCTGACCTTAAGTGATCTGCCCGATTTGGCCTCCCAAAGTGCTGGGATTACAGGCATGACCCACTGTGCCTGCCTGATAGGAACTTTTTGAGAACTGAGGAAACTGGCCTTTTGTCAATTGTTTTACACATTTTTTTTTCATTTTTTTAAACCTTTTTTGTGGTATATAAATTTGAAATTCTTATTTAGCCCTGTTTGTATTTTTCTTTATGCTTCCTGGATTTTATATAATAAATAAAAATGTCTTTTTAAAATTTTTAGTCATCTTTTTTTTTCTGTTAGATGTTCCTTTTTAACATTTAAGTATTTGATCTGTCTGGAAATCGTTTTATAGTAAGGGGTGAGATAAAGACCCTGTTTTAAATAATTAGCCAATTTTCCTAACAGCATTAATTGAATAATATTAGCTTAAAATGCCACCTTTATCATATACTCAATTCCCATGTGTATTTGACCTGTTCCTGTATTCTCTTGTTTTTTAAATTTATTTTTTATTTATTTTTATTTTTTTCTGAGACGGAGTTTCACTCTTGTTGCCCAAGCTGGAGTGCAATGGCGTAATCTCAGCTCACTGCAACCTCTGCCTCCTGGGTTCAAGTGATTCTCCTGCCTCAATCTCCTGAGTAGCTGGGATTACAGGTGCCCGCCACCACACCCGGCTAATTTTTGTATTTTTAGTAGAGACGGGGTTTCGCCGTGTTGGCAAGGGTGTCTCAAACTCCTGACCTCAAGTGATCCGCCCACCTCGGCCTCCTAAAGTGCTGGGATTACAGGCATGAGCCATTGTGCCTGGCCTATTTTTTATTTTTATTTATTTATTTTTTGAGATGGAGTCTGGTTCTGTCGCCCAGGCTGGAGTGCAGTGGTGTGATCTCAGCCTACTGCAACCCCTGCCTCCCGGGTTAAAGCAATTCTCCTGCCTCAGCTTCCTGAGTAGCTGGGATTACAGGTGTGTGCCACCACACCCGGCTAATTTTTTTTTTTTTTTTTTTTTTTTTTTTGTATTTTAGTAAAGACGGGCTGGTCTCAAACTCCTGACCTCAGGTGATCCGCCTGCCTTAGCCTCCCAAAATGTTGGAATTACAGATGTGAGCCACTGCACCCTGTTCCTGTATTCTCTTATGTTTCGTTGCTCTGTTCTGATTGTTCCCAAATACCAAACTTTTTTTTATCACAATTTGGAACTAGCCACTTACTTAAATTTTTCAGGTCATATGTAGATATTACTTAATAATAGTAATCATTTTTCTATTGATTCTTTTAGATTTCTGAGAATTTGCTGGCATTTTCTGTAACTCATGCACTTTTTTGCCTGCTTTGTTCTAATATTTATATCTCTCATTTATTTTCTTTTTTTTGTTTGTTTGTTTTAGACGGAGTCTCGCTCTGTCACCCAGTCTGGAGTGCAGTGGCGCGGTCTCGGCTCACTGCAAGCTCCGCCTCCGGGATTCACGCCATTCTCCTGCCTCAGCTTCCCGTGTAGCTGGGACTACAGGCGCCCACCACCACATCTGGCTAATTTTTTTTGTATTTTTAGTAGAGACAGGGTTTCACTGTGTTAGCTAGGATGGTCTCGATCTCCTGACCTTGTGATCCGCCAGCCTCGGCCCCCCAAAGTGCTGGGATTACAGGCGTGAGCCACCGCGCCCAGCCCTCTATCTCTCATTTCTTTGTCCTGCTTCTCATTGTAATGGGAATGCTTTATCTCCATTAAGCATGGTACAGTCTTTTTGGTTGAGATATATACTTTTTCTCATGCTAGGAGAGTATTCTTTTAGTAACAGTTAATGATGATGGCTTTTTATGAGGAATGAAGGTTACATTTTGTTAGTTGCTTGTTCAGCATGTAAAGATTATCATATGACATTTTCCCTTTATTTGAATGTTATGAATTATAATAATGGATTTTCTCATGTTGAACAGTCTGTTTATTCTTGGAATTGAACTCCTCTCTATGTAATTCTCTTAATGTTCTACTGAATTCTGTATTCTAATGGTTTACTTAAAATGTTTGTACCAATCCTGACATGTGAGATTGATCTTTATCTTTTGTCTTGCTTTTTATGTTTTAGTATCAATGTTATGTCGTTTTTAAAAATAATTTGTGGGCTGGGCTTGGTGGTTCACGCCTGTAATTCCAGCATTTTGGGAGGCCGAGGTGAATGGATCACCTGAGGTCAAGAGTTTGAGACCAGCCTGGCCAACATGGCGAAACCCCGTCTCTACTAAAAATATAAAAATTAGCCAGGCATGGTAGCGGGCGCCTGTAATCCCAGCTACTGAGGAGGCTGAGGCAGGAGAATTGTTTGAATCCGGGGGTGGGGCAGAGGCTGCAGTGAGCTGAGGTGGTGCCACTGCACTCCAGCCTGGGCAACAAAGCAAGATTCCATCTCAAAAATAAATAAATAAATAAATAAAAATAAAAATTATTTGTAAGCAATTTGGATGTTTTTCTCCTAAAAAATGGGCAAAGGATCTGAATGGATATTTCATATATGCAGATAGATAGACAAAGGTCTAATAAGCACGTGGAAACATGCTCTACATCATTAGCCAACAGGGCAATGCAAGTCAAAGCCACAATGAGATACCACTTCACAACGGGAATGGTTATAATGAAAAGACAAGGAGTAACACGTGTTGGTGAGGACAAGGAGAAACTGAGGCCCTCACGTGCGACTGGTGGGAATGTAAAATGGCGCAGCCACTTTGGAAAACAGCGCCTGGCACTCCCTCAAAATATTAAACATAGAATTGCCATCTGACCCAACAATTTCACCCCTAGATGTACATGCAAAAGAACCGAACACATTTGTCCACACAAAAACTTATACACAAATGGTAACTTACTGTTTTTGCTGTAGGGGTTGGTGGATGGTCAGGCATGGGTTAGGCAGAACCCTGAGTGGGTCTACCTGGCCCATCCTCTCTCTGGGACAGATTCGTGTTCATTAAATTTATGAGATTGATGTATCAACCCAAAAAAGCCAATTTAGTTCTTTTTGTGTGTGTGAGAAATTGTTGATGCCAGAGGAATTAGAAAACTCTCCTGGCCTCACAATCTGTGAATTGTTTTCTCTGCAGTTGACCCATATTTGGAAAAGCAAACCATAAACGGAAGATTGTTTGCGGAAGATGGGATAAGGACAAGGAGACTTCGTGAATCAACTGGCAGTGGCATCCAGTCTACTCGGGAGACACACCCATCTCTCAAAGTGGTAGCCTTCCCCAGGGGGCAAGAACGCTAGAGGCCATGGCAGAGCTGCTGCCCACAACAAGACTTTGCAGGCCCCATGGGGGCTCCTTTTGTGCGTCCATGCCCGGCACTCTTCTGGAGGACGCCATCTGTTTTGAGATAGGCTCTTCCACTGGGGAGCTCCTAGCAGAGCCTTCCAGTCCTGGGAGCCTTTCTGGGTCTGTCAGATGGGCTTACATAGCTGTGCAGTTTCCTTTCCAGACTCTTTTTGATCATTCTTGGAAGGCAGACTTTTCTCCATCTCTACGTTCTTGGGGATTTGAGGAAAGCCTTATTGGAAGCATCAGGGAGTGCCGGCAGACTCTCACAGAGCTAATCTAGTGCTACAACAGGGCCTCGGAGCCTGGGACTTGAAGTGTGCCTTTAATCCTATGAAGACAGGCACGTGCACTCCTCACTGTTTGACCCAGCATCCAAGAGACAGGAGGGTGACTATCAGTCATTCTGTGCCATGAGGAGCAAGTTCATGGACCTTCCTCCACATGGGAGAGTGGATTTTCCAGCAAGGGCTCTGACACAGGAATGGCAGGCTGTGGGTGGCTGTCCACCTGTTTGGTTTTTTCTCCAAGAGGTAGCTGGGAGAGGGTTAAATGCCATGCATAAGATACTTATTCAGAGACATTAGTAAGCCCTGACCGTCCATGACCTCATAAAAATGCACACACCCTTTCTCTCATCCATATGTAACCTTAGAAAAAATTAACCTGGCCTCAATCATAATTTATATAGGAATACAATATCCCCACTTGTACTTTCACAAAAATTCCCTCATCTCTGTCACTAAATGACACACTGATTGAAAGTTTATTACCTGGCATTGAAGGTTTCTATTTATGGCTCTTAGATGTATGGCCCTCAAATACAAACAGGAGAGTCCAAGAGTGTCACAAAACAAACTAGTCTAAGTTTCACCAAGAATGCCTTTTTTTTTTTTTTTTTTGAGACAAGATCTGTCACCCAGGCTGGAGTATAGTGGTGCAATCTTGGCTCACTTCCACCTCCACCTCCCGGGTTCAAGTGATCCTCCTGCCTCAGCTTCCTGAGTAGTTGGGACCACAGGCATGCACCACCAGCCTAGCTCACTTTTGAATTTTTTGTAGAGATGGGGTTTTGCCATATCCCCCATGCTGGTCTTAAACTCCTGGCCTCAAGTGTTCTACCTGCCTCAGCTTCCCAAAGTGCTGGGATTATAGGCATGAGACACTATGCCCAGCCTACATTTGGCTTTTTAAAAGATTTACAAAGACTGGGCACTGTGGCTCATGCCTGTAACCCCAGCACATTGGGAGGCCGATGCAGGCAGATCACTTGAGACCAGGAATTTGAGACCAGCTTGGTCAACATGGTGATACCCCAGCTCTACTAAAAATACAAAAAAATTAGCTGGACATAGTGGTGCACACCTGTAATCCCAGCTACTCGGGAGGCTGAGGCACGACATTCGCTTAAACCCGGGAGGTAGAGGTTGAAGTGAGCCAAGATCACGCCACTGCACTCCAGCCTGGGCAACAGCAATACTCCATCTCAAAATAAAATAAAATAAAATAAAAAGATTTACATGCATCTCAAAGAGACAGAGAAAGCATTCCAATCGTGTTTTCTTTCTTTTCTTTTCTTTTCTTTTCGTTTTTTTTTTTGACACAGAGTCTCGCTCTGTCACCTAGGCTGGAGTGCAATGGCGCAATCTCGGCTCACTGCAACCTCCATCTCCCGGGTTCAAGCGATTGCCCTGCCTCAGCCTCCTGAGTAGCTGGGATTACAGGCATGCGCCAACACACCTGGCTAATGTTTTGTATTTTTAGTAGAGACAGGGTTTCACCATGTTGGTCAGGCTGATCTCGAACTCCTGACCTTGTGATCCACCTGCTTCGGCCTCCCAAAGTGCTGGGATTGCAGGCATGAGCCACCGTGTCCAGCTTTTTTTTTTTTTTTTCTGGAGACAAGGTCTCACACTCTGTCGCCCAGGCTGGAGTGCAGTGGTGCGATCTTGCCTCACTGCAGCCTCAACCTCTGAGGCTTGATCTGTCCTCCAACTTCAGCCTCCTGAGTAGCTGGGACTACAGGTGTGCGCCACCAAACCAGGCTAAGTTTTGTAGCGACGGCGTTTCATCTTGATGCCCAGGCTGGTCTCGAACTCCTAGGATCAAGGGATCCACCTGGTTCAGCTTCCCAAAATGCTGAAATTACAGGTGTGAGCCATCGAACTTTGTCAATTTCATGTTTTCTAGCAGAAAGTTCTCTTTCACTTTTGGTATCAGGGAAAATTTTATTTATTTTTTTTTTTTGAGACAGAGTTTCACTCTTGTTGCCCAGGTTGGAATGCAATGGTGCGATCTTGACTCACTGCAACCTCTGCCTCCCGGGTTCAAGCGATTCTCCTGCCTCAGACTCCCGAGTAGCTGGGATTGCAGGCACCCGTCACCACACCCGGCTAATTTTTTGTATTTTTAGTAGAAACAGGGTTTCATCATGTTGGCCACGCTGGTCTTGAACTCCTGACCTCAGGTGATTCGCCTGCCTCAGCCTCCCAAAGTGCTGGGATTACAGGCTTGAGCTACTGCGCTCAGCCAATTTTACATTTTTTTAAAAAAATTTATGTTTACGGTTACACAAGCACCTACCAGAGTATCTGGCACACAGTAGGTGTTCAATGAATGAAAGAATGAATGAACATTGAATCCCTTCCTTCTGGAGAGCCGGACTTCCTCTGAGCTGCCTGGGTTCAAGGAACAAACTCCCAGCTCCTGGTGCTTCCTGCTATAACTGCAGTTTTTTTTTTTTTTTTTTTTTTTGAGACAGAGTCTTGCTCTTGTTGCCCAAGCTGGAGTGCAATGGTGTTATCTTGGCTCACTGCAACCCCTGCCTCCCAGGTTCAAGCGATTCTCCTGCCTCAGCCTTCTGAATAGCTGGGACTACAGGCGCCCACCACCACGTCCGGCTAATTTTTGTATTTTTGGTAGAGACGGGGGTTTCACCATGTTGGTCAGGCTGGCCTTGAACTCCTGACCTCAGGTGATCCACCTGCCTTGGCCTTCCAAAGTGCTGGGATTATAGGCATGAACCACCGCGCCTGGCTGACTGCAGTTTTCTGCGGAGGCACTCGGCCTCCCCACCTGCTGCTCCTGGCTTTTCCTCCAGGACTCTGCCAGAGGGCAGATGAGACCAGGAGGCAACAGGACCTCCAGGAGATGGGAAGGAGCCCTCCCCTATCAGAGTGGAGGAGAAACCTGGATTGGATGAGCAGAGAGCCCTCTGTAAAGGTCCGGAGGCCCTGGTGGGATCCTGGGGGCTCGGGTCTGGGCCCTGCAAAGAGACCTTATTACCCCCTTTTTGGGATCTCAAACTCTGAGAGCACTCCTGTTGGTCACCCAGAGCCTCATGATACCTAAGGATTTTAGAACAGTAGACTGTCAGTGTTTGGGCAGCTGGCCAGACACAGGAACAAAGCCTGTCCTCAGGATTCCAGCAGAGACCTGCTCGAGGCCGCGGAATGTTGGGGTTTTCCACTCAGATGTTGACAGTGCTTTCTCACTCTGTACCAGCGTGAAGGCAAAAGCTTTCTCTAGAGCATTTTCTTCTGCTGAGAGGGGCAATGAGTGTGAGGGTGTTTTTGTAACTGAGTGACAGTGCTGAATTTGTAACTTAAACCCCTGCCCTCCCAGGTGCACGCAGGTGCATGATTGGAATATGCACACACTCATATGCTCTGACACACACTTTTTTTTTTTTTGAGACAGGGTTTTGCTCTGTTGCTGAGGCTAGAGGCTAGAGTGCAGTGGCGCAATCACAGCTCACTGCCACCTTGACATTCCGGAATCAAGTGATCTTCCCACCTCAGCCTCCTGAATAGGTGGGACCGTAGCATGTGCCATCACACTTGGCTAATTTGTTTGTATTTTTTGTGTAGTGACGGGGGTCTCACTATGTTGCCCAGGCTGGTCTTGAACTCCTGGGTTCCAGTGATCTTCCGGCCTCAGCTTCCCAAAGTGCTGGGATTACAGGTGTGAGCCCCCATGCCCCGCCCTGTCTTTAAATTAGATTATTAAATTAAAAGCATTTCAAAGCAGAAAACAATGTGGCTTTTTAGACTAAGTTTCTGAACTTGTCTCTTGTTGGCTGAGGACAGTCACTTGTACAAAGACATCAGGATTCACACAGGGCCCTGCCCTGCCCCACCCTCTTGACCCCACTCAGGCCACCACCAACCCCTTAACCGACATACACACCTGTTCCTCTTTGGTGCAGAAGAGAGACAGTAGAATCAAGAGATGGGAAGTGACTCAAGGTCTCCCATCCACTCTCGTCATTTTAAAAATCCATGTGTGTAAGGATTTTGTTGTAATTCTCCTTCCAGGTTTCCTACTTTAGAAAATATACTCCGGGCTGGCCGGGCGTGGTAGCTGACGTCTGTAATCTCAGCACTTTGGGAGGCCGAGGCAGGCGGATCACCTGAGGTCAGGAGTTTGAGACCAGCATGGCCAACACGGAAAAACCTCGTCTCTACTAAAAATACAAAAATTAGCCAGATGTGGTGGCGGGCACCTGTAATCCCAGCTACTTGGGAGGCTGCGGCAGGAGAATCGATTGATCCCAGGAGGCAGAGATTGCAATGAGCTGAGACCGTGCCACTGCACTCCAGCCTGGGTGACACAGCTAGACTCTGTTACAAAATTAAAAAAAAAAAGAAAGAAAATATACTCCGGGCTTCTCCCACGATTATTTCCTTCCACGATAGGAGCTCCTTTTCCGGTCAGTCTACTTGCTGAGAATGTTAACTGCATACAATTATGATAGTCACGGCCTTTTTTTTTTTTTTTTCTGATGTTGATCTCCAGGTTCAGCGATTGGAGATTGGATTTCAAAGAGAAGAGACTCAAATGCAATAATGCTGCCAGAAGACATAGCTCCCTCCCTGAGTTGGAATCAGTGAGATGTGTGACAGGAAAGACTGTTGACAGTAGGGCTTGATATGTGTTTCAAGAGCGAAATGAAAACTATCCTCCATAGTTCTCAGCTGTAGATCACTAAACCATAGGATTTTCTTTCTTTTTTTTTTCTTGAGATGGAGTCTCACTCTGTTGCCCAGGCTGGAGTGCAGTGGCACGATTGTGGCTCACTGCAAGCTCCACCTCCCAGGTTCATGCCATTCTCCTGCCTCAGCCTCCTGGGTTGCTGGGACTACAGGCACCCGCCACCATGCCCAGCTAATTTTTTGTATTTTTAGTAGAGACGGGGTTTCACCATGTTAGCCAGGATGGTCTCAAGCTCCTGACCTTGTGATCTGCCCGCCTCAGCCTCCCAAAGTGCTGGGACTACAGGCACCCACCACCATGCCCGGCTAATTTTTTGTATTTTTAGTAGAGACAGGGTTTCACCGTGTTAGCCAGGATGGTCTCGATCTCCTGACCTTGTGATCCACCCACCTCAGCCTCCCAGAGTGCTGGGATTACAGGTGTGAGCCACTGTGCCCGGCCAACCGTAGGATTTTCTTAAGGAGCAAACACTCAGTGGGCATTGAGGGTATAGGCCAATGGGCTCTCTCAGATGTTTCTGGGATCAACTGGTAAAATCCCTTTACCCCAAATGGGGAAGCCATTTGGCATGAACGCTGATGTTTTAACTTTTTGACCCACTAATTTCTAGGAATACTATCCTAAGAAAATAATTCTAAACATGGGAAAAGCTCAATGTCCAATTATTTTCAATATAACTTTTATTTCTTTTCTTTTCTTTTTTTTTTTTTTTTTTTTTGAGTTGGAGTCTCGCTTTGTCATCCAGGCTGGAGTGCAATCTTGGCTCACTGAAACCTCTGCATCCCGGGTTCAAGTGACTCTCCTGCCTCAGCCTCCTGAGTAGCTGGGACCACAGGCATGCACCACCATGCCCAGCTAATTTTTGTATTTTTAACAGAGACAGGGTTTCACCATGTTGGCCAGGCTGGTCTGGAACTCCTGACCTCAAATGATCCACTTGCCTTGGCCTCCCAAACTGTGCTGGGATTACAGGCATGAGTCACCGTGCCCGGCCTATAACACTGTTATAGAGGGGCATAAAAGCAGAAACAATCGAGTTGTACATGTGCCTGGGGTTTGGTAAATATTTAATTACTTGTACTCTACATTGTTTTCTCCCATTGCGAGGAACAATGATTCACATAGGGCTTGTTTCTAGGATGCCAAGCCTGAGACAGGAAAGCTGCCCAGACCAAGTCACCCTGGGGTCTCTGTCCTTCCTCCAGGGCCTTCCTGCAGGTCTCACCCCACAACTACTCCCCTTTCTTTGTGTGTCTGCTCTAACCTTCATTTGTTCCTGCATGTGGCCAGGACCCAAGATCCATTGCCTCTTTCTTCCTAGCTAACAAAACCCTCTCCCTGTCTCTGCCCCCGCCTCCCTTTCTGGAATCTGCAGCCCAAATGTGCTGGGTGCTGATTCTCATGTTTTCTCCCCTCTCTCTGTAGCTCTGGGACAGAACTGAACATTCCTTCAAATGCCATCTGAAGACAAAATCAAAACTGCTTTCAAATTCTTTTAAAACCATTACATAAAATATAAATTGCTTGTCAACTTCATAAATAGCGAGAAGCAATGAATCGGCTGTCCATTTGCTAAATTCATCAAATTGGTCATTCAGAGAAACTGGTAAAAAGAATTATAAAAACGCTAAATATTGGCAAAACAGAAAATGACTTTTAAAATAATTCAAGAGAAATCAGTATAAACTGAAAGATTCTTGTATCGAATATGTTATGAATTTGGAATATCATTATATAAAGAGTGTGATCAGAAAAAAGCTAAGTTGACCCTCTCATTCTCAACAATTTAAACATTTCTTAAAATGCCAGTAAGATAGTAAAGAATAATATTAAATATGTAAAAAGCATATTCCCTAAAATGGTGACTGGAAAATCAGTGTACTGACTAAGCTTGGTGAGTTGGTCATGTAGTGACCAATTGATAAAAGATGGATTCTCGTGGAATTTATTGTGAAACCCACCACTGACTTGCCCTAAGAAAGTCATGGGTAGTTTCTCTCTCTCTGGGTGGGTTTGTGTGTGTGTGTATATGTGTGTGTGTCTCCAACTCTGTCTGTCTCCCTGTATCTCTCTGTCTGTCTCTATGTCTCTATTTCCCTCTGTCTCTCTGTCCTCGTCTGTCTCTGTCTATGTCTCTATCTTCCTCTGTCTCTCTTGGTGTCTCGCTCTGTCTCTTTGTCCCTCTCTCCTCGGCCCCTCCCATGCTGCAGCTCCTATCTGCACACTGGCTCCTGTCTTCAGTTGCCCCATTCTTCAACTGGCCAGGGTGTCCTGCCTACCCATTCCCCCTCAGAGCCTAACTGCCCCCTACCCTGCCACTCAGTGCCCCATTTACTCAAGGACTCTGCTCAGGCCTGTGTCCGAATTTCAAATTCTTTTTTTTTTTTTTTTCGAGACAGAGTCTCGCTTTGTCGCCCAGGCTGGAGTGCAGTGGTGCAATCTCAGCTCACTGCAACCTCAACTTCCTGGGTTCAAGTGATTCTCCTGCCTCGGCCTCCCGAGTAGCTGGGACTACAGGCATGTGCCGCCACACCTGGCTAATTTTTGTATTTTTAGTGGAGACGGGGTTTCACCATGTTGGCCAGGCTGGTCTTGAACTCCTGACCTCAGGTGATCCGCCTGCCTCAGCCTCTTAAAGTGCTGGCATTACAGGTATGAGCCACCATGCCCGGCCTGAATTTCAAATTCTTAGAGAGAGGAATTACCTGACTTGGCTCAGGGCAGGGGTTTCACGAATCAGGTGGGACTGCATGGAGCCACGTGGAGCCACACCTTATGGGATATTCTGAAGGAGACAGTGATGTGTCTAGGGTGCAGCTGCTCCCACCTGGTCCTCCCACTTCTTCCCATGGATCCAGTTCTAAAGGTGCCCTCACCTGCATGATCCCACCACCCCCATCCCATCACAAAGGGGCTTCTGCCATCTCCTAAGAGTGGTTCCCCTGCCTTCCCACTCTGCTAGATTAGCACAGCCTCTGTTCCCGTACTCTGCTTTAGTTTTCCTCACAGCATCCTTGATGTGAAATTTCATATTTGCTAATCTTTTATCGGCCTCCCCAACCAGAACCTAAGATCCCCCTGGGCAGGGACTTTGTCCTCTTCACTGCCCCAGCCCTAGCTCCTACAATCGTGCCTGAGGCTCAGTGAGTATTTGGTGAATGACTGAAATAGACTCACATCCTCCCCAGTGGGAGGCCGCCAAAGTCTCCAGGACCACTTCGAAAACAGGGACCACAGGGCTGGGGTGGTGGCCAGTCAGTCCTCTGCCCCCGTCTGTCTCCCCAAACCCCAGTCCTCCTCTTCCAGCTCTGGCCGCCTCCCCAGGGGGAAAGGTGGGGAAAATTGTCTCATCGTCTCTTTATTTCTCCAGATGAGCTTCAGAATTATTTGGGCTCGTTTCCCAAAAAGTTCCATTAAAATTTTGGTGGACATCACATTAAATGTATACATCCATTTAAAAAGAAAAGACATTGTTACAACATGGAGGCTTCTCACCATGAGCACACTTCTCTTGTCTTCCTTTAAAACCCTCAGTAAAATTCTGTAGTTTTCAGAGTTTCTGCATATTTATTGTTAAGCTTATTTCTAGGGTGTTTGATTTTTACAGTTGCTATTGTGTGTGTGTGGGGGGGGTGGTCTTTCCCCTCCTCTTTTATTTTCTAATTGTTGGTATAGAGGAAAGGAAGTGATTTGTGAATGTTTCTTTTTTATCCATTCACTTTATCTAATTTCACTCTTAATAAAATTCTAGGAATTTTTCATTTGGTTATCGGGGCTATAAGACTGCATTATCGACAAATGATAATTTTACCTCTTTCCTTTTTCTTCCTCTAGTTGTATGTCTTTTTCAGCTGTTTCTTATTGCATTCAGCAAAGCGGATCTTTTCTTAAATAAACCTTTCATTAGGGAAGACATTCAGGACTCCGCAGAATATTTAAGGAACAAAACCATGAAAGTGACACATCTCGACTCCTGGGATGCTGCCAATGCAGTACTTAGAGGAGATTTATGGCTCCCAGTGCTTATATTAGAGAGGGAGAAACGAGAAACAATAAATCAAGCTGATACCTAATGAACTTTGTTCCCTTTAAGCTATGAACCAAGAAAATGGAGAAAAAGGAAGTAATAAATCTAAACAAAATGTAGGAAGAAGAGAGAATTGATAAACTTAATCAGTAGCACATGGGAGGAAATGGCTCTTCTGCAGAGCGGGCCAGAGTGGGACGGCATGGAGAAGTGGGAACAGGTCCTTCCAGGCAGCCTGGCTCTTCCTTCTCATCATGTACTGGGAGGTGGGTGGGTTTGAGGCAGGAGGCTCTGCTGACCCCATGGCCACCCACTGGCCATGGACTTCTGATGGGAGTTTTTGCTGGAACCAGTACTCTGGAAATACTTGGCTGGGGTAGAGAACGCTCAAAATCAGGAATGCATCCCCAGCAGATGCGGCCTCCAGGGAGAAAGAGGTGCTAAGCCGGGGTGAGCAGTGAGTGTGCCCCATAGGCGTCTCACACCATACTTTGTAAATCCATCTGGTCTCATGCTTCTTAGAGGGTCCTTGTTTCCCTCTATCTTGTCTTCAGTCAAATTTCTTTTCAGAATTCCACCCTGATGGAGAAAAAGGCAAGCTGTCGGTTTTGTTTGCCCTCAGGCCAGAGCACTTGGGGATGAGGGCGGGTGTAAGAGGGCACAGGTGGCTAGTGTGGGAAGACTGGTTATGCTGGGCCCACAGCTTCTTTTTGGGGTGGTTGTTTGGAGGATTTAAAGCTATGTTTATTTATTTATTCATTCATCTGAGATGGTCTTGAAATAGCACAATGCTGTGTTTTTTTTTTTTAAGGGAAAACTCCCTTAGAATTGGTCTTTAAAAAATTCATAAGTCATTAGCCAAATTCTAAAAAGGAGCAAATGCAAATTAATACACTCTGAAAAAGGAAAGAACTAATACAAAATATGTTCTACAAGCAAAACGAGGGTATCAGCTTCTCAGCAGTCTGCTTGTATGTTTTTGTAACCAAATGGAAATTGTTTTCTTCCCAGGGGCTCATCATCTACTCCTCTCAACTCAGTGTAATCTGCAACAATTGCTTTTAATAGAGAAGATAAAGCTCCCAGCTGCGTTTTTAAACAAACAGAAGGACAGAAGGACATCTTGGCATAGATCTGGTTTCTGGTCATAATCGCTGGATGGCCTCTTCATTTTACAAGGGAAGGGGAATCAGCTCCCATTTTCCAGGTGGGAGTTGGTGTCAAACCGGCTTAGCAGGTGCTGGCTCCCTGGTGAGCTGAGTTCTGGCACAAGCAAACTAGTCTCCTGGAAGGGAAGAATGAAGACCCCATTTGTCTCTTCCAGGTCAAGATCTTAAGTCAGGAGATTTGTGGGAGGGCTCTGGCCACGGTCTTGTGAAAGGGTTGCACCACTCCTGGCACAATGTGAGCTGAGGCTGGGAGTTGCAGGGCTCACCCACCCTGCTGGTATGGAGGTTTGGGGAGACTCTCAAGTCTGCGAAGGTGACCTAAGGAAACTGAGGTCTGGGAACCCAAACGAGGGCTACCATTGAAGTATGAACAGTAGGGGCATCACCGCAATGGTCCACAGGTGTCCTGCAGACTGCGGGACGAGTTTTCAGCAGTGATACTGGGGGGCAGCAGCAGAGGCAAAGATGGCAGCAGAATCTACTTGCCTGGTGTGGGGAGGACTCAAGATGGATGGAGGTACTGACTTTCCTGGTAACAGGAGCTTGTAGACATGTGACTGGACATTCAGAGATGTGATTCCTTTGTATGCCAAGAAGGTGAAGCAGTTTACTGTTCTTCTCCATGCACTTAGCAATATATGTTAATTTCCAGCATTTGGCAAAATCAAGTTAGTCTGGGCAGCTTTAAGAAAAGAAACAGGGCCAGGCGCAGTGGCTCACACCTGTAATCCCAGCACTTTGGGAGGCCAAGGTGGGTGGAACACCTGAGGTCAGGAGTTCGAGACCAGCCTGGCCAATATGGTGAAACCCCATGTCTACTAAAAATACAAAAATTAGCTGGCTGTGGTGGTGGGTGCCTGTAATTCTAGCTACTTGGGAGGCTGAGGCAGGAGAATCACTTGAACTCGGGAGGTGGAAGTTGCAGTGAGCCAAGATTGCACCACTGCACTCCAGCCTGGGTGACAAGGTAAGACTCTGTCTCAAAAGAAGAAAAGGAACAGATATTTACCACAACACAAATACATCTAAGTTTTGAAGGTTTAGAACAGAATTACTTTTTTTTTTTTTTTTTTTTTTTTTTGGAGACAGGTTCTCTCTCTGTCGCCCAGGGCTGGAGTGCAGTGGCGCCATCTCGGCTCACTGCAACCTCCACCTCCCAGGCTCAAGCAATCCTCCCATCTCAGCCTACTGAGTAGCTGGAACCACAGACACATGCCACCATACCCAGCTAACTTTTGTATTTTATGTAGAGATGGGGTTTTTGCCATGTTGTCCAGGCTGGTCTTGAACTCCTAGGCTCAAGTGATTCACCTGCCTCTGCCTCCCAAAGTGCTGGGATTACAGGCATGAGTCACTATGTCTGGCCAGAATTACATTTTCTTGTAGTGGTTAAACATATCTTCTAAAGGGCTTTATTTAAGGAAATGTTAGCTTCTGTAACAAATAAACCTCAAAATATATCCTGCTTATACATGATAGGGAGTCCAAAGTGCATACTGTGGCCAGCTGGCTGGCACTCAGCACTGATTCTTAGACCCAGGATCCTGCCATCTTGTGGCTCTGCTATCTTCAGCATGTTGCTTCCAGGGTCACCATGCTTGTTCACATCAAGCTGTCTGAGGGTGAAGAACATGGAGGAATGAACATACACACACACACACACACACACACACACAAACTTTTCATGTGCTAGGAAGTGGCACGGGTTGCTTCTGCTCATGTTCTGTTGGCTGGAACTCCGTCATATGGCCACACTTAACTGCAAAGGAGGCTGGGAAATGAAGTCTTGCAATGCCTGGGAAGAAGAGGAAATTGGTTGGTGAACAGATAACGGTTTGTGCCTGTAGGGAAGGAAAATACATCTTTTTTTTCTGCTCTTCCAGGTTCTCTGGCTGGGGCTCTGTAAATTAGACTAATGGAAGACAGATTAATAGGCAGAAAAAAAAAGAAGTTTATTAGCATGTGTATCATGCATGCACATGGGAGCATTCAGAGATGAGTAACTCAAACGGGTAGAAGTTGGAGTCTAGATACTATATCCAACTTAGTAGGAGAAAGAGAGGGAGGGAAGGGGCATTTAGGGAAAAGCAAATGACATTTTGGAAATGTAAGTGAGCCCTTAGGAGAATAAACGTGAGATGTGATAGTTTGTGCCAGTGTCTGTTAGAGGTACTCCTGGGGAGGGGATTTATGGCAATTGAGTTCTTTTGGGAGCTTCTGCTTTTAGGCAGACAAGGGATTTCAGGAACTCAAATGACTTTGGCACAAAATAATTCTTATGCCGAAGTGGCACATTTGAGGGTGGCATTTACTGATTCCCTCATGCCCCAGATATCACACTGATTATCACAAGAGACCCAGAGCGCCCTTCGCAAACGCTGGATTGGAAATGTCAAATTCAGCATGGAAATGTCACAGTCCTTGAACATGCTTGAATGAATAAGTGAAAAGCACACTTCTGTTGAAGGGGAAAGAATGTATGATTCTGATCCTTGGACCAGACTCTCTTCCTTGACAGTCTTTTTTTTTTTTTTTTTTTTTTTTTTTTGAGAAGGAGTTTCGCTCTTGTCGCCTAGGCTGGAGTGCAGTGGTGTGATCTAGCTCACTGCAACCTCAGCATCCTGGGTTGAAGCGATTCTCCTGCCTCAGCCTCCTGAGTAGTTGGGATTATAGGCACCTGCCACCACGTCTGGCTAATTTTGTATTTTTAGTAGAGACAGGGTTTCACCATGTTGGTCAAGCTGGTCTTGAACTCCTGACCTCAGGTGATCCACCTGCCTCGGCCTCCCAAAGTGCTGGGATTATAGGTGTGAGCTACCATGCCTGGCCTCTCTTTCTTGGCAGCCTTTCTATCTCAGTTGTTCTGAGAGTTCGTGCCAAGGAGCACAGTGACACATTCTGTAACCCTTACCTTGGAACCATTGTTCTGGGGATTCTTCACAACCCCACAAGTGTCATCCACCTGATGACATCACATTCATGCTGCTTTGGTGTCCAAGGCATTGAAGGCCGTGCTGAGAGGGTGACATTGGTGTTTGTTACAGCTGGGGTGACTCTTTCAGGGTCATCTTATTTTCTCCTGACAAATACATGTGCCCTCTCAGCCCCTGGATCAACAAGGGTGCTTTTTGTTCATCTCAATAAGAAGTCCTTTCTTTGTTTTCTCATTTGCCACATGCTCTGCCTCATGGCTACTCCAGCGTCAGTACTGATCGGCGTCCAGTGTCTGGGCACTGTGCTGACACTCATTAGACTTTAGATCCCCCATCCTAGTAGCCACCTGCAGGGCAGGGCTCTGCAGCGGACTCTTTCGGCTCTGGTAGGGGTCTATTTGAGTGATCCATAAACCCCCAGGTCCTCTGGCTTCTGGGGCATTTTGTAAATGGCTATTTTGTGCTATTTTACTAAAGGTGTCAGATAATGAAAAGAGAAATGCAAATCAAAACTACCATGAAATATCACCTCACATTCATTAGTATGGCTACCATTAAAAAAAAAACTCAGAAAATAACAAGTGTTGGTGAGGATGTGGAGAAATTGGAACACTTGTGTGTTGTTGGTGGGGATGTAATATGGTACATTCTGCTGAGTAGTCTAGGGAGAAAGGTAAAAAATAAAACAGACGGTGGCTCACGCCTGTAATCCCAGCACTTTGGGAGGCTGAGGCGGGTGGATCACCTGAGGTCAGGAGTTTGAGACCAGAGACCAGCCTGGCCAACATGGTGAAACCCCGTCTCTACTAAAAACACACAAAAAATTAGTCGGGCGTGGTGGTGGGTGCCTGTAATCCTGTAATCCCATCTACTCGGGAGGCTGAAGCAAGAGAATCACTTGAACCTGGGAGGCAGAGGTTGCAGTGAGCCAAGATCGTGCCATTGCACTCCAGCCTGGGCGACAGATGGAGACTTCATCTCAAAAAAAAAAAAAAAAAAAAAAAGAAAGAAAAAGAAAAAGAAAGGAAGAAAATGGTGCATCCAGTGTGGAAGATATTATGGAGGGTCCTCAAAAAATTAAAAAGAGAATTATCATCACTTCTGGGTATATACTCGAAAACAGGGTCTTGAAGAGATATTTGTACACCTGTGTTCAGGGCAGCATTATTCACAACAGCTAAAACATGGAAGCAACTCAGTTGTCCACTGATGGATGAATAAATAAGCAAATTGTAATTACACATAAAAGGAAACACTGGTCAGTCTACAAAAGGAAGGAAATTCTGGCACATGTTACAACATGGGTGAACTTTGAGGACATATGCTAAATGAGATAAGACAGTCACCAAAGGACAATTAATTTAGCCAAGCGTGGTGGCGGGTGCCTGTAGTCCTAGTTACTGGGAGGCTAAGGTGGGAGGATTGCTTGAGCCCAGGAATTCAAGGCTGCAGCCAGCTATGATTGTGCCATTGCACTCCAGCCTGGGCAACAGAGTGAGGGCCTATCTCTAAAACAACAATAAAACAAGACAAATCCTCTGTGATTCCATTTATCTGAAGAACTTACAGTAGTCAAAATCATAAAGAGAGAAAGTAGAATGGTGTTGCCAGAGGTTGAGGGATGGGGAGAATGGGGAGTTACTATTTAGTAGACATAGAGTTTCAGTTTTACAATATTAAAGAGTTATGGAGGTGGATGGTGGTGCTGGTTACACAACATTATGAATCTATCTAATGCCACTGAACTGCACAATTTAAAATGGTTAAGGGCCAGGTGTACAATTTAAATGGTTAAGGGCTCACACCTGTAATCCCAGCACTTGGGGATGCTGAGGTGAGTGGATCACTTGAGGTCAGGAGTTTGAGACCAGTCTGGCCCAAACGGTGAAACCTCGTCTCTACTAAAAATACAAAAATTAGCCTGGCATGCTGGCAGGCACCTGTAGTCCCAACTACTTGGGAGGCTGAGGGAGGAGAATCACTTGAACCTGGGAGGCGGAGGTTGCAGTGAACTGTGATCTCACCACTGCACTCCAGCCTGGTGACAGAGCAAGACTCTGTCAAAAAAAAAAAAAAAAAAAAAAAAGAATAAATAAAATGGTTAAGGTGGTAAATTTTATGTATATTTTACCACAAAAGAAGCAAAAGAAAACAGGTAACTGTAGCCACTTGTGCCTGGGATGGGGAGGGGCATGAAGGAAGCCACCCATTTCATATCACCAGGGAACTACACCTTATTTTATTTTTTTGAGACGGAGTCTCGCTCTGTCACCAGGCTGGAGTGCAGTGGCATGATCTCAGCTCACTACAACCTCCGCCTCCTGGGTTCAAGCGATTCTCCTGCCTCAGCCTCCCGAGTAGCTGGGACTACAGGTGCGTGCCTCCACACCCAGCTAATTTTTGTATTTTTAGTAGAGACAGGGTTTCACCATATTGGCCAGGATGGTCAAGATCTCTCAAACTTGTGATCCACCCATCTCGGCCTCCAAAAGTACTGGGATTACAGGCGTGAGCCACCGCGCCTGACTGGAAACACATCTTTATATAGCTCTCCTCCCTTCATGGGGGCTTGTGGGGAAGTGAGAAAGAAAAGCAGGGCGGCAGTGCCTCTGGAAGCTCTTTGGTGCTTCCAAAAGGTAGAAATGGGGAACCCTCTGTTCAGCAGAGCATGTTTTTGAATTTGGAGGTTGCCCAGAGAGGCCTGGAAGCCAGTGCAGGGGAGGGCCACATTGTTCAGCACACCAGGATGCTGAGTTTGAAGGGGGCATAGGGAGGACCTCAAAAATGACAGTAGGGGCCTGACGCGGTGGCTCATGCCTGTAATTCTAGCACTCTGGGAGGCCAAGGTGGGCAGATCACCTGAGGTCAGGAGTTCAAGACCAGCCTGGCCAACGTGGCGAAACCCCGTCTCTACTAAAAATACAAAAATTAGCCGGGCGTGGTGGCACATGCCTGTAATCCCAGCTACTTGGGAGGCTGAGGCAGAAGAATAACTTGAACCCAGGAGGGAGAGGTTGCAGTGAGCCAAGATTGCACCACTGCACTCCAGCCTGGGCAACAGAATGAGACTCTGTCTTAAAAAAAAAAAAAAAAAGGAAGCAGGATATGTTGAGGTATGGAACACATTCAGGAAGCTGCAAGGGGAAGTTTCTAGGATGGAGACCTAGGAAATTTTTAAGACTCTAAGAATCTTTGCAGTGAAACAGCTCCATCACTACCTACTGAGACCAGGCTACTCACCAGGGCCTGGACCCTGGTCTACTCCTGTAAGGTACATGGATGTGCTTTGGTCAAGGAATAGGGTGAGGGGGATATCCACGCCTGCATGTCTGAGCGAGTTTGGCGCGCAGGCACACACTTCCACTTGTTACACAACCTGTTTGTTTAAGTTCATACTTGGCTCTGAGCCACTATTGTCTGTAGAAGGTATAATTGCCCTACTAATGCTGTACAGGGGCTCTTGAGGCTCAGCTTGGCTCAACATGGCTGGACATGGCTCTTGTGCAGGTGTGCTGGCTCCCAGAGAAAGAGATAGAGAGAGAGCCAAAGCTGTCTGTCTTGCAGATGGACAAGAGGGAGCCAGGACATAGCTCGGCTTGCTCATGCCCAGAGAGAGAAAGAGTTAAGCTGCTGACCCTGAAGGCAGTGGAGAGCTGGCCGCACAGGTGTGCATGGGAGCTGCAGGACTAAGCAGCCAAGACATGGCAGACACTGTAAAAGAGCTAGTTTGCATCAGCTGTGTAAGAGAGCGGCTGCTGAATAAAACCATATTCGCCTGCCTACGGCCCTCCGAGTCTTCTTTCTGCCCATCCACCCACTCCCCTCGGACTTCAGCTATGGGCTGGACCCTGATCCCAGGACCTGATAACCCCTCTACTCTGTGTGTGACTCACTCCTTCTTTTCCTCAGTTTAGATTTCTGAGAGAGAACCTCATTGGCCCAATCAGTGCCCACTCCCTTTTCATGTCAGGCACTCAGAGGTCAGATTCCCGCGATGGCCAATCAGCGGTGGCTGCGGAGTAGGGAACAAGGCCGCCCTCACTAGCAACAACTTGAGTCTGCTTCTTTCACCAAGGGCTGCGTGGGTGAGTGCTCCCCTCAGAGTGAGATTCGCTGCTGCTCCTGGAAAGGACCGAGTAGTGCCGTCTACACATTTTGCCCAAAGTCATACGGCTGTTAAGGGTCAGAGGCAAGTTTCAAATCTCGGTCTGTTGACACTAAAGGCCCTTAGCCATCTGTCCTTTATTCTACATTGGCCTTTCAGAGCAAGATGTAGGAGACACAGGAGGGTGGAAAGAAATTCTTTGGCCAAGACTGAAATATGGCCAGATGGTGGAAATAAAAAAGTATTCTTTTTGGTCACTCCTATAGAAGATACATTTACAAACCTTCTATCAAGAACAGTTATTAAGCCCCTAAACAAACAAAAGTCCCTCGTGCTACAGGATAATGCAGGAAAGAAAGCCAATAAATCATTACCCAAATTTTGGAAAAGTGGCATGAATTGCACATTAAAAAGTCAAGGGAATGGAGTGAGGTCATCTTTAAAGGCAGAAGGCCCCTCAAATTAGAGCCAGCTGTGCTCCGCCTCTACACCTGGCTCCACACGCGGGCTCGTCCGCGTGAGAGATGAGCCGGGAATGGGATAAAAACCATCCCAGAACCCACAGGAAATGCAAGTCCCTCGCCAGGTAGAGGCTGAAGTAGGAATGCAATGATATTAGCAGCTCTTGAAACTCCATAGTTCAGTACTTCAGAGAAATCCTCAAGGGCTTTTAAAGCTTTCTGTTCCTTTGCTTTATTTTGTTTTTAAAAACTGTCTCCCAATCTCTTTCCCTTCCTCTAGTCTCATGGTTACTTCCTGTTCCAGGCACCTGCACAATAGTCCCAATTTCCCCTAACTAAGACCCCTAAGTGTTTGTCCTAAGTTCCGATGGCGAGCTCTGTACCCCAACCTCCTCCACGAAAAAGGGCGGTTCATAGAGGAAATTCCAACCAAGGCTCCTTGGGTCTGAATCCCGTTCTCATTCTTACCAGCTGTGTGATCTAGAGTCTATGCCTTGGTTTCACTCATTTGCAAAGTGGGGATAAGAATAGTAACCACCCGGCCGGGCGCGGTGGCTCACACCTGTAATCCCGGCACTTTGGAAGGCTGAGGCGGGCGGATCACGAGGTCAGGAGATCGAGACCAGCCTGGCCAACATGGCGAAACCCTGTCTCCACTAAAAATACAAAAATTAGCTGGGCGTGGTGGCGGGCGCCTTTAATTGCGGCTACTTGGAAAGCTGAGGCAGGAGAATCGCTTGAACCAGGGAGTCAGAGGTTGCAGTGAGCCGAGATGGTGCCACTGCACTCCAGCCTGGCAGTAGAGCAAGACTCCGTCTCAAAAAAAAAAAAAAGAAAGAATAGTAACCACCTAATAGACTTGTGAGGGTTAAAGGAGATGATTTATGCTAATTACTGGAGTAGTGGCTGGCACATGGTAACTGCTTAGTAAATATTAGCTACTTTTACAGTGAAGTAGAGGATAGAAAGGAGTTGCATTTTTATTGGATAACAACCCTAGACATTTTGTGCATTCCAGAGAAAGGTATGAAAAGGAACTTCCTGGAGCTGCCTGGTCTGGGGCGTGCAAGCATCCCTGCTGGCATCTCTCTATGGGTCTTTGCTTCCCCCAAGCATCATGGCTGAAAGGAATTTTATGAACTGTTGCCTTTCGATCTATTTCCAATCTTATGTGCATGCCCTTTGCTGCAAGACGCTAAAGTGTCTCCCACTAGAGTAGGCAGAGTGTATTTCTCTGCTCCATGGATGTTGGGCTTGGCTATACGACATGCTTTGGCCATTGGAGTGTGGGCAGAGTGACAGTATGTCAGTTCCAAAGAGTGTCAGTGCTGCCACCCACCCCTCTTGCACTTTCTGCTTTCCTCCATGGGAAGAACATACCCCAGGTAGCCACTGGCCTCAGAATGAGAGACACATGAAGAGAACTAAATGCAACCCAGGGCCTGAAGGAGAGCTGCTCTGGCCAGCAGGCACATTTGTGAGTGCGATATAGATGATTGCTGCTCTAAGCCACGGGGATTGTGGAGTTTGTTATCCAGTAGGACTCAGCAGAAACCTGGCTGATACAATGTTTTTAGGCTCAACAGGGTGATCACAGCATGAACAGCAGAGTACATGGCTCCAGACATCCTACAAGCTGCTGTCCGAATAAACTTCTAACATCACGCCTTTCCCCCACTGCCTGTATACTTAAGTCCACTCTCCTTTGCTCTACGGTGAAGGCTCTTCTCACTTGAACTGCAACCAAATTTTCCTCACCTGTCCCCTCCTCCCTTAACAAATTTTCCATCCCAGGAGCAGTGGCTCATGTCTGTAATCCCAACGCTTTGGAAGGCTGAGGTGGGAGGACTCGAGCCCAGGAGTTCGAGACCAATGTGGGCAACATAATGAGACCTTATCTCTACAAATAATAATTAAAAAATTAGCCAGGTGTGGTGGCACATGCCCATAGTCCCAGCTACTCGGGAGGATGAGGCGGGAGGATCACTTGAGCCTGGGAGGTCGAAGCTGCAGTGAGCCGTGATGGCACTACTGCACTCCAGCCTGGATGACAGAGTGAGATCCTGGCTCAAAAAAAAAAAAAAAAAAAAAAAAAAAACAGAAATAAAAAACCTAAAACAAAAACAAATACAAAAATCTTCCATTGCAGCCATTCTTAAACCATATGTAAAGTTCTGCTGCTGACTGTTTTTCTCCACCTAACTCCTAAACTTCATGAAGACAACCAGCCGTCCCATTCATCTCCCGCTTCTCTGAACACAGGTTGTCAGAGAGGAATGGGGCCCACCCATGATTCACTCTCACACCCTCTCTGTCACTCTGGTGCCTTCGCCCTACTCCGCTCCATCCCTCTGGGTTAGAAGTAGGATGTGGTACCTAGCTGCTTCTTACCCAGATCTCTCTGACATGCAGTCCTGGTGCCCTTTGTCACCCCATGTCAGCTCTGGGCACCCTCCCTGGTCCATCCTTGTGTTAACAGGACCCAGGTGACTCCTGGCACAAAGGGGGATGTTGGAAGCTGAGGGAATGTTTCCTTGCAGGGGCAACAGAGGCAGAGAAGAGTCCAGGCAGCCTTGAGGCGTTAACGGAGACTGACCTGGAGGCCAGGCCATGTTTGTTAATGAACCTGAGAAGCTGCTGAAGGAGGCCTGGGAAAGCCCCGACTTGACACCTGTGGCTGCTTCGAGCTCCTGAAGGCCATTCTCCCCTGGCAGGTGGATGTCAAGAAACGAATACATTCAAAGAAGAAGGGGAAAGATATGGTTTGAATCTGTGTCCCTCCCAGATCTCCTGTGGAATTATAATCCTCAGTGTTGGAGGTGGGGCCTGGTGGGAGGTGGTTGGATCATGGGGGTGGATTTCCCTCTTGGTGCTGTTCTCGTGAGAGTGAGTGCATTCTCGCGAGATCTGCTCATTTAAAAGTGGGTGGCACCTCCCTGCTGTCTCTCTCGCTTCTGCTCCGGCCGTGTGAGGTGTTCGCTCTCCCTTCACCTTCTGCCATGATTGTAGGTTTCCTGAGGCCTCCTGGAAGCCGAGCAGATGCCAACCTCATGCTTCCTGTATAGCCTGCAGAACCATGAGCCAATGAAACCTCTTTTCAAGTTATCTGGTCTCAGGTATTTCTTTATAGCAGTGTGAGAACAGACTCATACAGGGAGTGAGGACTTCTCTGATCAAAGGAAAGCAGCCACCTGGTTTTTGTCCAGTGGTTCACTGAAAATATTTTACTGAATAAAACTTTTCCTAACTGGCAAGAATGGTCTAGAAGCAGGTTGCTCAAATAGTGGAAGAAGTCCTCTTGAGGTCAAGGTAGTCACTGATGCCTTGACTTAGAACAGCAAAGCCACTACCGGAAAACCTGAACGCGCAAGATCGCAGTTCACAATTCAGAGCAGAGGGCCTGTAGCCCTTCGAGGCCCGAAGCCAGAGAATGCCGGAGGAGAGTTTTATTGCAGGAACTTAAATTTAACCAGCTGGAACTCTTTAAACAATCATCCTATTCATATATTTAAAATAAATTGTGCATCTTTTAGCAGGCAGTCAGCGTTTCGTTATTAAGATGGAAGATGGGACAGAGTGTTCTTGGCTGCGTTGATCCCAGAATCCCAGGCTCCTTTTCAGGCGCGCTTAGCATGTGGTAAAGACATTTGCGAAGGTAAGTGTGTTTCAGGCCTGTCAGACTGGAGCCCGCATACCTACACAGCAAGCAGCCGCTGGTCAACTGAGCAGCTCAAAGGGAGACCTTTCCAAGGTGATGTCATTTTCTCCTGACGTTCTACCAGAAGCCTGTAGGGAGCAAGAAAGTTGGAAAGAAAAAGGACGTTTTAGAAGGTTTAGTGGATTTACCAAAATCTTCTGGTAACAAATAATAAAATATTTCATAGAGCTACAATAGTTGAAACAGTGCGAAGTGGTTAAAAAAGGAGCAGTTCCAATAGATTGTTTTTTTTTTTTAAATAGACTTTAAGATACATAGGAAGTCAACATAAAAGGGAAAAGGAAGCTTATTCCTTGAAAACAACCAATACTATTATATGAAACCTGACAAGTTTTACCATGAAAAAGTATACACAATTAGAAATGAATATGCAGAAATAACCCCTGGTACCAAAACCTGACAAGTTGGCACAAAAAATTACACAGATCAATCTCTTTTCTTTTTTTTGAGACAGAGTCTCATTCTTGTTGCCCAGGCTGGAGAGCAGTGGTGCGATCCCAGCTCACTGCAACCTCTACCTCCTGGGTTCAAGCAAGTCTCCTGCCTCAGCCTCCCAGGTAGCTGGGATTACAGGCACCTGCCACCAGGCACAGCTAATTTTTTGTATTTAGTAGAGACAGGGTTTCACCATGTTGGCCAGGCTGGTCTCAAACTCCTGACCTCAGGTGATCCACCTATGTCGGCTTCCCAAAGTGCTGGGATTACAGACATGAGCCACCGTGTCCAGCCTCTTCTCTTTTCTTCTTCTTTTTTTATTTTTTGGAGCCAGGGTCTTGCTCTGTCACCCAGGCTGGAGTGCAGTGGTGTAATCACCTCTCACTGCAGCCTCAACCTTATGGGTTAAATTGATCCTCCCACCTCAGCCTCCTGAATAGCTGGGACTGCAGGTGCACAACCATGCTTAGCTAAATTTTTTATTTTTTGTTGAGACAGGATCTCATTTTGTTGCCCAGGCAGGTCTCAAACTCCTGTGCCCAAGCGGTCTGCCCACATTGGCATCCCAAAGTGCTGGGATTACAGGCCTCCCAGCCAGATCAATCTTTCTTACTTTTGAATATTGACATAAAAATCCTAAATAAAATATTAGCAAATTCTATTCATCAATATTTAAGCCATAGTTTTATCACAGGAGTGTAAGAGTCGTTAAAAATTTGGAAAATGTGGTCCTGTAATTTACTGCATTAATACGATAAAGGTTATAAAAAACATATATCATTATCTTCACTGCTTCTCAAACTTTGATGTATATAAGCGTTACCTGAGGATCCTTTAATGCATATAAGAATAAAAAAATGCATATTCATGGCAGGACTCAGTGACTCACACCTGTAATCCCAGCATTTGGGAGGTCGAGGCCGGTGGATCACTTGGGGTCAGGAGTTTGAGACCAGCCTCGCCAACATGGCAAAACCCTGTCTCTATTAAAAATACAAAATTAGCTGGGCGTGGTGGCTCATGCCTGTAATCCCAGCACTTTGGGAGGCCAAGGCAGGTGGATAGCCTAAGGTCAGGATGTTGTAACTGAGCGAGTTGTAGAGAAACGCCACACTCTGAGACTAATTCAGGAGTCCTTTATTGCCGGCGACTGAGAGACGGCTAGCGCTCAAAATTCTCTCGGCCCCGAAGAAGGGGCTAGATTTCTTTTTATACCGTGGTCTAACTAGAGGAGGGGGAGTTTAGCTGAAGCAATTTTTACAGAAGCAGAACAGGCAAAAAGTTAAAAAAATTAATTGGTTACAGAAGTAGTTACAGAAAAAATAAACAGTTCCAGGTGCAGGGGGCTTAAACTATCACAAAGATATAAAGGCAGGGGCTCTAGATGCCATCCACCGAGCGTCCCCAGGAGCTGCTGGTTCAGCTTGCCTCAATATCTTCTCAGTAAGTGCATTCCTGGATGTGCATGGAGTCAGCTTGCACCAGTTATGCCCTTAAGGGAGGGAGGTAAAGGGGCTGTAAGTGAAGGAACTAAAATGGAGTCTGTCTGGCTCTCTCAGCTAAGAGAGACAATCAGGTTAAAACAAGGTAGGGTATCACAAGGAGTTCAAGACCAGTCTGGCCAACAGAATGAAACCCCGTCTCTACTAAAAATACAAAAAATTAGGTGGGCGTGGTGGCGGGCGCCTGTAATCCCAGCTACTAGGGAGGCTGAGACAGGAGAATTTCTTGAACCCAAGAGGCAGAGGTTGCAGTGAGCCAAGGTCACGCCGTTGCACTCCAGCCTGGCAACAAGAGCGTAACTCCGTCTCAAAAAAAACCAAAAAAACTCGATGTAATCTTAGACTGGCCATGTATGGTGGCTCATACCTGTAGTCCCAGCATTTTGGGAGGCCAAGGTGAGAGGACTGTTTGAGACCAGCCTGGGCAACACAGTGAGGCCCTGTCTCTACAAAAGAAGAAAAACAGAAAATTAGGCATGGCTAAATGATAAAATAATGTTCTAGTTGAATTTATACATATATACATATACATATAAATAAAGATCTAAAACTTCAATATGGCAAATAACATTATCTGGGCAAAATAATAGCAAAATACATGACAGACAAGGAGTAAATGTGCCAAATATATAAAAAGCTACTTTAAATAGAGAAAATGGTCAAAGAACAAGTCATTCACTGAGGAAGAAATCCAGATGGCCGTAAACACAAGCAATGGAGCTCAAAGAAACACACATGATAGCAAATATCTGGTTGAGTATTGTTTATCTGACTGACTTTTTAAAAAATTAAAATATCCATTTTTGGTATGTAGAATCAGACAGCCACACATTGTTTTTAAGCAAGGCTTAGTGCTCAGTGATGTTTTACAAAGGGTTGCAAAATTCTATCATGCATGATCCCATTTAATCTTCGTGGCAATTCCATGAAATAGGAAAGTGAGATGTTATCCATTTTACAAATGAGGAGTTTTGGATTCAGTGATGTTACCTTCCCAATGTCATGGAGATAGTAAGGGGTTACCTTGTAATTTGCTGAATGTTTATTACATTATCGTTTTCTTTGGGCCATCATGATTAATTTGTTTTTCAATGAATTTCCATTACTTCAAAAGTTTCAGAATTATCGATACTAACATATTATGCTCTTGTCTCAGGGGAAGATACATTGAATGTCTTAGGAATCTCCAATTTTGTTTCTTAATGAAACAATCTATTCAAGGTAAAGCACAATTGATAGCTTAAATATCTAAAAAGGAATGTGAAAATGACTGCATTGTATTATTACTTCTTTAGTATTACAAGGAAGCTGTGAGTTATAGTACCACAGACATTTTAATGTATTTTAAAAATTTGTGAAGTTGATTAATTAATTGGTTAATTTCCTCCTTCAACAAGTATGTTTTGAGGGTCTACTGCGGGACATGCAGTTTTCTTGACCCTGGAGATGCAGAGATGAGCAAAACAGGCAAAATTGCTGTCTGCATGAAGCTGAGCTTCTAAATTTATTTTTGACATATGATAAAATAATGTTTGTGCTAGTCGAAGTATAAAATATATGACTGTACCGCCAATATTTTATATAATTCAAACAAGATAAAAAGCAGATAATTCAATAAGCACACATTGCAATTTAAAGTATACAAAGATGCTCACTAGCTTTGCCTGAAAATTAAACCTGGGATTGTAGGTATGTTAAGGTATCCTGCTAGAGGTTAAGTTTATATTTTGTTCCTCCTCTTCTTTGTGGTGTTTTTTTGTCTGTGTGGAGACCAGTCTCACTCTGTGGCCTAGGCTGGTCTCGAACTCCTGGGCTCCTGCCTTGAGTGGCTGTTGGGATCCTCCCACCTAGGCCTCTCAAAGTGCCGGTATTACAGGCATGAGTCACCACACTCAGCCCCTTCCCTTTCAAGAAGGTGCCACCAGCCTGGGCAACATGGCAAAACCCCATCTCTACAAAAAATAAAATTAGCTGGGTGTGGTGGCGCTGCCTGTCGTTCCAGCTATGTGGTGCTGAGGTGGATTACTTGAGCCTGGGAAGTTGAGGCTGCATTGAGCCGTGATTGCGCCACTGCATGCCAGCCTGGGCAACAGAGTGAGACCTGTCTCAAAAAAAAAAAAAAAAAGGCTGGGCGCGGTGGCTCACACCTGTAATCCCAGCACTTTGGGAGGCCAAGGCGGGTGGATCACCTGAGGTCAGGAGTTTGAGACCAGCCTGGGCAACATGGCGAAATCCCGTCTCTGCTAAAAATGCAAAAATTAGCCGGGCGTGGTGGTGGGCGCCTGTAATCCCAGCCACTTGGGAGACTGAAGTAGGAGAATCGGTTGAACCCGGGAGCAGAGGTTGCAGTGAGCTGAGACCGCGCCATTGCATTCCGGCCTAGGCAACAAAAGCGAACACGGTCTCAAAAATAAAATAAATAATAAGAAGGGCAAGTGGGCGTTGAGCTTGGACAAAGGAATGTGACAATGGCCTGGGCCAAGGGAAGGTAATTAGATCCCTTTTGTTGCAAAAGGTTTAAAAGAAAAAAATCTGACCAACCCTGTGGAGAGAAACAGCGGACCTTAGTTTTGGTTCTGGGAAGTTGGGCTCAGAACAGCTTCTGGGTGTCCAGGGACAGCTCACCTGGGGCGTGGTCGTGCGAATGCACCGCACAGAAGCTGGCCCCAGTGGCCCTGCTGGCTCAAGGAGCAGCCGGCGAGAGCACGGACTTCCCTTCTGCCGTCCACGCCCATTCTGACCGCCAGGCGGCGCCTTGGTGCCTGGTGCCAGAGGCCGCAGGACCAGCAGTGGCCAAGGCCGGCGCTTACAGTCCCAGGGATCAGAGGGGACGGTAGAGTCGCGGTTGGTGGGGACCCAAGCAGCTGTCTGTCGCGGTTGGTGGGGACCCAAGCAGCACGGAAGGGGGTGAGAGGACACTGCTTACCTAGTGATTGAAAAGATTATATTTTTTGAGCTGGCCACTAATTATTGGCTCAAGGCAAAAAACTGTGACACAGCTAGAATATTAGAATATTATCGACCTTTCCCCACCTGTATACCAGCATATGTGAGCTTGGGGTGTGTGTGCTGGTGGGAGGTGGGGGTGTCTCTCAGCCCCTTGGATTTGATAAAAGCTCAGCCTGGGGCCCCATTCCACGCCCTGAGGAGTTTTAAGCCCTGCCCAAGATCTCAGCAGCTCCGAATGCAGCGGCTTTCCCCCACGTCACTGTGCAGTGTGGCCCCTGGGGGCAGTGTGGCTCTGAGGGCAGGAGTCAAAGTGTGAGGCTCAGGCTCTCCTTAATCCCCCGTCCCCCAAAGGGCCCACCCTGACAGGAAAGGGGACTCACATCTCAGCAAATTCACCAAGTCCCTGAGATGTGCCTTGTGCCAGGGTCCCACCTCCTTCTTGGTCTCTACTGGCCTTGGATGATCCTCCTACCCTCCCATCTCACCAGTGCCTCCTCCCCTGGCTTCCCTGTTCCCCCTCTCTTTGTTCTGTCTCCCTCCCCGGAGCACAGCCAGTCTCCTCCTCATCTCGCGGAAAACTCAGCTCGCCTTCTCTGATGACTGGGTGCCTGTGCCCTTCCGCGTCCTCAAACCTCACCTTTTCCAGGTGTTTCTACTTCAAGACAGCGGCCCTCCTAAGAGGATCCCAGCTGCCAGGTGTTGAGCTAATAACACACTCACTGCTGTTCACCAAACGCCAGATCTTTGAAGTCAGAAGTTCATTAGGGATGAGCTATTTGATATCAGTCTTTTATTTCATAACCATTGGTCATATGCACAAACATTTTCTCTTGGCCTCTGGATATGCAGTTGGAGGTTTGTTAGTGATGGATATTTCAGAGGTTAAAAGATGAAGACCATTTCCAGAAGTTACAAAACAACCCTTAAAATTCTATAGTGAATTGGGCCGGGCACGGTGGCTCACACCTGTAATCCCAGCACTTTGGGAGGCAGAAGCGGGAGGATCAGTTGAGTTCAGGAGTTCGAGACTAGCCTGGCCAACATGGCAAACTCCCATCTCTACTAAAAATACAAAATTTAGCTGGCACATGCCTGTAATCCCAGCTACTCGGGAGGCGGGGAGAATCGCTTGAACCTGGGAGGCAGAGGTTGCATAGTGAGCCGAGATTGCACCACTGCACTCCAGCCTGGGCGACAGGGTGAGACTTTGCCTCCAAAAAAAAAAAAAAATTGTATAGTACATTGTATACTTTAAATGGTAAATTAGCAGGGTGCAGTGGCTCACACCTGTAATCCCAGCTACTCGGGAGGCTGAAGCAAAAGGATGGCATGAGCCTATGAGTTCAAGGCTGTAGTGAGCCATGATCACGCCACTGCACTCCAGCCTGGGCAACACAGCAAGATCACTTCTAAAAAAATGGTAAAGTACGTGGTATGTGAATTATATCCCAGTTAAGCTATTATAAAAAATAAAAATGTCGCTGGCAGCTCGGCACTGTCCTCTCTGGACAGCCAGGCTGTCGTGGCATATGAATTTCCCACTGTGGCTCTAACAAGTTACCAAAATGTCGTGGCTTTGAACCACACAGATTTATCTCACAGTTCTCGCGGATGAGAGGTCCAACATGGGTTTCATGGGCAAAATTAAAGCGTTGTTAAGGCTGCGCTCCCTTCTGGAAGCTCCAGGAGAAAATCTGCTTCCTTGCCTTTTCCAGCTCCTGCGGCCGCCCACATTTTCGTTGACTTGGGTCCCCTTCTTCCGTCTTCAAAACCAGCAGCATTGCATCTCCTGCCTTTTTTCTGCAGCCACTTTTTCCTCTGATGGACTCATCTGGCTCCCTCTTCCACTTTTAAGGACGCTTGTGATGACATCAGGCCCCACCAGACTACCTGGCATCATTTCCCCACCCCAGGGTCTGTATCCATAACTCACTCTTGCAGGCCTTTTGCCATGTCACGTGACACATTCACAGACTCTAGGACTAGGGCGTGAGCTTCTTTGGGGACTCAATGTTCTGCCTGTCACACATTGTGAGACTGCTGAGCCAATCCGGCAAATGATGGAAGGACCTGGAATTATTGATAACCAGCCTCCACTCCATCCCCAACAGCCAGCTGCCCTTGGGACCCACATCTTGCTGAGGGCCTGGGATTGATTGCACTTAGCATGGATGTTACTCCTTGGCTTCCAGGCCCCAGAGTTCTTTTCTTCTTTTTCTTTTTTTTCTTTTTTTTTTTTTTTGAGATGGAATCTTGCTCTGTCGCCCAGGCAGGAGTGCGGTGGTGCCATCTCGGCTCACTGCAACCTCTGTCTCCCGGGTTCAAGTGATTCTTCTGCCTCAGCCTCCTGAGCAGCTGGGATTACAGGTGCCTGCCACTGCGCCCAACTGATTTTTTTTTTATTTTTAGTAGAGACAGGGTTTCACCATGTTGACCACACTGGTCTCAAACTCCTGACTTCAAGTGATCCACCTGCCTCGGCCTCCCAAAGTGCTGAGATTACAGGTGTGAGCCACCACACCTGGCCTCCAGAGTTCTTCTAAGCAGATCTTATAGTTACCCAGGATCCAGGGGACAGGCAAGGCCTGACTTCTTCGTGGCCCAGCCTGGCCTGAAGGGGAGAATGTGGGTTTCCACTACTGAACAGGGGCATGTGGGCATTTGGGCAAGGTCAGCACCTGCCTTTTCACGTGCTCTCCAGCAAGGTGTCTGTGGACACGAGCCATGTGCATGGGGAGGCCTTGGCTGTGGGGGGAGCTGGGCCTTATGGGCAGGGATGCTTGGCAGAGATGACCAGTGCTTCACCCGTACGTCCAGGAGGAGGCCATGTCTTAGCCCACTTTGTGCTGCTGTAACAAAATGCCAGAGCCTGGGTAATTTATAAAGAACAGAAATTTATTTTCTCAGAGTTCTGGAGGTTGAGAAGTTCAAGAGTGAGTTGCCAGCAAGTCCATTGTCTGGTGAGGGTCTGCTCTCTGCTTCCAACATGGCGCCTTGAATGCTGCATCCTCTAGAGGGAGGAGCGCTCTGTCCTCACATGGCAGAAGCTGGAAGGGCAAAATGAAACCAAACTCCCTTCTTGATGAGGGAGTCAATGGCACCATCAAGCCCTTTTAGAATGGCATTAATCTATTCATGAGTGCAGAGCCCTCATGACCTAAACATTTCCCATATTCCAACACTGTTGCTTTGGGGATTGAGTTTCCAACACACATTTGGGGGACATATTCAGACCATAGCAGGCTGGAACCTTCAAGCATCCAGGAGGGAAGGCTCCTCGCTGGGACTGAGAACAGGATGTCAGCCTGGGGCTGGGTGCAGCCTGCAGGGCCCAAGGATGCCCAGCAGGTGCATGCACTTTTACGACCCAGCCGCCTGCCGGCCCAGAGCTCTTCCTTGCCCCAGTCAGGGCCCAGCCGTCACTAGCAGGAGGCCGTCTCCAGGGCGTTGGCCAGAGCAGAGTTCTCTCACCTCCCCAGCCTCGGCGGAGGAGGAGAAAGTGGCTGTGGCCTCCTGTGGAAGGGGTGGCGATAAGGGACTTTGGCAGTTCCAGGAACTTTGGCCACCTTGAGGCCTTCTAGGAGCCCTGTCTTCTGGGGGGTGGTATACCCCACCAGCACCTGCAGTGCTGGGGTCACTGTGCGCTGGTCAGGTGGCCTGACTGAGGCGCTGCCCCATCTCCAATGTCCCCACCACAATACCTGGCTGCAGGAAGCGCAGTGCAGCTGTGTGCAGAGCCCAGGTGGTTTCTGTCTACCCTGGTGGGGGTGGAGCCAGGCATGGACACTGCTGCAGCCCTGGGAGCCAGGTTCTGGGGCAGTCATATTCCGGTCCCCATCCAGCCCTGGGACACTCACTTTGTCTGCTCAGCCTCGTTTAGGATGAAGCCCATCAAAGGCCTTCATGTTGGGGGTGAGGGGTGTTCATCACAGAACCCGTGTACTACAGTTGACTGCCCAAGGGGTGGGTCCTTGACCCCAGCTAGGCCAACTGGGTCCTCCCCTGGGTTTGTTTTGTTTTGTTTTGTTTTTTTAAGTCTGGAGTGCCTTTCCCCCTTCACTCACTTTCTGATCTACATCCTGGGAGGTGAGAGGCATCATGGTTTTAACTGATCTGAGAGAATGTGGCTGACCCTTGCTCCCTAAGCCAGAGAGTTGGTGCAGACGAAGTCCCTGTGGCCTTGGTGATGCTGATTCCAAGCCCCTGCCACCCCCAAAGGCACTTTTCTCCCAGTGCCTGAGGGCCTGGCTTCTTTCAGCAGAGCCATGGGAGTTGAGCGTCTCATTTGTGCGCCCCACCCTGCCCCCTCAGCAGACAGGCAGGGCTGGGCTGGGCCCAGGCCAGACTCTCCTCTCCCAGGAGCTCTTTGAGGAGCAGCAGGGTGCAGCCAAGAGCGAGCACCTGGGGTTGGCAAGAGGAGACGGGTCTGGAGTCCCCTGGGCAGAGGGAGAGTCCAGCTTCTGGGGAGAAGTGGATCCTCCAGGGTCTAGGGCTGTGTCTGGGGAGCCAGCTCCACAGGGAGTCTGGGCACAACCTGGTGTGGTCTTTGGAACAGCAGGGCCTTGGACAGAAAGCTGTGAAAAAGGCAAAGAGGGGCCCACGATCCAAAGCACCAGTCCATCTTTGCCAACAGTGGTCTGTGCCTGCCTCTTGGAAAGGCCCGTGGTAACAGTTCTCCAACAAGAATCATGTCCTTTGGGTGTTTTGCTTTGCTTTTAAAAAATTTATAACCACATTGCAAACATTTGGAAGATTGAAAACCAACAAAAAAATCGCCAGCAGCCACTGTTCAAGTGTAGAAAAATGCTTGTTTTAGTTAATTTTCTAGCCGGTGTGGTGGCTCATGCCTGTAATCCCAGCACTTTGGGAGGCCGAGGCAGGCAGATCACCTGAGGTCAGGAGTTTGAGAACAGCCTGGCCAACATGGTGAAACCCTGTCTGTACTAAAAATTCAAAAATTAGCCGAGGATCGTGGTGGTGCGCGCCTGTAATCCCAGCTACTCCGGAGGCTGAGGCACGAGAATCACTTGAACACGGGAGGCGGAGGTTGCAGTGAGCCGAAATTGTGCCACTGCACTCCAGCCTGGGTGACAGAGTGAGACTCCATTTCAAAAAAAAAAGGAAAAAATGTTCTAGCATGCAGTCTAGTACTGTGATAGAAGCAGGTTTGGGCTAGGTAACCTAAACCAGTGATTCTCAAGTGCAGTCCCAGGAACAGCAGCAGCACCTGGAAACTTGTTAGAAATGCCAGTTCTCAGGTCCTACCTCCGACCTTCCAAATTAGAACTGAGGGTGAGTTTCAGCAAGTTGTGTTTTAACAGATCTGAATATGTTCTAGTTTGGGAGCGACTGACTCAACACTTTGTAATTTCATGCAGTCCTACTGCTTCACCACCAGAGGGCACCAGGAGGCTGTGGTTTTCCCCTTAAAATTGCCAGCTTTTAGATTCTCAGTGTCGGCCACAGATACTATTCAGACCTCACTGGACTTTAAAAAATAAAGAATGACGGACGATATGTTGAGAATTATTGGCTAACCTTAAATACCACCATGTTTGGACCAAATTGAACTGTCATTGTGGTTAGTCCTTGCCCAACTGCAGAGCCAGTGTCTTTTGGTGGTGGTGGAACGCATTTGGTGGTACTTCTTTTGTTCAGAACATAAAGAAATGTAAAAGCATTGGGGTCAGAAACAAAGACAGACTCCTATTAAAAGTCTGAATTCTTTATGGCTGGGCATGGTGGCTCACGCCTGTAATCCCAGCACTTTGGGAGGCCAAGGCGGGTGGATCCCCTGAGATCAGGAGTTCGAGACCAGCCTGGCCAACATGGTGAAATCTCTATTAAAAATACAAAAAATTAGGCAGGCATGGTGGCAGTCACCTGTAATCCCAGCTCCTCGGGAGGCTGAGGCAGGAGAATCGCTTGAACCTGGGAGGTGGATGTTGCAGTGAGCTGAGATCACACCATTGCACTCCAGCCTGAGCAACAAGAGGGAAACTTTGTCTCAAAAAAAGAAAAAAGTTCTGTATTCTATATGGCCAGGTGCGATGGCTCATACCTGCAATCCTAGCACTTTGGGAGGCCATGGTGGGTGCATCGCTTCAGCCCAGAAGTTTGAGACCAGCCTGGGCAACATGGCAAAACCCTGTCTCTACAAAAAAAAAAAAAATTAGCAGGGTGTAGTGTCACGTGCCTGTAGTCCCAGCTACTCGGGAGGCTGAGGTGGGAGGATGGGTTGAGGCTTCAATGAGCTGAGATGGTGCCACTGCACTCCAGTCTGGGCGACAGAGTGAGATCCTGTCTAAAAAAAAAAAAAAAACAAGTTCTATGAAAGGCAGAATACAGTTCCACTGTGGCCACGCCTGTAATCCCAATACTATGGGAGGCTGAGGCAGGCGGATCATGAGGTCAAGAGATCAAGACCATCCTGGCCAATATCGTGAAACTCCGTCTCTACTAAAAATACAAAAATTAGCTGGGCGTGGTAGCACGCTTGTAGTCCCAGCTACTCAGGAGGCTGAGGCAGGAGAATTGCTTGAACCCAGGAGGCAGAGGTTGCAGTGAGCTAAGATCGCGCCACTGCACTCCAGCCTGGCGATGGAGCGAGACTCTGTCTCAAAAAAAAAAAAGAGACTTATGATAGATGCGGTTGTTTGCCTCTCCTCCCACACCTGCTTCAAACAGTGTTTGGGTGCTGCATTAGCACCCAGTGGCCTTAGAAAGTGCCTTCAGAACAGTGGGCTCCAGGCAGGGAAGGCTCTCTTGGAGGTGGTCTTTGGGCCTCCTCAAGCTTCCCAGGGGTCTAGGAATGACCTGTGTGATCTAGCTTCCTGCCACTTCCTGGAGCATTTGACTTTCTTCTTCATGGCCCCCAGCGCCCTTTTCTGAGAACACCACTGACCTCAGCAGTTTCTCTGAGTGGTTTGCGAAGCCCCGAGGCATGTGTGCCAAGGACCTCCCTGAGATGCCTGAGCTGCTCTTCCCACTCACAGAGCTTTGTGGGGGTTTTAATACAATAAGCCATCAAAAGTATAGATTAGACTTTTTTAGCACTGCGTAAAAGACACTTCCATTAAACTCCATGGTTTTTTTTTTTTTTTTTTTTTTTTTTTTTTTGCTTTATTGGAACTGTGCCGTTATCCAAAACTCAGCCATAGACATGACGATTTATTCATTTGACAAACACTGAAATTTTTGGCGGGGTGGGGAACGAAGTCTGGGCTCTGTCACCTAGACTGGACTGCAGTGGTGCAATCATGGCTCACTGCAAGCTTGACCTGCTGGGCTCAAGCGATCCTTTCCCCCTGCCTCAGTCTCCCAAGTAGCTGGGACTACAGGCCTGCACCACCACGGCCAGCTAATTTTTAAATTTTTTGTAGAGACAAGTTCTCCCTATGTTGCCCAGGCTGGTCTTGAAATCCTGGGCTCAAGCAATTGGCCTACCTCGGCCTCCCAAAGTGTTAGAATTATAGGCATGAGCCACCATGCCCAGCCAACAAGCATTTATTGAGCATTTAAAGTGTTCTAGGGGTCAGGCTGTGCCTCATGCCTATAATCCCAGCACTTTGGGAGGCTGAGGCAGGCGGATCACCTGAGGTCAGGAGTTCAAGACCACCCTGGCCAACATGGCGAAACCCTGTCTCTACTAAAAATACAAAAATTAGCCGGAGGTGGTGGTGGGCGCCTGTAATCCCAGCTACTTGGGAGGCTGAGGCATGAGAATCACTTGAGCCCGGGAGGCGGAGCTTGCAGTGAACTGAGATTGTACACCACTACATTACAGCCTGGGCAACAGAGCGAGACTTCATCTCAAAAAAAAAAAAAGTGTTCTAGGGTATAGACACTGGACTTGCAGTGGGAACAAAACAAAATTCCACCCCATGGAATTTACATTCTGATGGGAAAGATGAGCAATAAACAAATAAGCACAGAATATGACGTCAGAAGGAAAAGAAAGCAGAGTGGGGAGTACCAGGGCGTGGGCAGCGGGGAGAAGGCTTTCCAGATAAGATATTGGAAAAGGCCTAACTGGGGGATTGGCTTTGGAGCGGAGATCTGAATGAAAAAGTAAGTGAATGCATCCTGAGAATGTCTAGGGAAACGGCTGTCCAGGCAGAGAGAACATCAAGTGCAAAGGCCCTGCGGTAGGACTCATCCCTTAGGCTTGCAGAGAGGGGAGTAGGACTGGAAGCAAGGAGATTCCCCTTCCATGCCCGGGCATCTCTTTCAGTTGCCCAGGCATGAGATGGAGGTGGCTGGAGCAGGGTGGGAGCAGAGGAGGGGCAAGATGTGGCTGGATCCAGGATGAGCTTGGAGGGTGGGGTGCCCAGCATCCATGTCTGCATTATGTGAGTTACAACCTCTCTAGATATGGGTGGCTTCACGTATTCTCTTTAAAATTCTCTTTCGGTGATATATATTATTGAAAAGATGATCACCTAGGAAAGACCGTAGCTTCCTATTCACCCTGTATCCAGTATACTTTGCTGGAGAAGCCCACGCATGTTATGCAAGTACTATTTTATTTTATTTTATTTTTTAGAGTCTTGCTCTGCCACCCAGGTTGGAGTGCAGTGGTGCGATCTCAGCTCACTCCAACCTCTGCCTCCCAGGTTCAGCCTCCCAAGTAGCTGAGACGACAGGCATGCACCACCATGCCTGGCTAATTTTTGAATTTTTAGTAGAGACGGGGTTTCACCATGTTGGCCAGGCTGGTCTTGAACCCCTGATGTCAAGTGATCCTCCCACCTCAGCCTCCCAAATCCATGTGCATCCTATCATTGGTCTTGCCACTTATTAAGTATTCACTGTGCCAGCAGCAAAGACCTTTTCACAGCATCCGGCATCTGGTTCCCCACCCCCACCCTCAGCCCTCTGAATTAGGTATTATTCCCATTTGACAGATAAGAAACTGCGGCTCAGAGGGGCCAAGATGTTTGTCTAACCACATGTATTCTAAGATGTTTGTCTTCAGGCCTAACGGTCAGAGAGACCTTCTCATTACAGGAAGGGACCACAAGGGGAATTGTTGCCAGAGGACGGATGTGGCGGCCTAGGGGAAATGGGCTTTGCAGGATCATAAAGGAAGCCTTAAAACTTTGATAATGACAACAACAGAAATTGAGCAGCCATTTCTGTGGCTTTTTTTTTTCTTTGAGACAGAGTCTCCCTCTGTTGCCCAGGCTGGAGTGCAGTGGCGCAATCTCAGCTCACTGCAAGCTCTGCCTCCCGGGTTCAAATGATTCTCCTGCTTCAGCCTCCCTGGTAGCTGGGATTACAGACATGCACCACAATGCACGGCTCATTTTTGTACTTTCAGTAGAGATAGGGTTTCGCCATGTTGGCCAGGCTGGTATCGAACTCCTGATCTCAGGTGATCTGCCTGCCTCAGCCTCCCAAAGTGCTGGGGTTACAGGAGTGAGCCACCACGCCCAGCCCTGAGCAGCCATTTCTGTGGCTTTTGGACGTGAAGATGTGCAGGGAGGAAAGCCTGTGTGGGAAGGAGCGCTTCCTGCGGGGGCGGGGGAGGTCTCTCCTTCTTCATGTGCCTGCCACTCCCTTAGAAGAGACCTCTCTTGGGCAGTGTCTTGGAAGGTAGGGTGGCCAGCATCCATCAAGGGACAGAAGCTAATGTCCCCAGGCCAGCCACATTGGTTTGACTTGCTGATAACAGAATGTGGTCCTCTGTGCCTTCTGCAAAGAGCCCTCCAGCAAACTTCTGCCAGCACCTGGGACATTCCAGGAACTGGGCTAGATGTCGGGAACACCAAAACAAGAAAGGCCCCATTCCTGCCCTTGAGGGAGTTGCAGCCACCTTTGGGGTATAGCAGAGCATCTTGGCTCTGCCCAAATGGGACCGCTTTTATGGACCAGGGAGTTCACGGCTCTTCGTAGGCATTGACAAGCACAAGGACCCGTGTTGCTTGGCTGGTGGAGGTGGAGAGTTTGCGGGGTGTGTTGGGTAGGGAATGAGAACACTGTGAAGACAGAAATAAGCATTTGAAGAGGAAGGAGGGAGTGGCTTGGGGTCATCTGCCACCCTCCGCCTCTGCCCCTCCCCACCCACCTGTATTGACTTCATGCTTGAAGGCCAAGCAGCTGGTGGCAGTAGCCCATGCGGCAGCTCATGTGATACAAAGACCACAGATTCAGCCCAGCAGCACCACTTAGACAGTGTGAGACTCAGAATCCTCCCCCACTGCAGCCCCAGAGCTGGGCACCCCGGGAGCTCAGGAGGACCCAGTGCAGGGCAGCATCCCTGGGGGGAATTGCCAGCATGCAGGGTCCAGGGTCGTCTCTGAGGGCTGTGAGCTGTGGACTATCAACCTGAAGGAAAAGGGAAGAAAGCAAATGGGCTTGTCATGTTCACAGGTGAGGTGTCTCTGGCATTTCCCTGAAGCCATGGAGGTGACTGTGAGGAGGCGGCACAGTCCTCCAGGCTGTTGTGATTTGGGTATCACTGTTCCTGGGACTGAGATTTTGCTTGCAGTTTGGGAAACCCAGGCACTTGGGTGGCAGAGGTGCATGACCTGGTCTCATAGTGACCACAGCTCTCTACCTGTCAGGCTTAGAGTGAGGATACGGGTCATCTCATGCCATCCTTGTAGCAGCCCCCACGAGGTAGTACTATGATTGCTTCCAGTTTACAGAAGCTGAGGTTACACTTGGCCAAGTTCCCCTAGAAAAAGGAGTGGTGCCAGGAATGACCTGGCCACCTGACACCTTGGCGTGGGTCCCCCTCCCCTGTATGCAGCTTAGGGAACATCGCTCCTGGAAAACGTCTAGTCTCACACACAGGGTGGGGCTCTGAGTGCAGGAGTCTTTATTCTAAGAGTCTTTCTTCTATTTTGAAGTAACTTTTTTTTAGTCACAGCTTTATTTTGATATAGTTCACACACCGTACACTTCACCCATTTAAAGCAGTGAATCCAAATTCAATGTTGTTGGGTTTTTTTTTTTTTTTTTGAGACAGAGTCTCACTCTGTCGCCCAGGCTGGAGTGCAGTGGTGCGATCTCTGTTCACTGCAAGCTCTGCCTCCCGGGTTCACGCCATTCTCCTGCCTCAGCCTCCCAAGTAGCTGGGACTACAGGCGCCTGCCACCACGCCCGGCTAATTTTTTGTATTTTTAGTAGAGACGGGGTTTCACCGTGTTAGCCAGGATGGTCTCGATCTCCTGACCTCGTGATCTGCCCACCTCGGCCACCCAAAGTGCTGGGATGACAGGTGTGAACCACCGCGCCGGGCCTTTTTTTTTTTTTTTTTTTTTGAGACACAGTCTCGCTCTGTCACCCAGGCTGGAATGCAATGGTACGATCTTGGCTCACTGCAACCTCCACTTCCCAGGCCCAAGTGATTCTCCTGCCTCAGCCTCCCGAGTAGCTGAGATTACAGGAACCCGCCACCGCACTCGGCTAATTTTTTGTATTTTTGGTAGAAATGGGGTTTCACCATGTTGCCCAGGCTGTTCTTGAACTCCTGGCCTCAAGTGATCCACCCGCTCAGCCTCCCAAAGTGCTGGGATTACAGGCATGAGCCACCATGCCTGGCCTGTGTTTTATATCTTTACAGAGTTGTGCAACCATCACCACGATCAATTTGAGGCTGTTTTCCTAACCTTGGAAGAAATCCTGTACCTATCAGCAGTTACTGCCTATTTCACCAGCCCCGCTCCAGCCCTGACAGCCACCGACGTGCTTTCTGGGTTTTCAGACCTGCCTATTCATGATCTTTCATATGAAAGGATTCATAATTGTATGTAGCCTTTTGTGCCTGGCTTCTTTAATTTAGCATGATCTTTTCTTTTCTTTTTTTTGAGATGGAGTTTTCCTCTTGTTGCCCAAGCTGGAGAGCAATGGTGCGATCTTGGCTCACTGCAACCTCCGCCTCCTGGGTTCAACAGATTCTCCTGCCTCAGCCTCCTGAGTAGCTGGGATTATAGGCGGGCGGCACCACGCCCGGCTAATTTTTTGTATTTTTAGTAGAGACGGAGTTTCACCATGTTGGCCAGGCTGGTCTCAAACTCCTGACCTCAGTTGATCCACCCACCTCAGCCTCCCAAAGTGCAGGGATTACAGGCGTGAGCCACCATGCCCAGCTTCTTTTCTTTTCCTTTTATTTTTTCTTAGACAGGGTCTTGCTCTGCCACCCAGGCTGGTGTGCAGTGATGTGATCACGGCTCCCTGCAGCCTCGACCTCCTGGGCTCAAGCGACACTCCTGCCTCAGTATCCGGAGTAACTGGGACTACAGGCATGCACCACCATGCTTGGCTAATTTTTTAAAAAACTTTTTGTAGAGATGGGGTCTCGCTGTATTGTCTAGGCTGGTCTCAAACCCCTGGGCTCAAGCAGTCCTCCCACCTTTGCCTCCCAAAGTGTTGGAGTTCAGGCATGAACAACTGTGCCCAGCTCACATGATGTTTTTAAGGTTCATTTATGTTATGGAATGAATCAGTACTTCATTTCTTTTTATTGTCAAATAATATTCTACTGCATGGAGATGCCATATTTTATTTATTCACCAGGTGATGGGCATTTGGGTTGTTTCTACTTTTTAATTATGTATGAATAATGCTGCTATGAACATTGTGTGTGTGAATTACGTCTTCATTGCAAACAATGTGGGTTCATGGGTGTGGGGCGTGTCTCTGAGTTGCGGGGGTGTCTGCAAGACAATCCCCGGGCCTGGGAAGAAAGTATGAGCATAGACAGAGATCATGCAGATACGGATATGTGTATGTGTAATCTTATGATACAGATGTGGGCTGGGCGCGGTGGCTCACGCCTGTAATCACAGCACTCTGGGAGGCCGAGGCGGGCGGATCACCTGAAGTCAGGAGTTCGAGACCAGCCTGGCCAACATGGTGAAACTCTGTCTCTACTATAAATATGAAAATTAGCCGAGCGTGGTGGCAGGCGCCTGTAAGCCCAGCTACTTGGGTAGCTGAGACAGAAGAATCACTTGAACCTGGGAGGTGGAGGTTGCAGTGAGCCAAGATTGCACCACTGCACTCCAGCCTGGGTGACAAGAGTGAAAATGTATCTCAAAATAATAATACTGATGTGCTTATGTTTAATGTAGACATAAATCTATACCCACGTTTTTCCTGCTGGGCCGCTTGTATCCAGGTGCTGAGTACCACTGTTGCTGTGGGTCGTGTGAAGGAGGCCCACCCCTGTGTCCTGAGGGCAGCCCTCCCCCACGGCAAATGGCTTGTCCAGAGGCGTCCAGTCCATCGGAGCCCAGAAGCCACTGCCACAGCTTGCTCACCTTGACTCTCTTTGCTTGCACCCAGAATTCACACCAGCACTGGGCCCCTCAGTGTCCAGGAAGGAAGCCCGTGCTATGTCCACAGACCCACTGATGGGAAGACCAAGTGACGGGAGGGAGCGGAGCCCCGCAGGCCTTCCCAGGGCTCAAAGCTTACCCGAGGTTCTCTATCTCACCCCAGCATCCAAACGCCAGGATCCCAATGCAGACAGCCCCACCATGCCCGGCTAATTTTGATGCCTGTGCTTTCTGATCAGCCCCCTCCACCTTGTCTGCCTTTGTCCCAGGGCAGTCCTTGAATCCTTTGCAGAGCTGTCCCGCCCCATGGTGTTCCTCCAAGTGTGACGAGACTCTTGTCCACCCTCCTTGACTGTACAAGCAGGACACTTGGGAACCTTGTTTCTGTTCTGTTCACATCTGGAGACTCCAGGCTGTGCACAGGCCTGGGGATGACAGGCCTGCCCCTTCTCCAACTCCTCTCTGGCTCCTCGGGTGGAGGAAGTCGCTACAGGTGTGTGTTTCTCTGGGGATGCTTCACAGAGCCACTTCTGCCCTCACGCTGGAGAAATGAAATAGTCGTCAAACTCCACAGAGAATTGGTCTGTGCTGCCTAGAACGATCCAGACCACCCCTATACACACACACACACACACACACACACACACACACACACACACACCCCCCATATGCTGGGCTGAAGTCTAAACCCCAGAGACATTGGGAGAGGGCCAAGTTGCCATGAGGACAAGCAGTGGTCGGGGAGCCAGCCCCAGATGAAGATGAGTGTGGAACGGGCCCCATGCGAGAAAAGGAGGTTTGGTGGTTTTAACCAGGTAAGGAGAAAGTCCTCAGATTACGTTAATGGCCCAGAAAGGACAGAGGAGGCCAGGAAGGAGCAAATGGCCCAAATTCCTTGTCTGTCTTCTGAAGGAGCCTGAAGTTATTGTGTGTGATTTTCATTTGGATAGCAATATAAATGTGTGTTTGATAATTTTCATGAAAAACCTTAAGGAACCTCCAACAGAATTACACACCGGCTGTCTATTTTCCAAATCATTGCAGAAGATAAAAGCAAGCACAACAGTCTACAGAAAACAAGTAAAATGGAACAAAAAATGTAAAAGAACCTTAAAAACAGAAAGTCAAAATCAAGATGAAGACATTGGTCCAAGCATAAGCAATAGTGTGAACAACTTAGGCCTCCTTAATAAAAAGCAAAATTTTTCAAATTACATATATTTTAACCTAATATATTATAAATACACCTAAATTTTAAAAAACCCACACACAAGAAGGGAAAGGATCAAAGCTTGGGAAAAGATATCAAGCACCAATAAAAATAAAATAGGGCTGATAATGTTCACATCAGACAAAACAGAATTTACTGGGAAGTACTTGGCATAAAATGAAGGAACTCTAAGTGCAGGCTACGTGGGTGCAGGCATGACTCCTGTTTGCTGAAATCTAGGTCTCTTCCAGGCATGAGCAAGAAACAAACCTTTGGCATTTTAAGCCACTGAGCTTTGGGGATGGCTTGTTAGCACAGCATAACCCCCCATCTCCTAATAGATATGTTAATACTGAACCTTCTGTACTGAATAACAACCATATAACTATGAATGTGAGGATAAATGGGAAAAAAGTCACAGTGCATTTTCCAACATCATTATCAGTCTTCAGTGAATCAAAAACAGGGTCAGAAGATTGGGCCATGGTAATATAAAAGGTAAAATGGATTAAATATTTACGGAATTTTGAACTGTGTTAGTAGGTCTTTATATTTTCAAACTATCTGTGTGCTAGTTACAAAATTGATTAAAACATAGGAATTAATAATAAAGCAGAAAGTATACAATCACTGAACCAACCTCAGTAGTACTAAAGTTAATAATACGAATTAAACAAAAATTAAACTCCACTTGTTATGGAAAAAAAATAGGTCAATAGACTATTTAGAAGCTAAGAACAGTGAAATTGCCACATATCAAAACTTTGGGATATCGATACAGTCATACTCTGGAATGTGTTCAGTTAAGCATTGAGAAAAGGTTCAGAAAATTAAAACCAATATAAATAAAATTATGAAGTAATATACATGCAAAAATAAACAGAAAATAACAAAATAAAACAAAAGCATATTCTGATAGCTGAAATAATTAAAAAGTTAATGAAATGGTTGAACTTCCCATCCTCACAAATTGGAATGTAATTTATTAAACAGTTTCTGGCTCCAAAGCTGGTTTTTTTTTTTGTTTTTCGTTTTTTGTTTTTTTTGAGACAGAGCCTCGTTCTGTTGCCCAGGCTGGAGTGCAGTGGCACGATCGTGGCTCACTGCAGCCTCAGGTTCCCGGGTTCAAACAATTCTCCTGCCTCAGCCTCCCGAGTAGCTGTGCCACCCAGCTAATTTTTGTATTTTTAGTAGAGATGGGTTTTCGCCATGTTGGCCAGGCTGATCTCGAACTCCTGACCTCAAGTGATCCACCTGCCTTGGCCTCCCAGAGTGCTGGCATTACAGGCGTGAGCCACTGCGCCTGGCCTCAAAGCTGTTTTTGGAGGGGGGCTCCATGCAGGGAGGCATCGATGTGGACCCAAACTCACAACACTCCAGAGTGAGACCGACAGACACTGCCAAGTCAGGAAGAGGAGGAACTGAGACTAGAAGGAGCCGTAGAGGAACAGCTGACCCTGCCTTGGCTTTTGGTTCATGGACCAAATGCCTCAATGAGGAATGAGTAAAAGCATTCACTTCTCCGTTCTCGGGGTCTCCACTCAGAGTCCCAGGACTGGTGGGCTGCCAGCCATTCCTCTCATGCTTCCTGAGATGGGCAGGCTCTTTTCCTGCCATCTGATATTCTGCCATTTTCCCAACATCTTTCTCCAACTAAGCACACAGATTGCAAATCACAAAAATGGCCAGGTGAGATGGGGTGCTCACGCATGCCTTCAGGATACACAGAGAACAGATCTCTGAAATATATCTGCAAAAGGATCTAGAAGAAAGTCTCAGTAAACTGCTACATTCGATGTTGGATGCGGGAGGACGTGGACTCTGTGAATCAGGAGCTAAAATGAAAAGGCAACAGTGAGATCAAAAGGGAACCAGATAAGACAAAAGGGGAAAAGGATCAGATACAGAAAACTTACAAAGAGATAGAAAATGTGGTGGAAGATTGAATCAGAGGTGTGAAAAACAAACTGAAATTCTCGAACAGGACAGAGTAGACCGTGGGGATGCTGGGGGTGAGGCAGGCTGCTCTAGGGCTGGTTTGCCCTGGAGAGGAACTGACTGGAGCTTGCCAGGAAACATTTCTGCTTCTGTCCCTTCACTGGACAACAAATGGCATCTGTCCAGGGCCTGGACCAGGATCGGATAGAGAACATCAGACACTCTGCCATCAGGGAGGGGACATTGTCAACTGGCATTCTCTGGGGCAGGGAGGGAGGACCAGTGATCCACAAGGCAAGCCCATTACAGCTATAAATGTGAGGTCACTCCCAGGATCAGACCTGCTAGTCACGCTGCGCTCATACTTCTGATGTGGTCACTTTTGTCTTCTGCAACCAAGATAAGAAATTGCCTCTAGAGAGGTGGTATCCACCCCTGCCCTGCTGCCTGGCCTTATCCCTGTGAGAGGGAGTTGCTGGCTGACACTTCAACCAAGGCGCTCCTGTGCTGGTGGGTCACAGCCTGCCCTGGCCCCTCCCGCTTGCTGCTTGGGTTCTAGCCAATTGGACACACCAGCAGGAGGCTGGAAGGGAGGGGAGAAAGAAGCCGAGATCGTTCTCATTCCACATCCCTGCAGGAGCTCCTGCCCCATGGCACAGCTTCTGCCCCATGGCACAGCTCCTGCTAGATGACACCCCACCCAGCTCAGCTCTGAAGACAGCTCCCTCCCTTCGGCCCCAGGGAAGAAACTGGCTTCCCACTGGGCACCTCTCTCTCAGCTGCCCCGACTCTGGAAATTGTCGCTTTCTTAAAGCTCTTCATGTGAACCATTGGAGTCAAATCTGGGTTTTTTTTTTTTTTTTTTTTTTTTGAGGCAAGGTTTCACTGCCACTCAGGCTGGAGTGCAGTAGTGCAATCTGGGCTCAGGTGATCTTCCCACCTCAGCCTCCCAAGTAGCTGGGACTACAGGTGGGCACCACCCTGTCCAACTAATTTTTGTATTTTTTGTAGAGATGGGGTTTTGCCCTGTCGCCCAGGCTGGTCTTGAACTCCTGGCCTCAAGCGATCCGCCTACCTCGGCCTTCCAACATGCTGGGATTACAGGCATGAACCACCATGCCAGGCCTCAAATCCCATTTCTGATGGGCCCCCCACTGATGCTTCTTCCCCACTTACCCCTCACAACTGAGGGTTGGGGCTACTCAGCCTCCCCCTACCACTCTCCTGACTAGGCTAAGGGCTCTTCCTAAGGCACCAACAGGGTCTGGATATTGAGGCTTCTCTGATCACCCCCAGGGCGCCCAACCCGTGCAGAGCCCTATCTCCCACCACCCTTGCAGGTCATGACTGTCAGGGGAGGCCCTCTTGCTTGTTTGGTGGGGAAGGCAGGCTCCCAGACCACTTGCTGTAGGCCTGGCGATACCGCCCCACCTCGCCAGGGCACACACCGCCTCCATGGCAGGTGCACCACCTCTGCCCCACGGGCGCTGCCTCTCAACGTGATGTCCTCAGATGGGCTTGACAGACTGGGCCTTTCCTCCAGGCGTGTGTGGGGGCCCAAGGTAGGCTTCCTGGGCCTAGTGCTGCTGGGCCAGGGTTCCCACATGTCAACAGCTGCGGCACCAGGGACCAGGCATGCCCAGCGACTCCTCCCTGTGGGCCCCCTGCCTCCCCCAATGGCTGTGCTGCTGGAAAGGGAACGAGGCCCTCCAGCCCCCGAAACTCTCTTTGCCTCTGCTGTGCTCTGGCCTGTCCAGCCCCGTGGCGTTTCCCAGGGACTCTTCTACAATTGATCTTAGCTAAAAGGCCAAGAGATGATCAAGATATGTCTTCCCGCACTGCAGAGATGCCCGTTTTGAGAGGACCGGGACTCCAGCGAGCCCCACCTGGGCGCTGTTTCTCCAAGCTGGCCCTGGCAGTTGTCACCTCAGATGGGAGAGAAGCCACAGGTGCTCCAGGCAGCTTGGAGATTAGAGGCTCCCTGAGAGGAAGGAGGCCAGGACAGAGGCCCAAGGCTGGAAGCTCTCAGATAACAGCACCTGGGCCATCTCTGGAGGTGTCAAAACACTTCCTGTTAGTTATTGAATATTTGTCACTCCTTCTGGGCTTTCCTGCGGAAATCCCTGGCTGGGACAACATATTCCAGTCGCTGCTGAGGAAGCAGTTGCAGGACTTCAGGTCTGGATGTAAAAGGGGAGGACTGGCTGTATGGCTGTATCCTAAAGCAACAGGCGGAGGGGCTGGCCTTGACAGCGGAGGGCTGTGCTTTTTGTTTGCAGGCAAATACGCAGGACAAGAGCACTTAGGAGGACAGCATGTGTAGCTTGGGCCCGAGAGGCCATATTGGCCCAGATGGTAGCCAGGCACTGTCCACAGGGAAAACCCTTTAGCTTCTAGTGGGGGTTCCCTAGATCCCAGAATTCGCCATCCCTTCTGCCTCTGGGCCTTGGGAAGACGTGCCTGCCTCGCCACCAGCAAAGCTGGCAGTGTCACCTTCTGCCACCCCCTGCTCCCTCCCTGGTCTGTAAGGGGTCTGCAGACAGCACAAGGAGCCGGGGCACTCACTGGCGAGGCTCGGGTGCTGGAGTCCTCAGCGTCAGTGATGCGGGCCCATAATCTTCCAGCCACCGAGGTGGGAGTGGGACAGAGGAAGGTAGCCATGCTCTGGGTGGCTTCCACAGGTGTCCCCAAGGAAGGGGGACTGGAAATGTCCTCTGGGGCACTTGTGGAAGTTGAGAGAACTTTTGAGGGAAGTTGTAGAAGCTGGAACGTGTCTTTTCTTTCTTTTGTGTGTGCGTGTGTGTGTGTTTGTGTGTAACAGTCTCACTCTGTTGCCTAGGTTGGAGTGTAGAGGGGTGATCACAGCTCACTGCAGCCTTGACCTCTGGGGCACAAGCAATCCTCCTACCTCAGCCTTCCCCCGAGTAGCTGGGACTAGAGGTGGCCACCACCATGCCCAGCTATTTTTTTATTTTTTGTAAAGATGGGGGTCTTGCTAAATTGCCCTGGCTGGTCTCGAACTCCTGGGCTCAAGTGATCTGTCCGCCTCGGCTTCCCAAACTGTTGGGATTACAGGTGTGGCCACTGTGCCCAGCCAGGAACATGTCTAAAAGGGGATTTCTCACCTGGGCAATGTCACTGTGTTGGCTACTCACACACTTGAGAGGTTGCTGCTGGAGGGCTACCTGGAACAAAGGTCCCAGGGCTCAAACACCCACAGAAAGACCAGGTGACACTGGCTACCTCCCCAGTGACACTTCCTCTGGAACTCCTCTCGGTGCCTGCGGACCCATGAGCACAGGGCAACACTGCTCCCAATTCCCCTGAGCAGGGTGCCCCCAATCCACTGATGTTACTGGCCCAAGAGGGTATGTTCCCACCTTCCCCTAACAGGGGACAGATGACAGGGAAGGCTGCACAGGGCTGTCATCCAACCAAGCATGTAGTGAGAGTACCTCGGAATTATTTCAAAGTTTCCTGCTGGTTTTAGGAGAAGAGATTCTAATCTAAATTATATTCATAAATTCTAAATTATATTCATAATTCCACACTCATAGCTCCATGGGGCATAGGAAATGTAATTGTTAGTGGCTTCAAGTGAAAAGAAAACCCACAACCCTCCCACAAAGCGCAGCACACTACAGATATGAAATTTGATAACGCCTTTTCCTTCTCTCCAAGGTCTCGGCTCCCAGCTGACCATGGCATTCATTATGAGGCACAAACTACCCATCCTAGGCTTTGTGAGCGAGTCTAGAAAACAGAGTTGCTGAGATTCGTAAGGTGACCTGGCCAATTCTGCAAGATATGCAGAAGCCTTCTAAATCTCCCCCAAACAGAGAGGGAGTTAGCAGCTATTTCTTCCACTAACAGCAGAAGATGGAGTAGAATTTACAGGACCCTAAGTCAGCTGAATTCAAAATTAATTTTTTTTTTGAGATGGAGTCTTGCTCTGTTGCCCAGGATTGGGGTGCCGTCTGTGATCTCGGCTCACTGCAACCTCTGCCTCCTGGGTTCAAGCAATTCTCCTGCCTCAGCCTCCCGAGTAGCTGGGATTACAGGCACCTGCCACCACGCCCGGCAATTTTGGTAATTTTAGTAGAGATGGGGTTTCACCATATTGGCCAGGCTGGTCTTGAACTCCTGACCTCAGATGACCCACCCACCTTGGCCTCCCAAAGTGCTGGGATTACAGGCACCTGCCACCACGCCCGGCCGTCATTAATTTAATTCATAACATCTGACTTCCTAGCGGTCAGGTGTTTGAGCAGAGCTTCCTGACCTGGCTGAGCTGGTCAGAATCACTTGGGACGAAACTTACACAGCCAGTCCTATCAGATTCGGAGAAGGCAGGAATCTGTATTTTTAGCAAGGTCTCCAGGGGATTCTGACACAGATAAATCCAGAATTGGGAATCTGCCTGTCAGACCTATTTGGAGGCAATGCCTTTTCTTCACATTCTCCCTCTTTCTCAGCCTAAGTCCTAAAAAATACAGGCAACAAGTAAATAAAGACAGTTTTCAAGATATTCATGGAATGACTTTTTTTTTTTTACATTTTTTTTAACTAGTTAGGACAAAAACATTACAATGATTGACTTCTTTCATTTAGTTACATAAATAAAATTTTTATAAATATCTCTTTATAAACAATATAAATAGCTTTACAACATAAATACATTTATGCATGACATGAATTTACAAACAGCAATGTTTTACAGCTGGTTCTGTCAGTCTCTTAAAAACTGTCCCTTGTCATCAAGTCGGTGTAGGTGTGTGTGTTTCATGTATATAATATATATATAATATATAACTTTTTATTTTTCATTTTAAAAAAACAAATAATAAAATCACAACCCCCTCCCCAAATAATAATAAAACAGCTGGTGTTGTGTATTCCCAGTACCAGGAAAAAAAAAGAAAGAAAGAAAGAAATGTAAAAGCCACATTGCGTTGGAGGTGTTTCCAGATGCTGGAGGCTGATGACCAAAGATGACCTCAGCACAACGGAGCCAGTTCCCGATCCTGAAACACAGAGTGAACACGGGACGCTCAGTTCTGGCCCCTTAGCTGAGAAATCCTAGCAGGCAGGGTGGTTCTAGAACCTTTCCTCCCCTTCTCCCAGCAGCTTGAGGGATGTTCCCCTACCTCCGCCACCCCCCCAACCAGGCCTTCCTGCAGAGGGGAGGAGCCCCCCATTGCGCACTCCCCAGGCCCCTTCTGCTTTGCTGCCCCAGTACAAGTGGAACCAGCGTGTCTGCAACACTCCTTCTTCCCCCAGTCTAACCACAGGCCTTGCCCTTGGCACTCAGGGAAGCGCAGTGAGAGAAAGAGAATGGAAAATCTCCCATCCCTTTTTTGCTACAACGCAAACCCTCAGTCAGTGCTCGCCCGGGGTTCGTGTGTCTGAGTGACCATGGATGGAAGGAGAAGAGAGACATCTCAGGATCAGGAATCCTGGGCTCAAATCTCTACTCTGACGTTGGGTCCCTGGATGACCCTGGATAGCTGGGAGTGTTCACCCATAAAATTGGATAATAGCCACCTCCTAGGGCTGGCTTTCAGATTCAACAGGGAGCCTCGGATCGGGCATCGGCAGTGTCTGGGTCACAGCTGCCACCCAGTAAACAGCACCTCCTTCCCTAGCTGGTTGTGCAGAGGAAAGGGTCTGGGTCCAGGTCCCCTTCAGGAGCAGAGGAAATGGTGTCTCACACCAGCCTTGGGGAAATGCACAGTCATGGGCTCTGAGTGTTGTTAGGGTAAACTCTCTGCTAATGGGTGTGTGGGTGCCCCGGGGCCCAAGGAAGGTGGCCTTCAGGGGCGTTCAGTGCCCTCCCAAAGGACAGCATGCACAGAGGGGACCTGGGCCAGAATGGCTTGATGAACCCTCCCCCACTCCCTTCTCTGGCTCTGCCGTGAGTTTACACAGATGACAGCTGTCTGTGATGTTGCTGGGCCCCAGGGGCAAAGTGTTCATTCAGGTTTCACCTACACCCAGTCTCTGTCATTAGCATTTTACAATGAATACCTAGAACCATCAACCACCATCATTACGGTGGCTTAGAGCCCAGGTCACCCACTGCGTGGAGAAACAGCCACAACCTCAAAGAGTTTTCATTAATGTGAAAAATCTAAGCTGTCTTTCTCTTTACGCCCAGTGATATATCCTGGGCATCGTCACCAGGAGCCTGCAGGAATGATGTTCTGCTCTCTCACTGGGAATGGGGGGCAGTGAGGGTGGGGTTTTTATTTTTCATTTAAAAAATCCCAAATAATAAATCCACACCGCCCTTCCCAAATAATAATAAAACAGCTGGTGTTGGGCGTAAGCCGGTGTTGAAGGTGTCGACGGTAAGTGTTCATCTATGCTAAGAGAGCTGGTAGGAGATTATTGAACCCCCCTGATCAAAGGGGTCGAGAATTCTTAACAATGTGGATTCCTCCTACACAGCATCTTTCACCACCCGTTTGGCCATCACTTGGTGACCACAGACATCCAGGCCCAAGAACAAAGCCCCTGTGGGGATGCGCATTCCAGGTACGAACCAATGGAGAGTCACTAACATTTGCTCAGGTTCTAAAGTTTGAACTTGATGCTTAAATCAAACTGAAAATTTGAGGCCTCAGACTCCGTCTCTTTGTTGTTTAGACAGGAGAGAAGAGAGCAAAGGCATTCCAAGGGTAGCTACTGAAGGCTGGTCCCCAAGTGTCAGAATCATTCTTCTCCCTGTGCAGGGGAGAGTCAAGATCACAGACAACTACAGCCTTTGCAGAACTGGGGAGAGGCCCACAGCCGAGTGAGGTCTGGCTGCAAAGAGAGGAAGGGCACTGGTTAAAACCTCGGGCAGGTGGGAGTGGCCATGGGCCAGGGTGTGCTGGTTTCTCTGGTCATTGACAAATATTTCCACGAGTCTGTTCGGGGTGCAGTGGGTCCTAGAGTGCCTTAGGCCAGCACTTCGCCCTTAAGCTGTTCAATATGGAGAGGTGAATGGGTTCACAAACTGTGAAAAAGTGTTCTGTACTGTAAAAAAGAGACAGTGTGCTGGACAGGCGCTCTTGTTTCCCTCCGGGAGAAGATCCGACACTGACAAGGGTTTCTGGGGAGGAGACAGCAGCTTGCCCGTAGCCTGGGATGGGACAGTCAAGGTGTGGGACAGGCAGTGGCAGCTGCTGAGCTGGAGGCAAGAAAGCGAGAAAGCCAGGTAAGCCTGATCCTAACGCACATGACTGTCAATGTCAGAGGCTGGGATGTTATTCAGTGGGCACGGGCAGGCGGCAGGAATAGAGAGGAGGGAAAGAGGAGAGGTGAGGCTCTCTGCAGCAGTAAATTACCACCACGCGGCACCCGGCAGGGGGTGGCGGTAGGGCAGAGGTTTCCAGCCCTAGTGCGGGGTGAGACCCCACACCAGAAACGGAGCCCAGAGCACCGGTTGGGTCGGGACAGGGTTGGTGAGGGACTCTGGGACGTGTTGAGTTCGAGGCTGGGGCAAATAATATTTACTTTAGTGTCTTTCCTATTCCCTGAAATAGTGCCACAAGCACTGAGATTCACCCCCGAAGCCACCAGGCTGCAGCTGCCTCAGGACCCTGGACAGACCAGTTTGCCCACTGCCTGGGTTTAGAGAAGGGACAGGAATCGGAGTGTCCCAGGCAGAAGGGCGCTCTGACAGTGCCAGCAGAGGGCTACTCTCACTACAGGGGGCATGGTGGCCAGCAGATGATCGATGTCCCCTGGACTTGTGGGTGTAACCTTCCTTCTCTGCTCCCACAAACCCATGATCTCCTCTCAATCCCCCCACCAGCTGGCCAATAGGGGCCAGTGCTGCTAGTTCAGCTACGGTTCAGGGGTGGGTGAGACACCACCAAGCCTGTTTCTGCTTCTCCAGAAGAAGCCAGGTGGGTTCAACCAGGCTGAGCCGTTTCTGACCTTGCCAAAGTTCCCCGATCACGTTATCCTTCGCTTTCTTTGTCTGTAAAGTGGGATAATAAAGGGGGCGGCTGGCAAACGCCTAGCACAACTTGAGCAAAGGCGGCTCGCGCGCCTCCGAAGGCCGGCTGGGCGGCGGGCGGTCCCGGGCCGGGCTGGGGCTGGGCGTCGGGTGGGCCGTACTCACCGCCGCCAGGGGGCGCCGCACTAACATCCCAGGCCGCTCATGGAGCCGATTCGGTCCAGCTTGAGGCCGAAGCAGCCCTTGGACAAGCCCTTCTTGTTGGCTCCTTTGTATTTGCGCGCGTTGGGGTGCTCTTGCAGAAGGCGAGCCCACGCTGCCCGCGACTTGGTGTCCACGCGCAGGTCCCGGAGCAGTCGCGACCGGTCGCCCTTGAGATTGGCGCCCCCGCCCCCGGGAGCCTTGTCGCCCTTCTTCTGACCGCCGCCCGCAGCCTGCGGCTCGGCCAGCTCCTCTGCCGGCGGGGTTCGCGGGACCTGTCCGAGGAAAGAGCGGGCAGGTGAAGGGACACGCGGCTGCAGCACGGGGGACTCTGATGCTCCAGCCCCACGCGCCCGCCGGCGCGGGGTGTCCCTCCCAAGCCCAGAGCCGCCCCCACCGATGCCGGCCAGCTTGGCCCCGCATCCACCTGCCACGCGGCCGCCTTCGCCGCTCCCTCCGGAAGCCCCCTGCCCTCCCTTTGCTGCTCGCCGGGCAGGCCACACTGGGGTAGGGGGCTGCGCATGGGCCGATGTTCTCCGGAGGCTGGAGAAGTGGACCCCCGAATCCGCGCTTCGAGGGCTCCCCGGCTCTCGCCCACGCGCATCTCGGAGGAGACAGCCGCCTGCCTTCCCTCTCTCCTGGGTCCTGCGCGCCGCATTCTCCAAGCCCCCAGCCTCCCACGCCTCTCCCAGGCTCGGCGTCCCCACGACAGCACCCACCTTCGGCGGCGCCCCGGGCTTGGCTTCGGAGGGCCGGAGGGAGAGCAGCGTGAGCAGCAGGGCGCAGGCCAGCAGCTGGGAGAGATGCATGGTGCCGCTGGGGTCGAGGGGCGCACACGGGCGGCAGCGAGGGCGCGCAGGTCGGCGGGCAGACCAGCAGGGGGATGCGGAGCAGGCTGGCTGGGCTGCAGGGCGAGCAGGGTCCCAGTGCTGCGCGGCGCCGGCTGGGTGCGCTCTGAGCCCGTGACTCTGCTCGCGCCTTTATAATCCAACCTGCCGCTGATGTCATCCTCCCGCCCACCGGGCCGCCCGGGCCAATGACACCACGCACGCGGCCGCGCCGAGGGCCGGGAGGGGGCCGCGGGGGCTCCCCTCCCTTATCCCACCCCGGAGGGATCCCGCGGCTCGGCGGGCTCGCTCCAGGCTGCACTTGGAGCTGCAGAGCTGAGCGCACAGGGGAACTCCATTTGCAGCGAGCGCGCGCCCTGGCCTGCCGAGCATCGGTGCGCCTGGTGCCCTGTGCACCCACTAGGTCCTCATCGCACTCACTCTACCTGGAAGGGATACGTAGCCCTCTTTGCAGGTGCAAAGACAGGCTCAGAGGAATGAAGTCACTTGCCCAAAGTCATACAGGCATAAAGTTGGCGCTGCCCGAAATCCACGCAGCCCTGCTTGTCGCCAAACTCTTCCCTGGGCACCTGACAGCCGCGGGATGGCATTGCAGCTCCGCCTTTCACCTGCCGGTCAGGGCGGGAGCGCAGACCACAGCGACGTCGTTAGGTTGGGGAGGCAGAGGATGGGGTTGGAGGACTGGGGTGGGAGGCGCAGGGAGAGCGGGGTTCGCCTGGGCCGCAGGGGGGAGCGCAAGTCTTCCACACTGGAGAGTGCAGGGGTGTCGCCAGCCTGAGTGTTTGAGCGCAAGGCGGGAACGAGGGGACTGCGAGCGCGGAACCAAGATATTCATGCTCATGCGTGTGCTCCGCGGCATCGTATGCTCGCCAGTTACTGCTCTAGGTTCACGTTCAGCCGGTTTCGGCCACACAGAACGTCCCGGGGTCTGACTCCGCTGGTGAACTCCCTCTGTGGGAACAATGCGCACCTGACCTTGCCTGCACCCACGCGAGGATCCGCTGCTGGGGGAAGCCCGCTCCAGTATCCTGTGCACTTTCACAGGCTGGGGAGAGAGCTTCCTAGCCAGCGGCCCAGTCCAGCCTCTGCCAGCCGTGACAGGTGGTCAACTTCCCGTTTTTGACTGTAGAGAGGTCCCCGTGGCTCTCGGGACATGGCCACATATCCCTACCACTCACGAACTTGCTCTCCTTGCACTGGGCTTCTCGGTCCCTTGGACACTAAGGAGTGTGGTGGGCATTTGGGCACTGCGGTGTGGGCCGCAGAGGCGGAGAGCCCAGATCCCCCGAATTGATTGAAGAGCAGGAATCTATGACTGGCTGCTGCTGAGCAGGACGCAGGCTGGAGAGAGAACAAATGTTGCCGCAGGAGTGCAGTGGCTGTCCCCAGGCGTGAAGGCGATTCTGGGGAGACAGTAGCCCAGACGAGATTTTCCAGGGAGAGGAAGCTGTGCCTGAGGCAGGAAGGCAACTGGAGTGAAGAGGGGCTTGGAGAACCAGGTTCCCTCCAAGCCTCCCTCTTCCCTCCGTGGTAGTGAGCCTGGTCCCAGAGCTGCTAAGGCGGCCGCATCATGGTCTGCTCTGTCGGCACCTTTCTCAGGCTACCCCTTCCCACTCTCATACCCTGACTCACAACATTGGAGCAACCACTACACAGGTCACTTTGCTTAGGAAACAGCTAACACCTGAGGTCTGAGTTTGGGGCAGCAAAGTTTCCTGATCTCCAGGAAGATCCAGACATCAACAGGGCACCTTCTGTGGATTCTGGTGAATTGAGTCACCACCTCCACGCAGCCCCCCAATTCCTCTCCGTGCTAACACCCATAGAGTGGCACCACTCTTTCATTTGAGGAGAAAGGAAGAGGAACTAGAAAGCAGTATAGGGAGGGGTATCCAGGTGGGCTGTGAAAGTTCCCTCTGCTTTTTGCCTGCTGTGCAAAGAAGGATGTTACCATCTGGAACTTCTCTGACACTTGCTTTCTTTATACCTGTTTAAAGAGTCAGGCAGAGCCACACAGACTGACTCTAGAGTCAAGCACTGGGCTGGTTTCCAGGGGCCAGCAGTACATCCTCTAAAGCCCCTTATTAAGGAAATCTTCCGCTGTTCATGGCTACTTCCTTCTGTCTGAACGTCCTTAGGTTGGTCCTTCCTGTCTTCTGTGTTCCTAGACACATTCGCGTCCAGGTGATTGACTATCTAGGTCTCCTCTCTGTTTGAACTTTGAGGCTAAATTAATAAAACTGACACCCCCAACCTACTGTGGCAGAGCCGATTCCCTGGACTCACCTTCCCATCTTTGGAAGGGAAATCTGGTGAGCTGCCACTCCTGACCACTGGGCGGTGGTCATCTGCAGAGGGAGGCTTCCCGGGGGGCAGGCTGTGGAGCAGCTTCTGCTTAGCTGGGGCCTGGGAGGCAGGGTGGGTAAGAGTCAGAGGCCTGGGCAGGAGGGGCCACCGGGAGGTGTGCCATCAGCACATAACTGCCTTGGAGATGAAGGTTTCCCCTCTCCCTTTGCTTTCCTTGCCTGGGGAGCTGCAGAGGACGCCCACTCTTCCTCCTGAGCCTAGATTTGGAACTCAGGTCCCTTTTTGTTGCTTTTCCCTTACGAAGTCTGCTTCTTCTGCCCCAGGCCCCAGGGGCATGGCCTGGGAAAGTTGAACTCACTGAGCAGCTGAATATGAGCTATTCAAGTCATTTTATTGACTGCTCAATTTTAAATTTCCTCCTAACGGCAAAAGAGGGAGAAAAGGCCCCAAGGCCGCGGTAATTCTGTAAGGAATCATGTCGTTCTCACTGATCTCGCTGATCTCCCGGTATCTACTGAGCATCCCTGAAGCCTGCAGGGTTCCATCCAGCCGGGAAGAACCCCCTAGCAGACAGACATGAGCTTTGTAGGCTGAAAAGGACAATGACAGGGAAGGGGACAGGTCAGGCTGAGGCCACCCAAGGAGGGCTCCTCCTCCAGCCTGGACTAGCAGGGTGGGCTTCCTGGAGAAGGAAAAGTCTGTGCTGAGCCTGGAAACACAGGAAGAGAAGGGAAGAGAAGAGGAAAACCTCGACAGAAAACCAGGCTAACAGTGGAATGTACTAGAGTCAGGCCTAGAGGGGTGCTGTTTGAGAAAAACCAAATGAGAGGCCTCACCAAAGGGCAACACAGAGGGCAGGGGAGGCCGATGAGACTGCAGAACCCCATGTGCCCAGACCTCGGGAGGGTGGAGTGCTTCAGGCAGGGGTGCCCAGAGGAGGCAGACTAGGGAGAGGCAATTCTAAGGTCGATGGTGTTCTGGAGGTGGGGGGTGTGATGGAGAGAGAGGAGCCTGCTGAGCTCTTGGGGGTGGGAAGGGCAAGTGAGCTTATTGGGGGTGCCTGAAGATGAGGCAAGGGGAAGGGGGTCAGCTAGGTGTGGGGGAAGTGGGAGGGAGCAGGAAGTGGGAGGCAGAGCCAGCCTGAAGCATGCAGAGCCTTCAGTGTCAGAGAGTTGCATGGGCGAGTCCAGGGTATCAGCTCTGCCACAGTAGGCTGGGGGTATGCAGGGCCTTCAGCGTCGGAGAGTTGCATGGGTGGGACCATTTTCTCCCTTCTGGCCCTCTGAAGGGCGGGACCCCGTTTTGTGGGCCCCTTTTCACTCTTTCCCTCCTCCCAGAAGGGCAAGGTGCGACTCTGACACCTACTGGAGAGGGGCCCTTCCTTGGGACAGGCGATGTCTGGCCAGGAATCAGGATGTGATAGAAAATGAGAGTGGGCCCTGGTCAGGATGCCTGGTGGGAGAAAGGCGTGTGGAAGGGCTGCTGGGAGGCTGGGGAAGGAGCAGCTAAGACAGGACTGTCCAGCCTAGGTCCCCAGGAGGGAGGAACAGGAGCCCCGCGAAGCAGCGCCCCCTCCTGGCCCCAGGGCTGCAGGGGAGGGCTCTCAGGCACACTGGAGGGGAGGATTGCAGAGCCGCCCATCTGTTTCTCTGCAATTGTTTATCCCGGGGCCCCCTTCCAGCTGCATAATTTCTCAGAGAAGACACTAAACAGGCAGTGAGCGAGTCTTGAGGTCAGGCAGGGAAATTGCTGCGGGACACTGGCCAAGTCCCGTCACTGCTTTGGGCCCTCAGTTTCACCACCTGTAATTAGAAAAACACTGTCCTTGTCTTCTAGACAGGGCAGAGTGAATCTGGGGCCTGATAAGAGGCTTCCAACCTCTCCCTGGCCAAACACAGCAGGAGACAGCTGAGGCAGAAGAGAGATCTGAATGTCACTGCATGTCCACACATACTTTTGGGTGAGAGGACCCCCACAGCCCCCGAAACTCCCCAGGACTGTTTAGTGGTGCAGCCCCTCAGAGCACACAGAGGCCGGGGCATGGCCAGGTCTCCTTGAGCTTGGTACCTTCCTCCAGGAGTCCTGCACCCATGGCGCTGGACTGGAGTACTGGAGGAGATGGAGGCCAAGGAAGCGTCATTCATCCTTCACGGGCCAGAGATTCCAGGAAAGCTTAACCTCGTTGTACCATGAGTCTTTGACCCCAGGACACCCCCATCTGATGAGCCAGCTGCCCTCCTTCCCTTTCCCAGGGGTCCTGCCAGCACCTGCTCCAGATGGCCTCCAACCCCACTGTCCTACGCAGTCCATGACGTCAGAGTTCATTCCTCCTTTCCCCTGCTTGCCAAAAAGAAAAGACAGGTCCTCCACAAATAGGCTCACTTCCCTGGGGGAATCAACAGCTCTCCATCTGGCTGTCAAAGGGCAGGTGAGTGGGGCAGTGAGAGGCTTCAGCCCTGAGAAAGTGAGCAGGATAGTGAGCAAGAGGGCCTCCCCAGCAGAAAAGAGCTCAGCACCCCAACCTCAGCTCAGAGCCTGCACCAGATGTTTGCAGAGCAAATGGATCTGCTGCCAAATTCTTGCCCTAGGGACAAAAGCTTGCCTTGGCTAGACTCTGGTAAAATGTTGGTCATATGGAGCTTTTCCAAGCAGTGAGCCGCTCTTTTCCTGCTCTGGGGGGTCCCTGCAGTGAGCCCACCTTCTTGGTTTGTACCTGGAGGAGAATGTCTATTGTCTGGTCTTGGAGACCTTTTTTCAGATTTGATAGGGGCCACAGTCTTCAAGGAGGAGGGGGCTTCTCCCTATGGATAGAAGGGACCACCAAGTATCTTACAGAAGCCCCCTAACTTGGCACCTTCCCAGAAGGGATCATGGAATGGACTTGCTAGGATCCAGGACCACCAGTCACCTCAAGGGAGCCGTGTCTCTGGATTTTCCAAGCCAGAGACTTCTCTGCAGACTTCTGCCCCGTGAGTGTGTCATCACCCGCTGCCTCCTGGTGAGCGGTCAATTTCTAAGATGAGAATGACCAGAAAACACTTGTAAGAAGCGGACATGACCAAGCCAGATGCTGATGAGGGCTGGAGGGAACAAACTTTTTGCAATCTGGGCTCCACAGGGATTAGAAAACACTTTTAAGCCCAAAGCCCATAAATTGTTCAAAAAACCACCATTATGCCTGTGTGAATTGTCTCTGGGCCCAGTGTGTAACCTTACACAACAAATGTTTCCCGAGGATTGCCCAAGGTGGTCCCTGATGTCCAGTGTACACTTGGCAAGGAGAAGAAAGGTCGTTCTCCTGAAATGATGACCTGTTTTGTCTTGTGGGGGAAATAATTTATGAAATAAAATCCCAGCTTAGAGTCGTGTAGGGTTCAGAACTTCCCAGGAAGCAGCTGATTAAGGATGTCGATGTCCACAGAGGTGGTAAGGAGTAGAGGCGAGTGTCCATGTGACGTGAGCACGTGTCCATCCATGGTTGCTGCTGCCCGGCATCACAGCCCACTGGAGAAGTCGAATCATCATGTGCTTGCTTTCTCGGGCACCCTTGCAACCTGTGCCTGGGTATGTGACCTGGACTGCCCCAATTCCGTTGCACCAGCCCTGAGTTTCAAATTGGGTGCCATCGTCTCAGAGAAGCCGGGTCTTCAGGGAATGCTCTGAATCATACTACAAGAGGAGTTCCTGGGCAGGGTGGTGGTGGCAGTAGGACCCACTGTTCTGTGACAGAGTTGTCATTGATAAAGGCTGGCACATAAAGGCTGGCCCCAATGGCTTGCACTGAGGTCCTCCCTCCACCTGATCCACACTTGATGTTGGCAACTGACCCTGGGTGAGTTATTCCCGAGCCTTCCTGACTGCTCAATGTAATGGTGCAATCTTGGCTCACTGCAACCTCCCAGCTTCAAGCGATTCTCCTGCCTCAGCCTCCCGAGTAGCTGGGATTACAGGCTTGCACCACCACGCATGGCTAATTTTTGTATTTTGAGTAGAGATGGGGTTTTGCCATGTTGGCCGGGCTGGTCTCGAACTCCTGACCTCAGGTGATCCACCCACCTCGGGCTCCCAAAGTGCTGGGATTACAGGCGTGCGCCACCACGCTCGGCCTCCAATGCCCTTTTAATGCATTCCTTTCCACTTCCCTCAGCCAGAGCCGGCTTCTGTTGCTTACACATCAGCCACAGGCATCTCCATGCCCTCGGTGCCCACTGCTTGACCTCCCCCACACTCCATTCTTGGAATAACCATTCTGCCAGAGCCCTACTGCCCTCGCAGACAGCCCCTGATGTGACAGTGAGGACATCTGGGGGTGTCCTTGCCTTCTTCCCTCAGGGATGGATAGAAAGGCAAAGGGGATAACATGTGGAGAGGCAAAATTAGGGGTCCCCAATGGTTCCTCTATGGAAATAGCAAAGCAAATCCTCAGGGCAGTGTTCAAGGACTGGGCCCAGGCCGACTGCTAGCACTGCTGTCTTTAAAAATCACACTCAAAATCATTTGATGGAGATGATTCTAATGATCACACTGCCTCTAAAGAATTAGTTGCTGACCGTAGCTTGCAGCCTGAAGGGGGAGCGTTCACGTAGGTAAAATGAATGAGACATATGCTCACATGCATTACTAAATCAAGCAAATATTTCTAACTTCAGCACCTTCTTACCCCATTAGATGCAAATGTGTTCCTCAAGCAGAACAGGCCTCACTGAGCTTGCAGACACAGGGTGGCGAGTGAGGTGTTACAAGAAAATCCAGAAAGCTGGGTGGTGGCTGAGCCGGGGAGGGCGGGGGAAGGCCTGGAGTCTGCAGGGTGGGAGACAGGGCATCTGGCTTCAGAGGACGGAGCCCAGACATTGGAGCCCTGCTCCTTCCTGTGACCGGAGGAAACTTTGCAGGGTCAGAGAAGTCGTGTCAGACTCTGGGCAGCCTGTCCCCAGACCTCCAGATGCTAGACCCTGCCTGGATCCCAGGCATGCCACTTTCTGTCTGTCCCCTTGAGTTCCATGGGCAGCAGAGCAGTGGGCAGACGGGTGGTGTGCCTGGGTTGCTCCCTGAGAACCTCCCGGGAGGTGAGGTTGCTGGAGAGGAGCGTGTGACCCTCAGGAGTGCTTCTGGCAGAAGGGCCTGGCCAGGACCTGAAGGGAAGTGAGAGGGCCCGGGAATCTTTTCCAGGGTGTGCCCCCTCTGCTGAGCCCTGAGGCTTGCCCTCCATGGGACTGTGCCCATTGCTCCCACAGGCTGCTCCCCTGGCTCAGCACAGGCAGCCAGGATCCAGCTGTGGAGTCCCTCAGCTCCCGAGCATGTTGTTGTCACAGCCCTGGTGGCAACAAACCTTCCTTCTTTCCCGCCACCAGCTTCTCCAGGGAACCCCTGTGTCCGCCTCAGTAGCCCCACCTCCCAGCCCACTGCCTGCTAAATTGGTAGGTGACCAGTAAATGCACAGCGACTGACTCCCAGCACTGCACCGGGCCTCAGGGCACAGCAGGGACAGGCCTCCTCTGCCCTCAGACAGAAGGTGCTGGCAAAGTGACCAGCTGCCCCATTTTGCAGATGGGGCTGTGGAGGCCCCCGCTGGCTACATGGTCTGCCCTCAGCCACATGGGCTCAGCAGGCTGCTGCAGCCACATGAGTGAGTGGATTGAAGTCCAGCGAGCCACAGGGACCGGGCTGGGGAGCGAGCAACCCTGCTTCCCCGAGAGCACATGTGCCGAGAGGAACAGCTGTCTCCACCCCGCGCGCAGTGGGCTCCCATGGGAATGTGGTGTGTGGCTTGGCAGACAAACAGACACAGCTCCTCCACCACCTGTGGCCGTTTTCGGGGTTGGGGGGCGGTTCAGAGCCCTGGGGCCTCTGCCATATCTGTCAGTGGCCATTTCTCTGGGACCTCATTGTCCCTTTTTCCCATTCTTTCCCTTTAAGTTCTGGGAAGTCTGGAAAGGACGAGGCCAGACTGATTGGGAATGTTGTGGCTGGAAGTTTTGGGAAGGCAAGAGCTCTAGTTTCAGAACACCAGCTCTCTCGGTGGCCAGTGTGTAGTGGTCTGAGGCCAGAGCACAGGAGGTGGGTGGGGTAGGGTTCTGAGGCCTAGACGAGGACCGCTGCCCACAGGAACAGAGCAGGGCCAGGGGACATTCTCTCTCCAGTTGTCTGTGACATCAGGACTGCTGGGACTCACCTGGGACTCCATTGCTGCTGGACCTGGCACACAATGGACGCCCTCTTGTGTGAGACTGAATGAATGAACCAGCTCTGACCTTCTGGGAGAAACCTCCCCTCATACCAGCCACCCGGGGTCCCTGAGGGCAGGGCCTCCATTTCTGCCCCCTCTCCCATGCTCAATGACTCTTCTGGTTGACACCCACCTGGGAGATGGCCTCTGGTTTCAGGGTTGCTGCAGATTCTGGGACTGAGACAGAAACAAGACAGCAGTTCAGCCTGGGCAGGGCCTGGAGGCCAGGCGGGGTCCACCTGGTCACAGACTGAGGCCAGGCCATCACTAGGGGTCAGGGCTGGAGTGAGAGAACCAGCTCAGCCCCCCAGGACGGAGGCTAAGCTCACACAAAGCTCTGTGTTCTGCCTGCAATCACACAGTGGAAATCAGGGCAGCCCTGTGTCTCCTGGGGGCACAAGGCAAGGGCTGGAGGCTGGGAAAGGAGCTGCCCCTGGCGGTTATCTGACCCCAGGAGGACTTGCCCAGCAGCAATGAGCTCATGGACCCTGGAGCAGAGCTGGGCAGTGATGGGAAAGGAACTGCATATGTTTGCTGGAGATCTGGAGGCGTGGGCCTTTCACATGAGCTCATGTGATAAGATGCTCCCAGGCCTCGCCAAGCCAGGGGCCCATGGGCAGCTGCTTCTGTAGGAGGAACACTGTCTGCCGGCCCTGCTGGCCTCTGCCCTGCACACACCTTCTCTTGCTTCCTTAGAAACTGCAGGCTGAGCCCAAGGAAGATGACCTGGCGATGCTGAGCTTATTTGGGTGGAATGATGAATGGCCCCTTAAAAATCAATCCTCCTTAGAAATTTGGTATAGAATATTTATCCAATGTTACAGTGCGAGGTAAACAGAAAAGTCAGACTAATAGCAAATATGCACAGCTCCACTGATATAACATGGCCTGTCTACTACTTCCCTGGTTTTCAGATCCTCCGGCAACTTTTGTGTCTAGTTGGATTTGAAGTGCACATAATATCTTGTGATCAACTTTCTCATGTAATATGATTTGATAAAACCTTTTCCATGAACCTTCATAGTCTGCAATGTAATGGTTCACAGTCAGGATTTGGGCTGTTTTTAGTGTCATGTGCTTACAAATATCGCAGGTAAAAACATGCCTATATAAACAGAGTTTTTCTCTTTTCTTTCTTTCTCCCTTCCTCTCTCTTTCCTTCTCTCCTCTTTTCCTTTCTTTCTTTCATCTCTCCTCCTCCCTCCTTCCCTCCCTCCCTCCCTTCCTTCCTTCTCTTTTTCCTCCTTCCCTTCCCTTTCCCTTTCCCTTTTCCTTCCCTCCTTCCTTCCTTCTTTTGTTTCTTTCTTTCTAATTGCTGGTTGAAAGGGTTTGATAGCATAAGCACTCTTTGTGGTTTGGTTGAATTTTGTCAGCCCTGTGCCAATGGACATGACCTGGTATATGGGCTTTCTTAAGTATTTTTATCAGAGTGTTAGATATATTGATATTATTATTTTCATGTTTACTATGAAATGGCCTTTCACTGTATGGCTTTTCTATGCTCATATACAGATGTTTACACATTTTCAAGATGTTTTGAGTTCTCGTAGCCTCCTGCACTTTTCTTTGACTACATGCTTGTGTGGTCGCCTGGCTCAGGCCATTTCTCCCAGGGGCCATTTGTTCCTGGAGAGCAGGGATCTTGTTTGTTTTGCTCTTGCTACCCCAGCACCCAGCCTGGGTAAGTCCACTATAGAGGCTGAAAGTGTGGACCACATAGTGGCTTTGATTCTTGCGAACTGGGTATTTTCACCTACATTACATAGACAGGAGACTAAGCTCAGAAATGTTAAGTACTGGAGTAAGCACCATGGCTGGGACTGAAACTCAGAGGTCTGTCTGCCCTGAAACCCACACTTGGTCCTGACACCAATGTCTCCGTAGATAGGGGGAGCATACACTTTTATATTCTTCTGTTGTGGTTTTAAAGAATGGTTGTGTGAGTGTGTATGCATGCGTGTATTTAACTTTAACCTGTCTGGAATGTTCTGTGGTAAATGGTGAGTAAAGACCTGTTACTCGCATGTCACTATTATCCATTTCCCATATGATGTAGTGATAATTGTTTCTTTCATCATTTTCTCTTCACTTGATTCATGATAAATATTCAACTCAGATAAATATGTTCTGCTCTTCCGTAAAGTTTTCAGAGCTGCTGCATGTGTTCTATAGACTAGTAGGCATTTTCCCTGGTTTTGCCTTAAAATAAAAAAGATTTCCCAAGCAGTTGCTTTCTTATATAAATGTTATTTTTACTTTATAAACTTTTATAAAAGTAATTTTAATTAAAATAGTTGCATTTCATTTTCATTAAACTCTCTCTCTCTCTTTTTTTTTTTTTTTTTTTGAGATGGAGTCTCGTTCTGTTGCCCTTGCTGGGGTGCAGTGTCTCGACCTCGGCTCACTGCAACCTCCATCTCCCAATGATCAGCCCACCTCGGCCTCCCAAAATGCTGGGATTACAGGCATGAGCCAACGCGCCCGGCCTCATTAAACTCTTATTATGGGTTTTTAACTTTATTGTATTGTAATCAGATAATATAACTTATACAGGTTGAATATCCCTTATCCCAAATGTTTTGGACCAGAAATGTTTTAATTTTGGATTTTTTTGGATTTTGGAATATTTGCATTATACACTTACTAGCTGAGCATCCCTAATCCAAAAATCTGAAATTCAACATGCTCCAATAAGCGTTGCCTTCGAGCATCATGTTGGTCCTCAAAAAGTTCTGGATTTTACGCATTTTGGATTTCCAAGTTTTGGATTAGGGATATTGAAACTGTAATATTTATGAGATTTGAACTTTCTTGAGATTTTCTTTTTCTTTTTTTTAAGACAGGGTCTTGCTCTGTCACCCAGGCTGAAATGCAGTGGTATGATCACGGCTCACCATAGCCTCGACCTCCTGGGCTCAAGTCCTCCCAGCTCAGCCTCCCAAGTAGTTGGGACTATACGTGCGCACCATTACACCCAGCTAATTTTTTTTTAATTTACTGTGTTTTTCTTTTTCTTTTTTTTTGAGATGGAGTCTTGCTTTGTAGCACAGGCTGGAGTGCAGTGGCGTGACCTTGGCTCATTACAACCTCTGCCGCCCGAGTTCAAGCGATTCTCCTGCCTCAGCCTCCTGAGTAGCTGGGACTACAGGCACTTGCCACCACACCTGGCTAACTTTTTGTATTTTTAGTAGAGACAGGGTTTTGCCATGTTAGCCAGGATGGTCTTAATCTCCTGACCTCGTGATCTGCCTGACTTGGCCTCCCAAAGTGCTGGAATTACAGGCGTGAGCCACCATGCCTGGCCTTAATTTACTTTTTTTGTAGAGACGAGGATCTCACTCTGTTGCCCAAGCTGGTTTTGAACTTCTGGGCTCAAGCAATCCTTCTGTCTCGGCCTCCTGAAGTGTTAGGATTACAGGCTAACCGTGAGCCACCATGCCTGGCCAGATTTTCTTTTGTGCCTGAATATTTGTTGTTTTTATAAATATCTCACGTGCATTAAAAATATGACTATTATTTGTAGGGGACAAAATTTAATATATACAACTTTCTTAATTATTTTCTGTATACTTAATTTTTGGCAATTGATTTGTAAAGGCTAATAGAACTGGATAAAACCCCCATTTATTTGGTAACTGACTATTTCAATACTTGTCTGGACGTTATTATTGCTTTCTTCTGTGCAGCACTAACTTCTTTCGGAAACTCTCCCTCCACTCTAACCCTGTTTTATTGTGGCCTACCAATCTCAATAACCCATCTCTTTTATTATAGACACAAGCACATGACCCAGATCCGGCCGGACCCAAGCCCCCAGTTGGTCAATGACAGAAACGTAACTCCAGCTCTAAGAAACTTTATTGGTTGCATAACCAGGAAGTCCAGGGCGAGAGCCTATTTATTCGCTGGCTCAGAGGCCAACAGATTCAGTGATTTAAGTGATGTTGAGCCTCTCTCTTTCTCCCGGTAACTTCTCTGCCTCCATGTGATGGCCTTATTCTTTCCTACTACAGAGCGTCTTCCTCTGTGTGGTAGGGGATGCAGGCAGGGAGAGTGATGCCCTCAGATGTCTCCTCTTAGGTCTAGACAGAATCTTATGGAAGGACCAGCTGGCCTTGTTGGCCTTGTTTGACTTGTTAGACTTGGCCAGTCACTGTGGCCAAGGAGATGGTTTTTCATAGATTGGCCAGACTTAGCTCAAGCACCCATCTCTGGGGCCCCAGAGGCGAAATATGAAGATTGCTTGCCCCAGCAGAACCCTGGAGAATGAGGAAGGGATGAGTCTCTAAAGGAAAATTGATAACTGGTAACAAAAGGATGAGGGAAAAGGGTGTTGGGAAGGGAAGAACAGATGTCTGCAATGGGCTGCACCCCCTGGCTATACGATTGGTTCGGGAATGGGCATGTGACCCAAGCCAGCCAATTAAAGAACTTCCAGGGATTTGTTTTCTCTCTGTGGAGCTGGCAAGGATGAAATCTCTTTCCTGTAATGCTAGGTGGTTGGCCTGGAGCTGTCTATGGGCATATTCAGTCTCTGAGTTCAGTCATACTCCTGTTGCGTCAATTTTTTGAGCCAAGGACCACTCTGCCCCCTTTGTGCTTAAGCAGATTGGGATCGGGGTACTGTTGCTTGCAACCAGAGACCTGCCCAATGCAGTACTGTTATGTCTTCCTTCCACATTTTATATTTAATAATATAAAGTGACCTTCTGTGTCCTGTGTAACTTGCCCTAGATCACAATTTATTAAGGGGCTGAGTCAGATTAAACCCAGGTGGGCTGGCTCCAGAACCGAGGGCAGCACCTTGGGATACCTGATCATTCCACAGAAAGCCATTTGGTCTCCTCACCAGGGGATGGTGGGGGATGACTTCTCAGGTTCCAGTCCACCATGCAGGCCTCAAGCATTGTAACTAGATTTTTTAAAATATGAAAGGTTTTACTTTATTTTATTCTAATTAAAAAAATAAAAATAGCTTTTTTTCTGACTATTATGTAACTCGGGCTGCATTACCAAGTTCATGTGACGATTTCTCATGTTAAGGTTGAGCAGAACATTCTTAAAAACCTGTTTTCTTGACCATTTCCTGAATTATTTAAAAAAAGGTGTCACATAGTCATTAGAATACAGATAATACAGGGCTGGGCATGGTGGCTCCCACTTGTAATCTGAGCACTTTGGGAGGCCAAGGTGAGCAGGAGTTTGAGACCAGGCTGGCCAACATGGTGAAACCCTGTCTCTACCAAAAAAAAAAAAAAAAAAAAAAATTACAAAAATTAGCTGGGCATGGTGGTGCGAAATTGTAGTCGCAGCTACTCAGCAGGCTGAGGTGGGAGGCTGGCTTGAGATTGGGAGGCAGAGGTTGTGATGAGTTGAGACTGTGCTACTGCACTCCAGCCTGGGCAACAGTGAGACCCTGTCTCAAAATAAAAAAAATATGGATAATATACATGATATAACTGAATGTGAAGGAGAATACCTCCAGGCCCCTCACCATGAAATAGTCACTGTTCATATTTTGGTCAATATCCTTCCAGAAATTTTTCTATGTATATAAATATATAAAGATGCATTTATTTTAATAATACAATTCAATTGCATTCTAACATGGTTTTGTAGCCTCTTTTTCTACTTACTCTCACCTCTGGAGCATTTCTATGTGGCCCATACAATTCTAAGCATTTTACCTAAATTATTAATGGAATCTTCCTATCCGCTGCATGCCACATAACTATATCTAGGTTTCTGTCATCATTTTCCATGGCATTCTGTTGAATGGAGGTCTCATAATTTATTTAAATAGTCACTTCCCTATTGATGAACTTGTAGGTTGTTTCCACATTTTTACTAAAATGTAACAAACTGACCGCAGATGGATGTGAATAGCTTAGATCTTGTGATATACTGTGATTACTTTAATGGGATCAGACAAGCCAACCCCATCCTGGTCCTGCATGACCCGGTTTTTCCACTGTCAGATAATGTCCTGGGGCAGGAAGAATAGAGTGGGTGGGGCCTTTGATGAGGATGGCAGAAAAAGATCCTCTCTCTGGAGCTGAGGGTTGGATCAGTTGGGCCTGGCTTTGCCATAAGCGGGGCACTGGGGCAGTTCCAGAGGGAGCAGTGTGCTGTCCCTGGCCACCAGGAAGCAGGTGCTTCCCTGTGAGCAGGCTGAGCTGGGTCTGGGCATGTGCAGTGATGTTGCTGCCTGTGCTGTGCTTCCCTGTGGTCTCAGGCACCCGTGAGAGCCTGGCCTTTGCTCTGCTGGCAGATTGAGAGGAGGGGCCAGTGCCATGCTCTGGATGGAGTAGCCAAGGGAGCTTTAATCAAGGTGATAAATGGTCATACGCATCTAAACTCTCTTCACAAAATGATGGCGAATACACAAGGACTTCCAGTGGACAGGTGATAGGGAGCCCTATTCGCACACAGAGATCCACATTTGCATCATGGTATGGGTTTGCTCAGCAACACTAAGGCAAAAGAAATGTCACCTTAAAAAATTTTTCCAAATCAGATTAAATATGGCTCAGGCTTCAGCTGTCCTAATGACAGAATAGTCAATTTCATCATTTTGGGGAGCTACTTCTCTATCCTAGGATTCCCCGAGTCTTGGTGGAGAGAGACATTGGAGTCAGCATTGTGGCAACTCAGAGGGTTTTACTGGGAGAGTTTCTTGACAGGACTATTCACATGATATGGGAACTAACAGGGGATTGTGACAGAGAGCTGAGAGCATGATAGTGGAGCCTCCCGACAGGACCTTTAACCACTGAGAGCAACCCCTGATGGAACCACGGCCATGCAGGGCAGAGAATAAAGAGAGCAAATGTGGGGGGTGAAGAGAGAGGGGGATAACAACCAGCACTGGTGTTTCTCTTTACCGCGGTCTAGGGAATCCACTTCTCATGGGGAGGAGCCTACTCCCATCTTGTGATCGTAGCTCCATGGGCAAGCCCTGGGTGCTGGGCCAAGTGTGAATGAGGAAGGCTGTGCGGCCCTGAGGTCCTGATGCTTTCCCAGGATGCCCTGGAAATGGCGGGAGGCTGCCTCTCTTGCCCTCTCACCTAAGGGACCACCGAGGGAGGGGCTGGTCTCCGGGGTGGTAGCAGAGGCAGCAGTGAGCAGCACCAGAGCCGTAGGGACTGTTTCTGAGGCTCCCGGGGAGATTTCACTGTGGTTGGACCAGCAGCGGCTCTGCGGCCAGCAGAGCTAGGGCTGGGGCCACCTTGGACATTAGGGCCGCAAGGCTGGAGGTATGAAAGCCAGCCATGAGTGCATGGAGGCTCACAGTGAAAACTCACTTTATCTGGTTGTGTGCTTTGAGTTTCACAAGAAACTTTCTTCATGAGAAAATTCGAGTTTCCCTCAAGATTTTTATTATAAGTCAACGCCTTGGATAAGTTTCTATCTCTAGAAAAGATGAAGTCACTTGAAAGGTGGAAATATTTATTCAACAAAGAGCCAACTCTTCCACATTTGTTGAATCTAGTTCAATATTTTGTTTCAGATCCCGTATTAAAGGTCAGCGTGAAAATAAACTTTAGTGTCATGATTTTGTAAGGATCAGTAAATACAATGGATTGAGGGTTAAAATAAATGAACTTAAATACACACACACACCTTTCACCTGTTTTGAAACAAAATAAATTTATTTTGTAATGGCTTTTTGAGGTGTAATTCACATACTACGCGATTCACCCACTTAAAATGCAGAAGTCAATGGTGTTTAGCCACAGAGTTGGGCTACCATCACCACAATCAATTTTAGAACATTTTCATCACCCTGAAAAGGAACCCTGTACCCCTTAACCATCAATCTCCAATCCCCACCCGCCAGGCCTTGGTAACACCAATCTACTTTCTGTGTCAATAGATTTGCCTTTTCTGGGCCTTTTATATCAATGGAATCATACAGTAGGTGTGGCCTTATGTGTCTGGCTTCTTTCAGTTAGCACAATGTTTTCAAGATTTATCCATGTTGCAGCATGTATCAGTAATTTGTTTCCTTTTATGGCCAAATAATATTCCACTGCATGAATAACACCACATTTTGTTTATCTTTTCATTAGTTGATGGACATTTGGGTTGTTTCTCCTTTTTGGCTGTTATGAATAATGCTGCTATGAGCAGGTATGTACACGTTTTTGTATGGGTGGATATACATTTTTATTTTATTTTATTATTTTTTGAGACATATCACTCTGTCGCCAGGCTGGAGTGCAGTGGTATGATTTCAGCTCACTGCAACCTCTGCTTCCTGGGTTCAAGCAATTCTTGTGCCTCAGCCTCCCAAGTAGCTGGGATTACAGGTGTGTGCCACGACACCTGGGTAATTCTTTTTGTATTTTTAGTAGAGACGGGGTTTTGCCATGTTGGCCAGGCTGGCCTTGAACTCCTGACCTCAGTGATCCACCTGCCTTGGCCTCTCAAAGTGCTGGGATTACAGGCATGAGCTATGTAATAAAAAACCTGCCTATGTTTTTATTTTCTTGAATATATATTTATGATTAAATTTGATAAATTGTTCCTTCCATTACCAGTGAAGAATAAAGTGTAGGGGGAAATCGGAAGGAACAATTTATCAAACCAGATGTCAAAAAAAAAAAAACCCATAGAGTGCTTACTGTATACTGGGTGCCATTCTAAATGCTTGCTTAGCCACTAGCTATTAACTTATTTAATCCTAATGGCTATTTTCATTCCCATTTTATAGATGGGGAAACTGAGGCACACTGAAGTTGAATAACTTGCCCAAAGTCACATAGCTAGGAATGGCAGAACCAGAATTCAAACCTGGGAAGTCCAGTTCTAGACTTCGTACTCAATAAAATATCTGTGTCGTATACATTGGGGAGGTTAACAAAGGTGTACCAAATGTGTCTGCTGTGCTTATTGAAACCACCTGGCCTACCAAACCCTTACATAAAGATGTGACATGCAAGCCTCCAAAGATCACCGAAAACTGCTGAAATTCACACTATGGATACCCAGGGGCCTAAATGAGGTTTTCTCCCAGGACGGAGAAAGCAGTAATGAGTTTAGAGCAAGAGCCAGACAGTTTCCGAATTGTTTCATGTGCTCTTTAGTCTCTGATCAGAGTTTCTCACCTGCTCACCTGGGCTGCCTAATAGCTTTTCACGGGCAGATCTCGTATTCGGAGCAAAGTGTGTTCAATTTACTGACCAGCTGTTGGTAAGAGGTGAGAGGAGAAAATATTTCCCTTGAGGTGAATCTAGAAAGAGTTTTGAGAAATCTTGGTAGGCAAACACTTCCTAACAAGTTAAATGTAGCTTGTCCATCTCAGTCTCCTCAAAACAGTCATCTTACTGGTTTTACCCCAAGGGTGGTTTGTAGCCAGAATGGCTTTGCCATGGGTGAACACAGAGCTGTGTGTTTGGGGGAGGGGGCGAGGAACACGTGGGGAAGGAGAAGGATCCACCTAAAGATGGTGGGAAGCAGGCGCACCTGTGCATCAGAAATCCAAGGGCTCACCCTGGAGTCGTACTACCATTTTATCAACAATTCTAGAACATTGTCTTCACCATAAAATAGAAGGGAAATCTGCATTCCACCATCTTATCCCCAGGTTTGTCTAACCATTACCCTTTAGCAATATCAGGTTATGTTTAAACAAAATGGTTTGCAAAATATCGTTAATTAAGTAGTCTGTCTCTTTTTTTTTTTTTTTTTCTGTTGAGACAGACTCTCGCTCTGTCACCCAGGCTGGAGTGCAGTGGTACGATCTCCACCTCCTGGGTTCAAGCAATTCTCCTGCCTCAGCCTCCCAAGTAGCTGGGATTACAGGTGTCAGCCACCACGCCCAGCTAAGTTTTGTATTTTTAGTAGAGATGGGGTTTCACTATGTTGGCCAGGCTGGTCTTGAACTCCTGACCTCAAGTAATCTGCCTGCCTCAGCCTCCCAAAGTGCTGGGATTACAGGTTCCAGCCACCACGCCCAGCTAAGTTTTGTATTTTTAGTAGAGATGGGGTTTCACTATGTTGGCCAGGCTGGTCTTGAACTCCTGACCTCAACTAATCTGCCTGCCTCAGCCTCCCAAAGTGCTGGGATTACAGGCGTGAGCCACTATGCCTGGCCTGTTGGGGGGCTTTTTTTTTTTTTTTTTTTTGATAGACAGTCAAATCATTGACTAATTAATAATGGTGATATGGTTTCCCATTTTCCAGTTCTTATAATTGGGTTTAATGAAATAGTCTTTTACAGAACATATACAAGTGGATCTATTTAAAAAACACTTATTTATTTATTTATTGAGACAGAGTCTCGCTCTGTCGCCCAGGCTGGAGTGCAGTGACGCAATCTTGGCTCACTGCAATCTCTGCCTCCCAGGTTCAAGTGATTCTCCTGTCTCAGCCTCCGGAGTAGCTAGGATTACAGGTGCACACCACCACACTCGGCTAATTTTTGTAGTTTTAGTAGAGAGGGGGTTTCACCACGTTGACCAAGCTGGTCTCTAACTCCTGACCTCAAGTCATCCACCCCCCTCAGCCTTCCAAAGTACTGGGATTACAGGCGTGAGCCACCGCACCCAGTCTATTTTTAATTTTAAATAAAAATAAAAACGTTTCCTGCCTGACAACAATTACCCATTAGCAAATACATCTCAAAAATTCCATTACCAATAGTAATATCAGAAATGAAACACCAAAGGGACAAAAAAGAACATTAACTAAGTAGAGAACTGGAGCATGTGCCTGCATGGGAAGATGTACTATTATCAAGAAGTAATTCTCCCCAAAGTACTGCATAAATTTAACATGATTCCAGACAAAAATCTCAATGGCTTTGTGAATGCTGAAAACCTGATTCTAAATTTTCTCAGGAATAATAAATACATGCAAATAACCAAGAAGGTTTTTTAAAGTCTTAAGACATATTTATCCTCTTAGATTGAAAAAGTATTATAATACTAATTTAGGATGTGTTGCTGGTAAAGGAAGAGATAAGGTGAAAGAAATAGGAGTTTCTGACAAAGGCCAAGTTAATACAGTTCTCAGTGAAGTGGGCCAGATGACTAGATTTAAAATAACACCAGGGAGGGCTGGGCGCAGAGGCTCACACCTGTGATCCTAGCACTTTGGGAGGCTGAGGCAGGCAGATTGCCTGAGCTCAGGAGTTCGAGACCAGTCTGGGCAACATGGCGAAACTCCGTCTCTACTAAAAATACAAAAAGCAAAATTAGTCAGGCATGGTGGTGTGCGCCTGTAATCCCAGCTACTGGAGAGGCTGAGGCAGTAGAATCTATTGAACCTGGGAGGTGGAGGTTGAGAATCTCTTGAACCTGGGAGCTGAAATTGCACCACTGTACTTCAGCCTGGGTGACAGAGCGAGACTCTGTCTCAAAAAAATAAATAAAATTAAATAAAATAATACCAGTGCATTGTTAAAATTCCCATGCATGAATTAGAGCTAACACGCACGTGCTCACAAGCCATCTTTTGGACAGAACAACCAGGTCGCCGGTGGGTGCCTCGTGCTGCTGCACCGGGGACTCCCTGCTTACCGGCCAGAGTCACGGGTCACAGGCCAGGCTGTGAAGATGAAGAAGCTTCCCTTCTAGGAAGCACCCTCACAGCCAGTCCCAGAGAAAAACCTCAGGCCCAGGAAGCCACTCTGGCGATGTCCTGGCGGTATGCACAGGGTGATGGGCTTTACAGCTGGGTTTCCACTAAGCCTCCAGTTCTTGTCATAACTGTTCCCCAAGATCCCACTGGTCTAGTTACTCTGACCTGGAGAAAGTTCAACTCTCCTGTGCCTGCAGAGGTTGAAGGCGGTCCCCTCCTGGGCCGGGCTGCCTGCGCTTCAGCCACTGAGCATGTGGGTGGAACAGGCTTGGGGTTGGGGTGGGGAAAGCCCTCAGCCTCTTCCTGAGGCTGGGAAGTTTGGGGACAGCTTTGTCATCTCATACGTGGTAGCTCCCCGGTGGCAGAAGAAACTGAAGTCAGGAATAGAGGGAGAGACTGGCCTCCAGACTGCCCCTCAGTCAGATGCACCAGCATCCCTTCCTTGGCCTGTTCCAAGAACCCCTCCAGCCTCAGAAGGTTCCCCTTCCTCAAGTTTCCTCACTGTGTTCAGGAAAGCAATGAGAACATTTTGTTAAACAATAAACGAGTGTTTTGATATAGGGATTTTCAGGCTGAAGATGCACTCTTCTCAGCAGAGAGACGCATAGTTGGTGGGGAAGAGGTCAGCCAGTTTTTTAAGAAGAGTTCAGTGACTATTTTTCTTCAAGGAGAACAAAAGCAGCTCCTGAATAAGGCAAACAAGTTCATTATTAATCTTATTTTCCCCCTGGCTGATCACTTGCCCTCCATAACGTTGAGACAAGAGTATAAATGTTTTTGTTGCATCTGACAAGATAAATCTGGTGAATATGAAGTCCGAGAAGTTGGTTTAAAATGTTCACGACCAGGGCTGGGCACGGTGGCTCACGCCTGTAATCTCAGCAATTTGGGAGGCTGAGGAGGGCGGATCACCTGAGGTCGGGGGTTTGAGACAAGCCTGGCCAACAGGGTGAAACCTCATCCCTACCAAAAATACAAAAATTAGCCAGGTGTGGTGGTGCATGCCTGTGATCCCAGGTACTGGGGAGTCTGAGGCAGGAGAATCGCTTGAACCCGGGAGGCAGAGGTTGCAGTAAGCCGAGATCGTGCCACTGCAGTCCAGCCTGGGCGACAGAGTGAGACTCTGTCTCAAAAACAAAACAAACAAAAAAATTTTCATGGCCAGTATGGGGCAGTGGAAAGCTCCAGACTTCTATCTCATAGGGGCCTGAGGGGCCTGGTCCTACCACGGGAGGCCCCTCACGGGAGGTGACGTGGAGGATTCTAGGTCAGCAGCAAGAGAAATAGCCCGATCCATAGTGGGGGCAAAAGAAGTGGCAACCAAGATGTAGACCTGAAAGCGATGCTTGAGCAGACCTCTTGATGACAGGCCATGCCTGGTTTGTTCACAGAGGTACCACAGGACCCGGATCTCTGCCAAGTACCTTATATACATCTTCTCAATAATTTACGAGGTAACAATCACTATCCCCATTTCACAGATGAGAAAACTGAGGCTTGACCCAAGGAAAGGCTGTCAGGTGCTAGAGGTGGGTTTTCAACCTCTCTGAACCACAGGACCTATTACCTCTATACAGAGTGGAAACCAACAAAATGCCAGTTGGACAGATGGACGGACAGTGGATGCCAGGATGGGTGCTGCTGAACGGGAACGGGGACAGGTCTTTTTTGCTGGATATCCTTTGGTGACTTTTGAATTCTGCACTGAGTGCTTCTTTCTAAAATAAATACATAAAATGACAAAGAGGACTAATATCCTACAAGCAGAATAAAAGACCACTTTTGAAGGATCTAAAATCAGCTTAGCTCCTGCTTTCATTTTTCCAGAAATAAACATTCTAAGCCCAGCAAGATGCCCTGACTGCTGCTGCTCCATTCTTGTACATTACAAAGAAATGAGGCAAAAATTGGGCAGGAAATTGTTTGCAGTAAGAATGACAGGACATAGTTATTTCATTTTATAATTTATTTTAATTTTAAATGGACAAATAAAAATTATATATATTTATGGTGTACAACATGATGTTTGATATATGTACGCATTGTGGAATGACAAAATCAAGCTAATTAACATACTCATTACCTCACATACTTATTTTATTGTGATGAGAACATGTTTAAAATCTATTCTTACAGCAATTTTCAAGTACACAATACAAAGTAACTGTAGTTACCATGCTGTTTAATAGATCTCTAGAACTTACTCCTATCTGAAATTTTGTATTATTTGACTAACATCTCCCCAATCTCTCCCCCGCCCCTGCCTTGGGTAACCACCATTCTGCTCTCTACAACTATGAGTTCAATATTTTTAGATTCCACATATAAGTGAGATCATGCAGTATTTGTCTTTCTGTGCTTGCTTTTTAAAACTTCATTATGTATTTATTTATTTTTTGAGACAGGGTCTCACTCTGTCACCCAGGCTGGAGTACAGTGACACAAACATGGCTCACCATGGCCTCCACCCCCTGGGGTCAACAGATCCTCCCACCTCAGCCTCCTGAGTAGCTAGGACTACAGGCATCCAGCACCACACCTGGCTAATTTTTGTATTTTTTGTCGAGATGGGGTTCACCGTGTTGCCCAGGTTGGTCTCGAACTCCTGGGCTCAAGCGCTCCACCTGCCTTGGCCTCCCAAAGTACTGGGATTACAGGCATGAGCCACCGCGCCTGGCCTTTGCTTTATTTCACTCAGTATAACATCCTCTAGGCTCATTCATGTTGCAAATGACATGACTTCTTTCTTTTTTCTTTTTTTTTTTTTTTTGAGACAGAGTCTCACTTTGTCACCCAGGCTGGAGTGCAGTGGCGTGATCTCGGCTCACTGCAAACTCCACCTACTAGGTTCACGCCATTCTCCTGCCTCAGCCTCCCGAGTAGCTGGGACTACAGGCGCCTGCCACCTCGCCCGGCTAATTTTTTTCTTTGTATTTTTAGTAGAGACGGGGTTTCACCATGTTAGCCAGGATGGTCTCGATCTCCTGACCTTGTGATCCGCCCGCCTCGGCCTCCCAAAGTGCTGGGATTACAAGTGTGAGCCACCACGCCCGGCCGACTTCTTTCTTTTTTAAGGCTGAATAGTATTCTATTGGGTATATATACCAGTTTATTTATTTTCCTTTTTTTAAATTTTTTTTTTGAGACAGAGTTTCGCTCTTTTCACCCAGGCTGGAGTGCAGTGGCATGATTTTGGCTCACTGCAACCTCTGCCTCCTAGGTTCAAGTAATTCTCCTGCCTCAGCTGAGACAGGCATGTGCCACCATGCCTGGCTAGTTTTGTATTTTTAGTAGAGATGGGGTTTCACCATACTGGCCAGGCTGGTCTTGAACTCCTGACCTCAAGTGATCCGCCAGGTTTGGACTCCCAAAGTGCTGGGATTACAGGTGTGAGCCACCACATTGGGCCTCATTGTGGTTTTAATTTGCAACAGTGCACTTTAATAAGAGACTTTACAAATTAGTTGGATTGAGGGCCTTAATAGAGAATTGGGTAAAACTCATGAAAAAAACAATATACTCAGAAGAAAATACTTTTACAGCACCCAAGAGAAGACAAACATCTGTAGTAATCATAGAAATGTAATTAAAATGTAAATGAGGCACTATTTTTAATCACTAGTTTTTAAAAAAACACTGTACCCAATTCTGACAAAAGTGTGGTGTTTTGAGGCAGCATTAAATTGATGCAATATGTATTTGAAATAGGTATTGATATATATCAATTGTCATTGAAGCCTTCATATCCTTTGATTGAGGAATCTCAAGCTTGTATAATTTGTCTAAGGAAATTGTCCAAAAGACCCTGAACCAAATATACAAAAAACGTTATTCCCCCATTATTTATAATGTTAAAAAACTGAATGTAATTACTGTAAATAAACTTAATAGAATATAATAGTCTTTAAGAAAATAATTTAATGCATGTGCAAAGATTTATCTCCATGAATGTTCACTAAGCATTGTTTATGATAATAAAAGATTGGAAATAACCTATGTGTCCAACAATATAGTGTAATTTTTGCAAATAACTAATATAAATAATAAATAATGGAAAATTCATAATGTGGGATACTATAGAATTACATTTGTTGATATGTAGATGTGACTACTTCTACGTTTTTGGAGTGAAAAAGTTATAAAGGAGTATTAAAGTATATTCCATTGGAAGACTCGCACTTCTCAATTTCAAAACTTAGTATAAAGTTATAGTGATCACAACAGTGTGGTATTGTCATAAGTATAGATACATAGATCACTGTAATAGAATGGGGATACAGAAATAAATCCGTATATCTGTGGTCAACTGATTTCAAAAAGGATCTCAAGACCATTCAATGGGAAAGGAAGAGTCTTTTCAATAATTGGTACTGGGACAACTGGATATCCACATGCAAAAGAGTGAAGTTGAACTCTGACCTCACACCATGCGTAAAAATGAACTCAAAATGGATCAAAGATCTAAATGTATGAGCTAAAATGATAAAACGCTTAGAAAGAAACAATTGTAAATCTTCACGACCTTCAATTAGGCAACAGTTTCTTAGATATAATACTTAAAGCAAAAGCAACCAAAAAAGATGAATAATTTGGACTTCATCAAAAGTAAAACGTTTGTTTGTTTCATCAAAGGACAGTATCAAGATAGATAATGAAAATGGAATGTAATTCCTGTACATAACCCACAGAATGGGGGAAAAATTTACAAATCTGATAAAGGTCTAGTATCCAGAATATATAAAGAACTCTTACAACTCAACAATAAAAAAGACATATAACTCAATTGAAATATGGGCGAGAGACTTGAAGAGACATTTCTCCAAAAAAGATATACAAATGGTCAATAAGTACACGAAACAACAGATGCTCCCTATCACTAGCCATTAGGGAGTTCAAATTAAAACTACAAAGAAATACTACTTTACTAGATGATTTACATTTCACCAGAATGGCTGTAATAAAAAAAATGAAACAAAGCAATTGTTGCCATTGTGGAGAAATTGGAACCCTTATACATTGCTGATGGGAATGTCAAATGGTGTAGTTACCATATGATCCAGCTTATATGACCCAGCAATTCCACTCTTATGTATGGAATGCATAAGAACTGAAAAAAATGGTCCTGCAAAAACATGTATATGAATGTTCATAGTAGCATTATTTATAATAACCGAAAAGTACAAAAAAATCCAAATGTCCATCAACTAATGAATGGACGAACAAAATGTGGTATATCCACATAAAGGAATATTATTCAGCCATAAAAAGGAATAAAGCACTGATTCATGCTATAACATGATGAACTTTGAAAACATTATGCTAAGTGAAAAAAACAAGTCACAAGGGATCACATATCATATGATTCTATTTCTATAAAATGTCCAGGATAAGGAAATTCACAGAAACAGAAAGTAGATTGGTGGTTGTCTAGGGCTGGGAGGACAGGAGGGAACTAAGGAGTGACTGCTAGTAATTGCAGGATTTCTTTATGGTGTGATTGAAAGTATTCTAAAATTGTGGTGATGATTGCATAACACTGTGACTATACTAAAAGGCACTGAATTGTATACTTCAAAATGGTGAATTTCAGCCAGGTACAGTGGTTTATGCCTGTAATCCCAGCACTTTGAGAGGCTGAAGTGGGCAGATCACTTGAGCTCAGGAATTCGAGACCAGCCTGGGCAACGTGGTGAAACCCCGTCTTTACCAAAAAAATACAAAAACTATTAGCCAGATGTAGCGGCATGCATCTGTGATCCCAGCTACCCAAGAGGCTGAGGTGGGAGGATCGCTTGAGCCTGGGAGGCAGAAGTTGCAGGGAGCCGAGATCACACCACTGCACTCCAGCTGGGGTGACAGAGTGAGACCTTGACTCTACCAAAAAATAAATAAAATAAAATAAAATAAAATGGTGAATTTTATGTTGTGTGAATTATATCTCAATTTTAAAATTTCAAGAAGGAATCCAATCCAAATGTATATATGTGTATGTATGCATATCTGTCTATCTGCCTACCTATCTGTTTATCTGTCCATCTATCTCTGGGCAGTAAAATTACACATACATTCTCAGTTGCTTCTTCATAATTAAGTGTATCATCTAAGTTATTTCGAATGAATATTTATAATTTGTGAAATAAAAAAGTTTTAAAAAGTCTAAAATTAACATGGAAGATATTGATTCAATTTCTAAAAGAAGGGATATAAAATAGCAGCACATCCTGCAACTATACAACATAAATATATGGTACTAGTACTGGAAAATAGAATAAAATGAAAATAAGTATGCAAAAGTGGTAAATTTATGTATGAATTAAAAAATTAAAAAAATTTTACTGTAATCTTTATGTTTACAAGTAGATAGAAAATGACCACATTGGCCTCAAAAATGAAATGGGGCTTTGTTTATTTATTTAATATTGAAAATGTTAATGGCAACATTATCATGTCTAGGCACCTTTTTCTGAAAATGCATTCTATAAATGCATTCTATAAATATTCATTTATATTTATAGAATGCATTCTATAAATATTCATTGCATAAGTTTTCTGTTTCTTCCTTGAACTTTCCCTTTTACCAATTTTTCTGTTGTTCTACCTGAGTTTTCTTATTCTACTTGTGTTTTCATGGAAAATTGTTCACTTCCTTTAACATTTCAAACTCACTAAAGTTTAACTTTGAATAGAATTTCCCAATAATTTTAATGATTATGTAGTTTTCAAATTTTGTTTCCCTTATATTCTTTTGGGTATTTAGTTGGTTATACCTTAGTATTAGTGGTTTGTAAATATTGTATTAATTAATTTTTATCTTAGTTTTGCTATTTGGCATATTCTTTTCTAATTTCTATGATTTCATATTTATTACTGCCTTTTAAAATTTATTGCTTATATATATTTTAAAAATTTAGATGTAGATCTTTCTTTCTTGTTCTTATAGGAATGAAAGATACAAAAGTACCTCTGATACAGCTTTGAATATGTACCTGTTACCTTTTTTGGTTTTAAATTAATGCCTCTATATTTAACACTGTCTTTTCAACTCGATTGTTCTATCACGGAGTATTTCTTCCATTCTTATCTGGCCATGTGCAAAATGGTGGTATATTGCCTTTCTCTGTAATTTATTGAATTGCAGTCTGAATCAATGTGTGAAATCTTTTCTAATAATACCTGTCTTCAAAATTGCAATTAATTTTTGTACAAGCTTCATGTACACTTGAGAAAGCTCTTTGTTTCCCAATTTTTCCTCTTTGGAGCAGTTCGTTCAATCACATCCCTTTGTAGAAGAAAAAATGGAGGCCTCTGAGGTGCAGGGACTTGCTGGTGATTCCTCAGTGGAGCTGGGGCGCAGCCTGTGCTTGGGGCCATTGAATGGAGTATTATTGAGAGTTTATGCCAACATGCTTCAACAGTACTCTCCCCTGCTAATGCTCCTTTCTGTTGAAAAGCTACAGAGCAGGGGCTGCCTTAAGCCAATATCCTGTTTTGGGGGCTCTCCCTCTCTGCAGCCTCCCTGCTTCACAAAGCATCATTCTGACCTGTTAACCTTGGTCCTCTGTTTGGCTTTGTCTGAAGAAGGAATTCTTTCCTAGCGGCCTGGATCCTCACGCAAATAGACCTCCAGCGGGTCCTCCCACTGGTGTTTTGGGCATGCCTAGGTATGCCGGACTCCTGGGATGAACATAATAACTTAATCAGTCAAGCTGGGACTCACTACACTTGCTTTGTGCAAACATGACTTATCTATGCTAGGCTTTTAAATTATTCTTTTTTCTTTAAGTGTGTGTGTGTTTTAAAATGAGATGCATGTGTGGATTTTGTCTTTTTAATCTAGTTTGTAATTTTATTTTTTAAATAGGAGAATTCGGTCCATTTACATGTAATCTTATAATTGTTGTAATTGTGTTTTCTGGTATTTTTCTCAGTTAATAAAATTCTCTGTTTTCTCTTTAACTTAACATAAGGATTTCCATTTTAAAAATTCATTTAAGTGTTTTAAAAATTCATTTATGTGAGATTGAATTTAACTTTTTTTTTTTTTTTTTTTTTCAGATGGAGTCTCTCTCTGTTGCCCAGGCTGGAGTGCAATGGTGAGGTCTTGGCTCACTGCAACTTCCACCTCCAGGGAGAAGCAAATGATTCTCCTGCCTCAGCCTCCCGAGTAGCTGGGACTACAGTCACGTGCCACCACACCCGACTAATTTTTGTATTTTTAGTAGAGAGGGGGTTTCACTATGTTGGCCAGGCTAGTCTTGAACTCCTGACCTCATGATCCACCCGCCTAGGCCTCCCAAAGTGCCGGGATTACAAGTGTGAGCCACCGTGCCCAGCCCAACGTAACATTTTTTGAACAACTCCATTTCCTCATGTTTTTCTCTCTTGACTGACCTATCCCCAAACAGCCTGCGCTTGCTTTCTCTTTCTTTCTTTCTCTCTCTCTCTCTCTCTCTTTCTCTTTCTTCTTTCTTTCTTTCTTTCTTTCTTTCTTTTTCTTTCTTTCTTTCTTTCTTTCTTTCTTTCTTTCTTTCTTTCTTTCTTTCTTTCTTTCTTTCTTTCTTTCTCTTTCTTTCTTTTTTGATAGAGTCTTGCTCTGTCACCCAGGCTGGAGTGCAGTGACACCATCTCGGCTCACTGCAACATCTGCCTCCCAGGTTGAAGTGATTCTCCTGCCTCAGCCTCCTGAGTAGCTGGAATTACAGGTTCCCCTCACCATGCCTGGCTAATTTTTGTATTTTTAGTAAAGATGGGATTTCACCATGTTGGCCAGGCTGGTCTTGAACTCCTGACCTCAGGTGATCCGCCCACCTTGGCCACCCAAAGTGCTGGAATTATAGGCGTGAGCCACTGTGCCCGGCCATTTTTCATATCTGTTGTAACTCAAAACCATTTTTCTTTCTTATATAGAGATACAGAATTTTGGGAGTCATTTACTCATCCTCTCTCTTCTTAGCCAGGTCCTCTTGGTTTCATTTTGTTTTGTTTGGGTATTCTGAAAACTTTTCTCTCCAGTTAAATATTTTATTATTTTTCCTTCTTTTGTACACCAGCAAGTTCAGCTTTAAATCCTGTTAAATATTTTAAAATATGATTGTTACATTTTATTACACCTATATATCCCTGCTTTCAGACTGGAATATGCATATTTGTGGAGATATCAGGCTATGCTACATATGACTATTATTTCTCCCTGCCTACATGCCCTTCATTGAAATTGCCACCTCCCTCCAGATAAGTATACATACATAACCCCCCAGCCCCTACGACCTGGGCAGTCATAATTCCGCTAAGTAAATCTGTTTCCTTGGCTCAACTGATTGGATCCAGTGGGCCCCTAATCCATATACTCCATGGATGGTCAATTTACAGTCCTGTTTTTTTGAGATGGAGTCTCGCTCCGTCACCCAGGCTGAAGTGCAGTGGCGCAATCTTGGCTCACCACAACCTCTGCCTCCAGGCTCAAGCGATCCTCCTACCTCAAGTGATCCTCCCACCTCAGCCTCTCAAGTAGCTGGGTCTACAGGTGTGCACCACCACGCCCACTTAATTTTTGTATTTTTTTGGTAGCGACAGGTTTTCGACATGTTGTCCAGGCTGGTCTCAAACTCCTGGGCTCAAGCAATTCACCCATCTTGGCCTCCCAAAGTGCTGGCATTATAGGAGTGAGCCACTGTGCCTGGCCACGTAGTCATTTTTCACTCCTAAGAGTGACCTCTTCTTATTAAATGACAATGTTAGTAAATATATATTCACAATGTGCTCAGGCACTGTTCTAAGTACTTTACATGCATTGACTCATTTAAATCTCATATCAACCTCATGAGGTGATATGACTATCATTATCTACATTTCACAGGCAAGGAAAACAGAGAGGCAGAGAGGTTGAGTAACTTGTCCAAGGTCACACACAGTGAGTAACTGGTAGAGTTGGATTTGAACCCAGCAGTTTGGCTCCCTCTGTCCTAAGTGCTATGCTGAATTGCTGCTGTATTGGATTTGCAACACAAGAAATCCCTTTTTGTTATACCAGCTTCATATGAGGCTGGTCTCTGGCAGGCAGTAAGGTACAGAAGAAAGTAAAATCTTGTACCTCCCTCTTCAGTGAATTCCCCAACAAAACAAAGGTACAAGCATTCTGGGTTTTGTGAATTGAATGCCATTCTTTTTTTCTCTTTTAAAGCGTAAAAATTATTAGATGCCACTTGTAGCTGGTGAGATGTGTCTGTGATTAAAAGAGAAATTTCAAAACCAGAAAAAAATATGCAAGATAGAAGACAGGAGAAAGAAAAGATAAAATAGGATGATGACAGAATATAAAAATTAAGACAGATTTAAAGCTAAAAACGTGGGAATAAAAATGTAGAAAGAATAGGGCAACACTGTAAATCAGGGAATTTTCTAAAATCCACTTTAATTTCTTATTTTTTTTTTAGAGTCTTGCTCTGTCTCCCAGGCTGAAGTGCAATGGCACAATCTCAGCTCACTGCAATCTCTGCCTCCCGGGTTCAAGCATAAAATCCACTTTTAAAGTAGCATTTATGAAATTAAAAAAGAAAATAGGAAAGCACTAGAAAACAAAACAAAAAAATTAAACCTAAAAAGTTAAGCATAATATGTTGATAACATCCCAATAAAATAAAATTAACAGGTAAAATATTTAAAAAGATGACATTTTAAATAGGAACCAGAAGGTAAAAGAGAAATTAAGCTAAGACCTCAGAGTCCAAAGAAAAAGAAATATTCTCATAGAATTTAGATTTTCAAAGTTAAGGCTGGGCGTGGTGGCTTATGCCTGTAGTCCCAGTACTTTGGGAGGCTGAGGCAGGCGGATCACTAGATCAAGAGATCCAGACTATCCTGGCCAACATGGTGAAACCCTGTCTCTACTAAAAATACAAAAATTAGCTGTGCATGGTGGTGTGCACCTGTAGTCCCAGCTACTTGGGAGGCTGAAGCAGGAGAATCGCTTGAACCCAGAAGTCAGAGGTTGCAGTGAGCTGAGATCACGCCACTGCACTCCAGCCTGGAGACAGAGCAAGACTCCGTATCAAAAAAAAAAAAAAAAAATTTTAAGAGAAAAAAGAATACTATATATAGAAAAAAGAAAATGTATTTTTTAAAAACATTAAGTTTAAATTGAGAGAAGAGCAAAAATAGACTTTAATCAGACCAAAATTGTATGTTGGAATTAGTGGTCTGGATGGGTGTAGTCGTTGCAGTTGAGGACGCCAAAAACAGTAGATATGGGAATGGTGAGACACCTTTTCTATTCACCATGGCGCTCTCAGCCTTGGTGAAGGCCAGGCTCCTGGCACTTTAACATATCCCTCAACAGAACTGGGGCCTCGAAAAGGCCAGCAAATCCTGCTTCACTTTGGTTCTTGGAATGTGTTTGATTCTTAGTTTTTCTTTACCCTTTTTAATAGTCCTTTCATTATCTTTTACTGCCTTTATGATAAAATTATCATGTGAAAGGCAACTAAAATATGTTGAATGAATGTATTCCATCTTATCTCCTTGGAGTTTTGGTGTTTGATTTGGTTATTACACTTTCACACACACACACCCCACCTTTATCACCTTGACTCATCTCTGAGGTTGCAACACTTGTTATTGACCCTGAGTTGCTTGGTTGTTTGCTTCTTTCACTGTCCTTGGTGGCAGTGGAATTGGGTGGGGAGGAGACAATCCTCAGAACCTGCTCAGGGACTGGATTGTTAGGGTGTGGGCGTGGTGATGAGGGAAAGTGGAGTCAGGGATGACCCCATGGTGTCTGCTTTTGTGACTGAGTAGATGTTAGTCCAGAAGGCTGGGTTAGGGGTGGTGGTTGCTAAGAATTCAGGTCAGGCTGGGACTGAGAGGTTCTGGGGCAACCACAGCTGTGTACAAGCCCTAAACTTCCAGAAAGGCTTGGACTTCATAACAGACTGTTATGGACTAAATGTCTGTGTTCTTTCAAAGTTCATATGTTGAAACCCTAATCCCAGTGTGATGGTATTTGGAGGTGGGGGCTTTGGGAAGTACTTGGGTCATGAGAGTGGAGTTCTTACTAATGGGATTAGTGTTCTTCTAAGAAGAGGCCTGTGAGAGGCCAGCTAGCTAGCCTTCTTCCTATCACGTCACAACAGGACAAGAAGGCCATCTATGAACCAGGAAATGGTTCGCCAGAGATGGAATCTGCTAGTGCCTTGATCTTGGACTTCACAGCTTTTAGAACCACGATAAACAAATTTCTGTTGTTCATAAGCCACTCAATCTATGGTATTGTGTTATAGCACTCCTAAAGGACCAAGATAGCCCACTTGACCCATATTTTGGTGTTTCTAAATTCTTCAGCCATACATTTTGAATTTATTGGTTTTCTGACACAGATAACCTGTCACATCTGTTATGGAGAGATCTGTTGTCTTTCAGAGAATATTACTTCTATCTCTTTTCAGGGAGCTTATTGTAATACTTGTTTCAATAGGAACATACTGAAGTAATGGACTGAACGAACATATGCTAGTGGGATAAGCCTCTTGCCGCAAGTCTACTCCAGAGTGTGTTGTGATCTTCCTTTAGCCCACGTGAGGAAGCCAGGGCTCACATCACTTAAGAGGGCACAGTGCGCTGGGCGCTGTGGCTCACGCCTGTAACCCCAGCACTTTGGGAGGCCGAGGTGGGCGGATCACGAGGCCAAGAGATCGAGACCATCCTGGCCAACATGGTGAAACCCCGTCTCTACTAAAAATGCAAAAATTAGCTGGGTGTGGTGGGATGTGCCTCGTGAGCCGAGATTGCACCACTCCACTCCAGCCTGGCGACAGAGTGAGACTTCATCCCCCGACCCCCACAAAAAAAAAAGAGGGCACAGTGATATGTCCACCCTAGCCCTGTAGCCTATACAAAGGCAGGCAGCACACTTTGACAAACGACCAATCAAAATGAGATTTGTCCGTTGAACTTAAGGAAAATAATGGTCTCAGCCCTACTTCCTCTGCTCTTGTCCTTGATTCTCTATTCCTACTTTTAATTATTTTTGGTTTCCTTGGCTTCACCTCCTATTTCTAGTCCTGAAATCTCAGGTTTTCTTTTTATTTTTTTATTTTTTGAGACGGAGTCTTGCTCTGTCTCCCAGGCTGGAGTGCAGTAGCCCGATCTAGGCTCACTGCAACCTCCACCTCCCAGGTTCAAGCAGTTCTCCTGCCTCAGCCTCCCGAGTAGCTGAGGCTACAGGCCCCCACCACCATGCCTGGCTAATTTTTTGTATTTTTAGTAGAGACAGGTTTTCACCATGTTGGCCAGGCTGGTCTCGAACTCCTGACCTCAAGTGATCAGCCCGCCTTGGCCTCCCAAAGTGCTGGGATTATAGTCATGAGCCACTGCATCCGGCCACAGATTTTATTTCAATCCTTTGTTCTCTTCCTCTTCTAGGTCTTCCCCTTCCTGTCCCCACTGGCCCCTCTCCTATCCACTGAATCCCTGGATGCCTGACACCCTCTGCCTCCTGTCCTTGCTGGGTTTCCTCTACCCTCTACATTTCAAAGACAAGTTTTGCTGAAATCACAGTTTTCCTGAGGGTTCTAGAAAGGTCTGTGTGAACATTAAAAAACAAAGGTTCCTTGGGTTCATTTAGTCTTTAAGCAAACATCGATTGAGGCCTGTGTGTGTGGCAGGTACTGCAGATGCAAAGTTTTCCACCTTCATGGAGCTCATAGTTACTAAGGGAAACCCTGAATTTTCTTAGACTACTGCAACGCACTGGCCGGGTGCGGTGACTCACACCTGTAATCCCAGCACTTTGGGACAAGATGGGCGGAAGAGTGAGACCATCCTGGCTAACACGGTGAAACCCCGTCTCTACTAAAAATACAAAAATTAGCCGAGAGTGGTGGCACGCGCCTGTAGTCCCAGCTACTCGGGACTGAGGCAGGAGAACTGCTTGAACCCAGGAGGCGGAGGTTGCAGTGAGCCGAGATCGCACCATTGCACTCCAGCCTGGGCGACAGAGCGATAGTCCGTCTCAAAAAAAAAAAAAAAAAAAAAAAGAGAAATATAGGCACAATTTAATGCATCTCTTTTCCTTTTTCAATATGGAGCATACGGTGGTTCAAGCATCTGTCCACATTGTATTCCCGAAGTTTGATCCCTACCCTGCCCTGCCCTCCCGTCTTTCCTTCCCTCTCTCTTTTTTTTTTTCTGGAGTGCAATGGTGCGATCTCGGCTCACTGCAACCTCCGCCTCCGGGGTTAAAGCGATTCACCAGCCTCAGCCTCCTGAGTAGCTGGGATTACAGGCATGTGCCACCACGTCTGGCTAATTTATTATTTTTAATAGGGACGGGGTTTCTCCATGTTGATCAGGCTGGTCTCGAACTCCCGACCTCAGGTGATCCGCCCGCCTCGGCCTCCCAAAGGGAAGTTTGATTTTTCTATGGTCACCAATGGACACTTGATCTCCATAGCTTGAGAATGGCGGCCATCCCCTCACTGGCATTCTTTCCTCTTGTGCTCTCCCGAACGTTCTGGCTGCTCTTTGGATTTCCTTTTCCTTTGCTCACATCTACAATATTGGTGTTTCCTAGGTCCCGTACTTAACGATTGTTTCCTCTCAACACGCTTCCCTGGGCGGGCTGAACTGTCGGGGGCTTTCTCGGCTGCGCTTCCTCTCTCACCTGAAACCCTCTTCCCAACCCTTTATACTAGGTCGACGTCTCCAACATCAGCTGCTCCCCACCCGTGTCTGGGTGGGCCCCTTGGGCAGGCTCCCCTAGTCTCCTTTCCTTCGATCATCCCCACGTGCAGGACGTCATCTGCTTGCTCTGCCATCAGCCTCACATCCTGAGGGCAGGGACCATGCGGGGGTTGTCCATCTCTGTATCCCCAGTGCCAGCACTGCACCTCGCCCCAAGCAGTTGTCCAATAAATGAGCAGTGAGTAAATGAAAGAATGAGCAAAGCCTTGTAACAGGAAAGGGGCCGGCGGCGTCTGCCGTGCAAGACCTGGCCCAGTGGAGCAGAGCCTGGAGGTTCAGGAGCCGGGTCTGGAAGGCTCCTTCCGGTGGAAGAGGGGCCCGGAGCCAGCCGGCGCCTGGCACAAGGCGTCTCAGAGGCCGCCCACTGGGAGCCAACCGTTGCAGCCAGTTGTCCCCGCGAGCGAGGCCGGAGAAGGCGCGGCGGCCCCTGGCCTGGCCATTTCGCCCTTGTCGCAGCTGAACCGCCGACTACGAGCTCCTGCACCGCGCACACACCCCGCGCGCTTCGCTCTCGGCCTCGCCCGGCCACCGTCGCTCTCTAGAACGCCGCGCCCGTGACCCGGAAGAGCATTCTCCTTAGCAACTGCGGGACTGCGGCGGCGCCGGCCTCCGGGGAGAAACGGTGAGGCCCTCACTCGCCTGCCCCCTGCACCGCCTAGTGCTGCACGACCCCCTCGGGACCGACCCGGGGTCTGGCCTCTGGGGGGCTCCGCGGCGCTTCGCCCGGCACCTGTGGTGGCGGCCCGGGACGAGCGTCTTCCGCCTCTGGCGTTGCTCCCCGGCCCACGCGTCTTCCCTGTCCCGCATCTCCCTCAATGTCCCCAGCTCCCCACTCTCCGCTCCTGACCGACCCGGCCTCCCAGGCCGCGCTTATAGCGCCGGGGCCCTTGTAGCCTAGGATGGCGTGAGGGGAGCGAGACCAGAATTAGAGCCTGTTGCTGTAGAGAGGACGCCTCCCGAGGCTCGGGTCACCTGTGGACGCGTTCTCTAGGGTCTTGATCGAGATGTTCAGGACTGGCAGGGATGGGGAGCCTCGGGAATCTTGAAGGGCAGCCGCTTAATTATAACATGTCCTTGACGTTTGCGCTTTCCACAGTGATACACTTTATCTCCTTTATTGATCATAGAGAGTTTTTTTTTTTAATAAACTTTTAGATATGGGGGATACGCATGCAGGTTAGTCACATGGGTATATTGCACCCAGGTATTGAGCATAGAACCCAGTAGGTAGTTTTTCAACCCACATCCCCCATCTCTCCCCTCCTTCCAGTAGTCTACAGTGTCTACCGTTACCTTTTTTTTTTTTTTTTGAGACGGAGTCTCATTCTGTCGCCCAGGCTGGAGTGCAGTGGCGCGATTCGGCTCACTGCAAGCTCCGCCTCCTGGGTTCATGCCATTCTTCTGCCTCAGCCTCCCGAGTAGCTGGGACTACAGGCGCCCGCCACCCCGCCCGGCTAATTTTTTTGTATTTTTAGTAGAGACGGGGTTTCACCATGTTAGTCAGGATGGTCTCGATCTCTTGACCTCGTGATCCGCCCGCCTTGGCCTCCCAAAGTGCTAGGATTACAGGCGTGAGCCACCGCACCCGGCCGACTGTTCCCATGTTTATGTCCATGTGCGCTCAATGTTTCTACTCCCACTTGTAAGTGTGCTCAATGTTTAGCTCCCACTTATAAGTGAGAACGTGTGGTGTTTAGTTTTCTGTTCTTGTGCTAATTCGTTTAGGATTATGGCCTCCAGCTCCATCTGTGCTGCTGTAAAGGACATGATATCTTCCTTTTTTGTGGCTGCATAGTATTCCATCCTGTACATCCACATTTTTTTTTTCCAGTCCACCATTGATGGTCACCTAGGTTGATTCCGTGTGTTTGCTATTGTGAATAGCTCAGCCGTGAACATACAACTGCATATGTCTTTTTGGTATAATGGTCTGTTTTCCTTTGGTTATATACCCAACAGTGGGATTGCTGGGTGAAATGGTGGCTCTTTAAGTTCTTTGAGAAATCTCCAAACTGCTTTCCACAGTGGCTGAACTAATTTACATTCCCACCAACAGTAGTTTAAATGTTCCCTTTCCAAGGGAGCCTAATGAGGATCTGTTGTTTTTTGACTTTTTGATAATAGCCATTCTGACTGGTGTGAGATGGTATTTCATTGTGGTTTTGATTGGCATTTCTCTGATAATTAGTCATGATCATGTTTTCCATATATTTGTTGGCTGCTTGTATGTCGTGGTTTTTTCTTTTTGTATTTCTTCTGAGAAGTGTTCATGTCCTTTGGCCATTTTTAAAAATGGGCTTATTTGTTTTTTGCTTGTTGATTTAAGTTCCATAGGGATTCTGGATATTGGACCTTTGTCAGATGCATAGTTTGTGAATATTCTCGCCCATTTTGTAGGTTGTCTGTTTAATCTGTTGATAATTTCTTTTGCTGTGCAGAAGCTCTAGTTTAATTAGTTCCAACTTGTCAATTTTTGTTTTTGCTGCAGTTGCTTATGGGGACTTAGCCAAAAATTTGCCAAGGTCAGTGTCAAGAAGTGTATTTCCTGGGTTTTCTTCTAGGATTTTTATAGCTTGAGGTCTTTTATTTTATTTTGAGACAGGGTCTCACTGTCACCCAGGCTGGAGTGCAGTAGCGTGACTGCAGCTCACTGCAGCCTCGATTTCCCAGGCTCAAGTGATCCTCCCACCTCAGCCTCCCGAGTAGCTGAGACTACAGGTGCGCACTACCACGTTCGGCTAATTTTTGTATTTTTTATGGAGATGTGGTTTTTACCATGTTGTCAGGCTGGTCTCTGACTCCTAGGCTCAAAAGATCTGCCTGCCTCAGTTGCCCAAAGTGCTGGAATTACAGGCATGAGCTACTGTGCCTGACTGAGGTCTTTGCATTTAAATCTTTAACCCATTATGTATATCATGAAATATATACAGTTTTATATCTTCTGCATGTGGCTAGTTAGTTATCCCAGCACCATTTATTGAATAGGGAGTCCCTTCTCCATTTGTTTTTTGTCAGTTTGTTGAAGATCATATGGTTGTAGGTGTGTGGCTTTATTTCTGAGTTTTCTGTTCTGTTCCATTGTTCTATAGGTGTGAGACTCATTTAATTGTACATCTTGAACTGATCCTTTTCTGGGGAATTTGCTTCCCAGTTGTGAGTGAGGTGTGGTTAGTATATTCTGTAGCTTAGATTTTTGTGCTTACAAGTTTTCTGCAGAAGGAAATCTTCCCGGGACTGACTAGGTTTGAGGTTTGAGAAATATTTCAAGTGAAATTTGCTACATTGAAGAAAGTAGGAGCAGGTGTTGTTAATAGCATGGACTTACACTTCAGAAGACACTATGGCACTGGAAAACCTCCCCTGATTTGAGTTTGAATGAGCTGTACTAAGAAAACTGTAAGCCTTATTTGAACATGGTTGGATAACGACTTTATTTTTAATCTGATGATGATGGAGCTAAAACTGAGGCGTGTGAACCGTTTTTGGAAATGACATTATTTGGGAATAAAATGTGGGAGTTTCTATATCAAAATTCATTTAAAACTATAATTTCATTCCAATTTAATAACTTTATTAAGCATCTACAGCATTATACACTTTAAAGGATATAAAAGAAAAGTGCACACATGAAATTATTAGGAAAGCAATGAAATGGACATTTGTTTAAATGCAAAATATGTGGTACGGATATTAAGTGCTGTAGTAGGTCAGAGGGTGGAGAAATCATTTCTGGATTAAATGGGACTTGATTTGTCTCTAAAGTACAGATATAATTTGTATTTGTATTGGAGAGGACAGGAAGTCCTAATTCCTTTCCTTATATTCTTAAGAGTTTGGGAAATAGTTCCATGTGGCATTTCGAAGTTCTTATTTAATGCTTTCAGGTCACTTGATTTGTGACCTATTTCTTTCAAATAGTCTTAGTACAAATCTATATGACATTTTTCCTGTTTGACATCTAAAATAGTGAAGTTACTAGCTGAGGGCTTTGCCACTTAGAGTTTCTTTGCTTCTGCATTTGGTGTTAGGTTTATATGAAACACCACAGTTTAAGTAGTTACTGTTTCATTCATGCTCAAGAGTCTTGTGAAATGTTGCTCTTTTTTATTTGACTGGTATTTCTGAAGTGCTTCCTATGTAGCAGCGGTAGTATCAGGAATTACCAAAAACAACTGTTACTTAGCAACCAGTAGGTATGCTTTACATAAGGAGAGTGTGTGTGTTTAGCCTATCAGCCTTTGATGCTCAGCATTTGCCTTGAGACATTGAAGGCCAGAGCAATTTATGTAGACATCTGAATTGACTTTTTTTTTTTTTTTGAGTTTAATGTTTAATAAGGGGACTCAGTTGCTTTGGGCATCCACCAAAGATACATTTGTGAAGATGATCAAACTTTTAAGTCCTCTTAAAAGATGTTTTGTTGCTTTCTTATAGACTTAGTGTTCATTTATTCACTTAATCATCAAATATAATATTTGAGTGCTTACTTGGTACCAGGCACTATGCTTGGCCTTGGAGATGGGGGAGAGTGAATGCACATATGATCTCTGTCCTCAGCAGATGATACTCAAATAATCACACAAATGCAAAACTATGGCTGTGACAAGTGTTTTAGAGAAATCACTGAAATGACATTTTAACTGATGTCTACAAGATGCACAGGAAGAGAACAGTGCTCTAATCAAAGCAGACCCTCTGATGCCACGTCCATGTTGCCCTGGCTGGAGTGCAGTGGTGAGATCACGGCTTACTGTGGCCTCGACCTTCTGGGCTCAGGCGATCCTCCTGCTTCAACCTCCCGAAGTTCTGGGATTATAGATGTAAGCCACCATGCCCAGCCTGTCCTTTTATTTTATCCTTCAAAAAGTTTTTGTTTTACAGAAGGAGTTTCATGAAATGCTATTGAGCATGAGTAAAAGTAAAACTGGGCCTGGAATGAGTGGATAGATCCCTCTGAGGTCTGGCCATCGATACCATTTTTGCTGATGTCAGGGAGTGGAGACTTGACCAGAATTCTTCTTCTTCTTCTTTTTTTTTTTTTTTGAGACAGAGACTTACTCTGTTGCCCAGGCTGGAGTGCAGTGGCACGATCTCAGCTTACTGCAACCTCCGCCTTGTGGGCTGAAGTGATTCTCCAGCCTCAGCCTCGTGAGTAGCTGGGACTACAAGCTCACGCCACCACGCCTGGCTAATTTTTTGTATTTTAAGTAGAGACGGGGTTTCACCATGTTGGCCAGGCTGGTCTCAAACTCCTGACCTCAAGCAATCCACCCGCCTTGCCCTCCCAAAGTGCTGGGATTACAGACGTGAGCCACTGAGCCACTGTGCCTGGCCTTTTTGAGACAGAATCTCACTCTGCTGCCCAGGCTGGAGTGCAGTAGTGTGATCATAGCTCACTGTAACCTTGAACTCCCAGGCTCGAGTGATCTTCCCACCTGAGCCTCTTGAGTAGCTGGGTCTACAGGCATGAGCCACCATGCCCAGCTAGTTAAAAAACATTTTTTTTTTTTTTTTTTTTTTTTTTTTTTTTTTGTGGAGACAGGGTCTTGCTATGTTGCTCAGGCTTGTCTGAAACTCTTGGCCTCAAGTGATCCTCCTGCCTCAGCCTCTCAAATATTGGAGTTACAGGCATGAATCACTGTGCCCATCCCAGAAATCTTGTTGTCTTTATTAAACTGAGAGTGGTGGTAGAATGGCAGAAGATGCTCCTTTTTGTCATGTAACATGAAGTAGAAGGATTTGAAGGGTTTTTCGTATAGAAGGTATTTTATTTGGAACCATAGCAAGAACTTGATGCCTTAGAGTAGTTATTACGTGACCAGTTATGTTGAGGCAAGACTTGATGAAGTTTAGTCAACTGTTAGTCCACCTACTTTTGATTTCTTTCTTGCCCTAATAACAGGCTGCCTCTGGGATGTACTAATGATGACAGATGAGACACTGGTCACACTGGTAGGAAGGGACTTCATGTGGTGCAAAGTACCTTGAAATTATCTCTGATGAAATCATGAGGGGAGAAGGGCTGATGAAGTACCCTGCCCTCAGTAAAGTATTGGTGGAGTGTCTGGTAGACACGGAGAGGTTGTGTGACCCAAACCGGATGAGGCAGGAAGTTATATAATGCTAATTGAAGAATTCTGCATTATAAGTTCCTTTTTGGTCCTCCTCTAATGAAATTGGATTGTTTCTATTTCCCATTAGGCTTTGGTGAGGAGAAGTTTGTGGTGATTATCTAGATGCTGAGGGATTCAGAGAGAAGCCCCAAACATTTCTGTTTAACTTCATTTTTTTAGGGACCAGCTTTCCACATGGGAAATAGTTGCCTTTTTCTCTGATGTCTGCCACTGTTAGCTTTAATCACTTTTAAAAGGTTGAATGCAAAACTCTAGCAACAGTTATACCAAGAAGGAGCTATTATTATTTTTGTTTAATCCTTTTACTTATGGCACAGTATTAAACAAGGTCAGAAATTTACATGTTTCTTTTTAATTTTAGTTAAGTTTTGTAAATGAAAAAAAGAATTGTTCTGAGATTTTTTTGTTGAAATAATGCATTTATTTTCTTTATGTTTCACTGAATTTTTGCCAGTTCAAATCAGTCTTTTATAATAGTTTGCAAGTAAGGATGCCTTATAAGTTTTATGACTGAAATATGTCTTATTAACAAAAAACAATTTTTAATAAATGAATTAGGGCCCAATTTGTGTTGTGTAGGATTATTATTGGTTAAGACCATATTTTTTTGATTTATTTAAAAAATTTATTTGATTGATTTAAGACTGATTTATTGAGGTATAGTTGACAGGTTATAAACTCTAAAGTGTACAGTTTGTTAAGTTTTGACATATGTGTGTACTTGTAAGACTATCATCACAAACAGGACATTGATCATATCTATTATGCCCAAAGCTGTTTTCATACCCCTGGCTCCCTGATCCCTATCCCAGATAACTGATTTTTTTTTTTTTTTTTTGAGACAGAGTCTTGCTCTGTCACCCAGGCTGGAGTGCAGTGGCATGATCTTGGCTCACTGCAAGCTTCGCCTCCCAGGTTCATACCATTCTCCTGCCTCAGTCTCCCCAGTAGCTGGGACTACAGGCACCTGCCACCATGCCCAGCTAATTTTTGTATTTTTAATAGAGACGGGGTTTCATTGTGTTAGCTAGGATGGTCTTGATCTCCTGACCTCGTGATCCGCCCGCCTCGGTCTCCCAAGTGCTGGGATTACAGGCGTGAGCCACTGCGCTTGGCCTAACTGATGTTTTTATCACTGTACATTAACTTTCATTTCCTAGAATTTCCTCTTATTTTATATAAATGGAACCACACAATATGTAGTTATCCTTCTTTCACTCAGCATAATTGAGAGTCATCCCTGTTGTTAAGTGTATTAGTAGCTGATTCCTCTTTATTGCTGAGTAATATTGCATTGTATGGATGTACCTCAGTTTATTAATACATTTACCTACCAATGGACATGTTGGTTGTTTCCAATTTTAGTTATTAACAAATAAGGCTTCTATAAAAATTTTGTTTACAAGGCTTTGTATGGACATATGTTTTTATTCCTCTTGGTTAAATACCTAGGAGTAGAATGGCTGGATCATATAATAGGTATATGCTTAACCTTTAAGAAAACTGTCAATGTTTAGTTATCCGTAAGTATTTCATAGTTTTTGGTGCTATTTGATATGGTTTGGTTTTAGGTCCCCACCCAAATTTCATGTTGAATTGTAATCCCTACGTGTCGAGGGAGGGAAGTAACTGGATTATGGGGCTGGTTTCCCCCATGCTGTTCTTGTAATAGTGAATTCTCACAAGATCTGATGGTTTCATAAATGGTAGTTTTTCCTTTGTTCTCACATGCTCTCTCACTTGCCTGCCGCCGCCGTGTAAGACATGCCTATTTCCTCTTTCACCATGATTATAGTTTCCTGAGTCTTTCCCAGCCGTGTGGAACTGAGTCAATTAACCCTCTTTCCTTTATAAATTACCCAGTCTTGGGTATTTCTATCAGTGTGAGAATGGACTAATACACTATTAAAATTATATTTTTAAAATTTATATTTCTGATTGACACTAGTATATAGAAATATGATTGATTTTTTTACATTAATCTTCTCCATCAATCTGGCTAAGCTCACTTAGTTCTTATTAGTCCTAGACCTTTTTTTTTTTTTTTTTTTGAGTTGGAGTCTCGTTCTATTGCCCAGGTAGGAGTGCAGTGGCGCAATCTTGGCTCACTGCAACCTCTACCTCCCAGGTTCAAGCAATTCTTCTGCCTCAGCCTCCTGAGTAGCTGGGATTACAGGTGTGTGCCACCACGCCCGGCTAATTTTTGTATTTTCAGTCGAGACGGGGTTTCACCATGTTGGCCAGGCCAGCGTCAAACTCCTGATCTCAAATGATCTGTCCGCCTCAGCCTCCCAAAGTGCTGGGATTACAGGCGTGAACCACTGCGCCTGGCGTCCTAGAGCTTTTTAATAGATTCCATTGGATTTTCTATGTAAAGATTATGTCATCTGTGAATACAGTTTTAATTCTTCCTTTCCAGGCTTTTATTTCTTTTTCTTATTGCACTGGCTGCAATCCCCAAGTAACAATGTTAAATAGAGATGGTGAGAGCAGATTACTTGTCTTGTTTCTTCTCTTAGGGAGAAAGCATTTAGTCTTTCACCATTTGTATATGCATTTTATCACTGGAGAAGTTTTCTTCTATTTCTAGTTTACTGAGATTTTTTTTTTTTTCGAGAGTGAACATTGGGTTTTGTTAAGTGCTTTTTCTGAATCTACTGTGATGATCATATGATTTTTTTTTTTCGAGACAGGGTCTTGCTCTGTTTTCCAGGCTGGACTGCAGTGGCATGACTGTGGTTCACAGTAGCCTTGACCTCTGGGGCTCAAGCAGTCCTCCTACCTTAGCCTCCCAAGTAGCTGGGACCACATACTACACCTGGCTGATTTTTTTTTGTTTGTTTGTTTTTTAGTAGAGATGAGGTCTTGTTATGTGGTCGAGGCTGGCCTTGAACTCCTGAGCACAAGCAGTCCTCCCACTGTCACCTCTTAAAGTGTTGGGATTACAGGTGTGAGCCACTGCACCCAGCCACTTTTCATTTGTTAATATGGTGAAATATCGCATCGATTTTCAAATACAGCCATTTGTTGCCTAACAATGGAGATGCATTCTGAGAAATGCATTGTTAGGTAATTTTGTTGTGCAAACCTCATAGAGTGTACTTTCACAAATCTAGATGTTGTAGCCTACTACACACCTAGGCTATATGGTAAAGCCTGTGGCGCTTAGGCTACAAAACTGTACAGCATGTGACTGCATTTAATACCATAGGCAATTGTAATAGAATGCTAAGTATTTATGTATCTAGATGTATCTATACATAGAAAAGGTACAGTAAAAATACAATATAAAAGATAAAAAAATGGTACACCTGTATAGGGCATTGACCATGAATGGAAGTTGCAGGCTTGGAAGTTGCTCGGGTGAGTCAGTGAGTGAGTGGTGAATGAGTGTGAAGGCCGAGGACATTACTGTGCACTACTGTCGACTTTACAAACACAGTACACTTAAGCTATACTGAATTTATAGAAAACATTTTTTCTTTCTTCAATAATAAATTAACCTTAGCTTACTGTGACTTTTTTTACTTTATAAACTTTAATTTTTTATATTTTGATTCTTATAATAATACTTAGCTTAAAACACAAACACATTGTACAGCTGTACAAAAATACTCTATGTCCTTATTCTATAAACTTTTTTCTATTTATTACTTTTTAAAATTTTTTGTTAAAAACTAAGACACAAACACACACGTTAGCCTAGGCCTACATAGAGTCAGGTTCATCAGTATCACTCTCTTCCACCTTGACATCTTGTCCTGCTGAAAAGTCTTCAGGGGCAGTACATGCATGGAGCTGTCATCTCCAGTAACAGTGCCTTCTTCTGGATACCTCCTGAGGGACCTGCTTGAGGCTGTTTTATAGTTAACATTTTACAGTTAAATTACTTATTTGATTTCCAAATTGTACTTTAGGTTTGGAGGTGCGTGTACAGGTTTGTTACATGGGTAAATTGTGTGTTGTCGGGGTTTGGTGTACAGTTTATTTTGTCATTTTTTTTTTTTTGAGACAGAGTCTCAGTCTTTCGCCAGGCTGGAGTGCAGTGGCGCGATCTGGCTCACTGCAACTTCTGCCTGCAACCTCTGCCTCCCGGGTTCAAGTGATTCTCCTGCTTTAGCCTCCCGAGTAGCTGGGACTACAGGTGTGTGCCACCACGCCCAGCTCATTGTTTGTTTGTTTGTTTTTTGAACGGAGTCTCGCACTCTCGCCCAGGCTGGAGTGCAGTGGCGCCATCTCGGCTCACTGCAAGCTCCGCCTCCCAGGTTCACGCCATTCTCCTGCCTCAGCCTCCTGAGTAGCTGGGACTACAGGCGCCCGCCACCACCCCTGGCTAATTTTGTGTATTTTTAGTAGAGACGGGTTTCACCGTGTTAGCCAGGATGGTCTCGATCTCCTGACCTTGTGATCCGCCTGCCTTGGCCTCCCAAAGTGCTGGGATTACAGGCGTGAGCCACCGCACCCTGCCCAGTTTTTGTATTTTTAGTAGAGACGGGGTTTCACCGTGTTGGCCCAGGATGGTCTCAAACTCCAGACCTCGTGATCTGCCTGCCTCCGCCTCCCAAAGTGCTGGGATTACAGGTGTGAGCCACCACGCCCGGCCCATCTTTTTTAAATAAGTAGGAGTGGCCAGGCACGGTGGCTCACGCCTGTAATCCCAGCACTTTGGGAGGCCGAGGCGGATGGATCACAAGGTCAAGAGATTGAGACCATCCTGGCCAACATGGTGAAACCCTGTCTCTACTAGGAATACAAAAATTAGCAGGGCGTGGTGGTGTGCACCTGTAATCCCAGCTACTCAGGAGGCTGTGGCAGGAGAATTGCTTGAACCTGGGAGGCGGAGGTTGCAGTGAGCCGAGATCGCGCCACTGCACCCCAGCTTGGCTACAGAGCGAGACTCGGTCTCAAAAAATAAAAAAATAAAAAATAAATAAAAATAAAAAATAGGAGTATACTCTAAAATAATGATAAAAGTATGGTAAATACATAAAGCAGTAACATAGCCACTTATTATCAAGTATTGCATACTGTATGTAATTGTATCTGCCATACTTTTATATGAGACTGGCACCACAGTAGACTCGTTTACACCAGCATCAACACAAACACATGACTAGTGGGTTGTGCTACACTGTTGGGATGGCTGTACTGTCACCAGGTGTTAGGAATTTTTCAGCTTCCCTATAATCTTATGGGACTGCCATAGCATATATGTCTGTCATTGACTGAAATGTCGTTATGGAATGCATGACTGTATTAAAAGTAACCTTTCTTTTTTCTTTTTGAGATGGAATCTTGCTCTGTCACCCAGGCTGGAGTGCAGTGGTGCAATCTCAGCTCACTGCAACCTTTGCCTCCTGGGTTCAAGCGATTCTCCTGCCTCAGCCTCCCGAGTAGCTGGAACTACAGGTGTGTGCCACCAGGCCTGGCTAATTTTTCTGTTTTTAGTAGAGATGAGGTTTTACCATGTTGCCCAAGCTGGTCTCAAACTCCTGAGCTCAGGTGATCTGCCCACCTCGGCCTCTCAAAGTGCTGGGATTACAGGTGTGCACCACCATGCCTGGTCCTAAAAGTAACCTTTCATTCCTGGGATAAACCCCACTTGATTCTGCCATATTCTTATTCTATTTATATATTGTTGCAATTGATTTCCTAAAATCTGGTTTAAAAAATTTGCATTTCTGTTTATGAATGATACTGGTTTGAACTGTGTTTTGTAATATCTTTGTTTTTGATATCAGGGTAACGCTGGAAACCTTGAATGAATTGGAAAATGTTCCTTTTCTTCGGTTTTCTGGAACAGTTTGCATAGAACTGGTATAGTTTCCTTAAATGTTCAGTGGAATTTACCAGTGAATCCATCTGGTCTCAAGTTTTCTTTGTAGAAAAGTTTTTAACTGCAAATTCAATTCCTTTTTGCCATATAAGGCTATTAAAGTTATCTATTACTTGAACGAACTTAACACACTTTTCAGAAGATCCGTATGTATATATTTACATGTTTATACACACACACACACACGTATATATTTTTGTAGAAGCCTTGAAAGAAAGAGAGAATCAAACAAAATACATAGAAACAAATGAGCTGGACATACAGATAAAGCTGTGATTCACCCAGAACTTAAACAAATCACAAATTTCATAGTTTAATATTGGGACAGAAGCAAAACAACAAACAAATAATACATTTTCCCACTTCAGTAATAAAATATGGGAAGACCTGACTATGAGGGTAGAGATCAAGGCTAAATAAAGCTTTATTTATTTACATTAAAATATAATTTTATTTTTATAGAGACAGGGTCTCACTGTGTTGCCCAGGCTGGTTTTGAACTCCTTCAGCTCAAGGGATCCTCCTGCGTAGACCTCCCAAAGTGTTGGGATTACAGGTGTGAGCCACCACACCCAGCCAAAAGCTTTAAATCATTGGTGATTATTACAAGCTGCAACTCGGGCTACATATGTTACTGGGAGCTGATTACTCCTATATCTCACTGCAGCATAGAGTTTAGTTATGGCTTTTCCCCACAATATTGTGAGTTTAATGTGGAGAACTGTGAAGAAAAACAAAAGAAACCCCAACTAATAATTACAACAACTATAACAACAACCACAATAATAATAATTAATAATAAACCCCTAAGGGATGTATGAGCTGGTTTTAATTAAGTAGACTAAGAGATACTGGTTCTGACTTGCATTCATCTCTACAGTAAATAAAACCTTGTTTTTAAAAAGCTTCCCATGTTCCTAATACAGTTAAAAAAATATATATATATACTTTAACCTTTTTCCTTTCATATGCAAAGATGTTACTTTTCATTATCTCAAGAATATCTTCCTTTGAAGTCTGTGAGGGTGGATTTCAGCCACCAGAAATTGGTGAAGTGGGGGACAAGGGGGTGTGCTTGTCTCTGTGTGCACAAGTCTAAGTAAAAGAGGAGCACATAGGGGCCAAAAAGGGACAGGGGAGGGAAGCTGGAGCAGAAGGACACCTCCCTAGGGGAAGGCAGGAGGCTCTAAGTAGTGGAGCAAAAACATGGGTCCCTGGCAGCAGACTGGCTGGAATAGCCTCAAGGTCTCAGCTGTCAATTTTTTTTTCAGTCTTTTTTCCTTCTTTGTTTCATTTTGGATAATTTCTCTTGCTACATCTTGAAGTTCCTAATTTTTTTTTTCTGTGGTGTCTAATCTGTTGTCCCATTCAGTGTATTTTTCATCTCAGTTGACATGGTTTTTATCTCTAGAAGTTTAATTTGGATCTTTTTTTTTTTTTTTAATATCCCAGGTCTCTTAACATAGCCAGTCTTTAGCTTCTTGAACATATGGAATACAATTCTTTTTTAAAAAAATTTTTTTACATAGCTGTCTCCTCAAACATGTAAGGTATATGTATTTATTTACTTAGAAATGCTGGGATTTGGAGATGTTAGAATCAATAATGCTTATATTTCTTGATTGTAAATGCTATCAGAACATAAAGCTATTCAAATTATAAGTGATAAAAGGATGTATTATAATCTTCTGATCTCTTAGGCTAATAGAATAAACAAATCATCTCTTAAAAATACAGTAAAGTGATATAGTATTCAGAGAAGTAATTACTAATGTTATTTATTTAGAAAACATATATGCCCTTCAGACTATTGTATCCGTTTGGTTGCTTTCCTTTTATAAAGGAAAGTCTTCAATACAATACAATAATTATTGAAAAATGAGTAGTTTTATCGTTTGTCTCACCATAATTTAACAAATACTTGGGTATAGAGTTGAACTGGTTTATCTACTGTTTACACTTTTGAACGGCATTCAATTAAGGTTAGTTTTAGTAAAGATCTTAGAATCTCAGATGGGACTTTTCAGCTTTAGGAAATTGGAATGTGTCCCTGGACTATGCCCATGCCAGAGTGCCAAGCTAAAAGAATGTAGGAAACCTCTGACCAGGCCCTTCAGGGGACTCTGTGCAAAATAATGAGGTCACTAGCATGAAGAGCTCTGGACTCTGAGGCAGTTGGAACAGGATTCTATAATTTCTTTCCAATATTATTATTATATATTATATCTCTTTGAGGCTAAGAATCCAGGGAAGGGAAAGCAGAAATGGGGTTGCTCAACTGAGAGGTTAAAAAAAAGATGAGGGATGGGCCGGGCACCATGGCTCACGCCTGTAATCCCAGCACTTTGGGAGGCTGAGACAGGCGGATCACGAGGTCCGGAGATTGAGACCATCCTGGCTAACATGGTGAAACTCCATCTCTACTAAAAAAATGCAAAAAAGTTAGCCAGGCGTGGTGGCAGGCACCTGTAGTCCCAGCTACTTGGGAGGCTGAGACAGGAGAATGGCGTGAACCCAGGACGCAGAGCTTGCAGTGAGCTGAGATTGCGCCACTGCACTGCAGCCTGGGCGACAGAGCGAGACTCCGCCTCAAAAAAAAAAAAAAAAAAAAAAAAGATGAGGGATGAAGGACCAGAAGTTAGAAGAAGGAAGAGCAGTCTTGCAAGCTTGAGGGAGTGAGGAGAGGGATGTGGTTAGAGAAAGAAAGCTCCCTTAGAGGCCCTGGAGGTAATGCTTTTCTGGAATACAATTCTAATAACTATTACTTTCCTGTTCTTTATTCTCACTTATTTCTATGTTCTCATTCCCAGTCCTCCTTCTTCTTCTCTCTCTCTCTTACTCTCTTTTTCTCTCCTCTTTCTCTCTTAGACATACACACACATACACACACACACACCCCTGTTTAAGAAGTAAATGTGAATATGGAAAGCAGATGAGAAGGGAGGTTGGATTGAATTGTGGAGTATTTATTTCAGTTTTTATTTCAATAGTTTTAGGGGTACAAGAGGCTTTCTTTACATGGATGAATTGCATAGTGGCGAAGTGTTGGCTTTTAGTGTACCCATCACCCCTATAGTGTACATTACAACTCTTTTCTATTTAACTACTGTATGCTTCTGATCCAGGGAAGGTATCTTTTAAAATTTCCTTTAATTCCCTAATACAGATCCTTCTTGACTTCTGATGGCGTTGCATTCCAATAAACCCATCATAAGTTGAAAATGTCATAGATTGGGCCAGGCACGGTAGCTCACGCCTGTAATCCTAACACTTTGGGAGGCTGAGGCGGGCAGATTGCTTGAGCTCAGGAGTTCGAGACCAACCTCGGTAACGTGAAACCTGTTTCTACCAAAAATACAAAAAATTAGCTGGGTATATGGTGGTGCGTGCCTATAGTCCCAGCTACTTGGGGGGCTGTGGTGGGAGGATCACTGGAGCCTGGGAGGTGGAGGTTGTAGTGAGCTGAAATCTCACCCCTGTACTCCAGCCTGGGTAACAAAGCGAGACCCTCTCTCAAAAAAAAAAAAAAATTACAAATTGAAAATGATTGTAATACACCTACTGAACATCATAGCTTAGCTTAGCTTACCTTAAATGTGTTCAGAACACTTATGTTAGCCTAAAGTTTGGCAAAATCATTTAACACGAAGCCTTTTTTTTTTTTTTTTTTTTGAGACAGAGTCTCGCTCTGTTGCCCAGGCTGGAGTACAGTGGCGCGATCTTGGCTCACTGCAGGCTCCGCCTCCCGGGTTGATGCCATTCTCCCGCCTCAGCCTCCCGAGTAGCTGGGACAGCAGGTGCCCGCCACCACGCCCAGCTAATTTTTTGTATTTTTAGTAGAGATGGGGTTTCACCATGTTAGCCAGGATGGTCTCTATCTCCTGACCTCGTGATCCGCCCGCCTCAGCCTCCCACGCCTGGGATTACGGGTGTGAGCCACCGCGCCCGGCCACACAAAGTCTTTTTTATAATAAAGTGTTGAATACCTCATGTAACTTATTAAATACTGCACTGAAAGTGAAAAACTGGTCATGGGGTCCTTGAAGTACAATTTTACTGAATGAATATAGCTTTTGCACCATTGTAAAGTTGAAAAATTGTAAGTTGAACCATCATAAGTTGAGGACCGTCTGTCTGTACAATCTTATATATAATTAATTCAGAGGTTTATTGATTGATTGATAACATTTTCATGCTGTAGCACCCTTAGTTCTACTTTATTAGCACTTGTGATTGTATTGTTTATTGTATAAGAAGTCTTAAATCCTGTGTTCATAAAATTCCTTCCAAAGAAGTCAGCATACTTCATGCTAATTAATTTATTGATTGTCTCAGCCTTTGGCTTTTACCATACCCAAAGAGTATCCCACTTCCTCAGGCATCCAGGATCCTGCCTCAGCTTAAGGGTCATTGTGTGATCTTGTACTGTGCTAATGAAAGGAACACTCAGATTATAGTATTGTGGGCAGAGCCCAGGCCTGATTCTCGGGGACTTCGAAACTTCTGGCCAGTAGGAAGGAATACATGTGACACTGTCCTTGAACTCAAAACTACCCACCACATGTAGAATTTGCTCTGACACTGCAAATACTCAATTGGACTCAGTGTAATATTTGTATCTCAAAGGAATTGAAAGCTGAGATTTCAAATGGGTTTCATGGAATTTTGATCAGTTAGAAAATAATTAATGGAAAACTATCTAGCTGTTAAAATTGTCTCATTCTTCTTGCAGTGCTTTTAATTGTGTTACACATGTTTTTTGTTTTTATTCTTGAGTTCTGGTCTGAAGTGATTGTCAGTGGTTTGTGTTTGATCAGAAGATCCATTGCCCTTTCTTGTATCCCTGCCCTACCTCCATGAGTCTCCTTGTGATACAACTTCAGAAGAAAAGATGAAAATCGAGGTTTTTGTTAACTCCTAGAAGGTGATAGAAGGACATGATAGAACCTGGCAGATTTTCAGTGGAAAAGATTGAGTCTAGAATTAAAAGACTATGTATGTTTTTATATGCATTCTATAGTCTTATTTGTTGGTAATTGAAAAGTTACAAAGTAATGTATGCAAAATATGTGTAAGGTATATAGAATAGCAGGACAATGAATACCCAATGTACACAACCACCAGATTAAGAAAACAAAATTATCGTTGCCATTGAAGATCTCCGTGCCTTTCTCCTTTCTGAGGTAATCTGAATTTTGTGTTTTCTTTATACTTGAACCACATAGTTTGTATCCCTAAACTGTGGTTTAATTTTACATGTTTTTGACACTAATCAAATGGAATCACAGTGCAGATATTTTTATGTGATTTGCTTTTTTCCCATAGCGTCAAATGTGTTTGTTTTGGTCAGATTTTGCAAATAATCGTGGGCTGCTTCCACATAGACGTATAAGTTTATTTTGTAGTAATTTTCCTTATTCATCTCAGAGAATATGATTTATATGTTTCGGTCTTGTGGAAGTAAAAGAGAATGATTTCCTAGTGGATAAAAAGAAACCAGTCTCCTTTAAGGCATTCTGTCTCCATGCACTCCACCATCCTCACTCTGGAACCCATTGCAGAGGAGCTCTTCAAGGGGGTGTTAGCTTTTTCCTCTTTTACCTCGCCTTGGGCAGGCTGAGACACCTCCTGCTCCTCAAATAGGTGTGGCCCAGTGCTTCTTTACCTTGTGTATAAGAATCACCAGGGGAGGGGAGCTTTAAGAATATTCACACCTGTGTGCAAACACTGACCAATTAAATTAGAATGTCTCCTTTACATACAATTAAATTAGAATATTTCTTTTACCTGTTTTTACATTTAAAATTTCAATTTTGTTTTAATGGAGTTGCTTCTTTCATATTGATTGTAGGTCTTTACATATTCTGTATATTAATCCTTGGACTCCTATGTGTTAGAAATATTTTCTCCTAGTCAATTGATTTGTCTTTATGATTCCTTTTGGCTTACAGAAGTTTTTGATTTTTAAAATTTGAGACTTCATCATTATGACATCTGTATTTTGCGTCTTAACTAAGAAGACTTTCTTTACTCCTAGGTTTTAAGCTATTTTTCCTATGTTCTTACTGTATTTATAATTTTACTTCCAACATTTAGCACTTTAAGCCACCTACAGTTTATTTTATTTATTTATTTTTATTTAATTTATTTTTTTATTTTGAAACAGGGTCTCACTCTGTCACCCAGGCTGGAGTGTAGTAGCATGATCTCAGCTCACTGCAGCCTTGACCTCCTGGGCTCAGGTGATCCCCTCCCATCTCAGCCTCCCGAGTAGCTAGGTCTACAGGCATTCACCACCATGCCCGGCTAATTTTTGTATTTTTTGTAGAGATGGGGTTTCACCATGTTGCCCAGGCTGGTCTTGAATTCTTGGGCTCAAGCAGTCCACCTGCCTTGGCCTCCCAAGGCCACTGTGCCAGGCCTGAAGGTTATTTATTTATTTATTTAGGGACGGAGTCAGGTATTTATTTATTTATTTATTTTGTGACAGAGACTTGCCCTATTGCCAGGCTGGAGTGCAGTGGTGTGATCTCGGCTCACTGCAACCTCTGCCTCCTGGGTTCAAGCGATTCTCCTGCCTCAGCCTCCTGAGTAGCTGGGATTACAGGCACCTGCCACCACACCCAGCTACTTTTTGTATTTTTAGAAGAGATGGAGTTTCACCATGTTGGCCAGGATGGTCTCAATCTCCTGACCTTGTGATCCACCCACCTCGGCCTCCCAAAGTGCTGGGATTACAGTCGTGAGCCACTGCGCCCGGCCTATTTTTTATGTGTAGTAAGAATCTAACTTTTCTTCAAACAGATAGCCAGGTGTGCTATTACCATTTGAGTGGTTCTCTCTCCTAGTGATTTGAAATACTTTTAAAATAATTTCCCTAAGGTCTGTTTCTAGACTCTCTGTTTCCTTCTAATGATGTCTTTGCCAATTTCCAGTTGAATATCATAATCTTTTAATTACTAGTGTGTCATAGGATGTTTTTCAATTTGATAGAGCAGGTCTTTTCTCGTTACTCTTTTGCAAACATTTCTCATCTATTTTGGGCATTCTTCTATTAGATCTTAAAAATTACTTTTTATCAATGTGAAATTCACATCACATAATGTTAGTCATTTTAAAGGAAACAATTTAGTGAGTGTGACTGGTAGTACTTCTTGTGGTTTTGATTTACATTTTCCTAATGTCTGATGATGTTGAGCATCTTTCCATAAGCTCATTGGCTGTAATTATATCTTCTTTGGAGAAATGCCTGTTCAGATCCTTTCCCATTTTTTTTCATTTGATTTTTAAGATAAGCTTGTTAGGCTGGGCGCAGTGGCTCATGCCTGTAATCCCAGTGCTTTGGGAGGCTGAGGCGGGCAGATAATGAGGTCAGGAGTTTGAGACCAGCCTGGCCAATATGGTGAAACCCCATCTCTATTAAAAATACAAAAAATCAGCTGGGCGTGGTGGCATGCACCTGTATTCCCAGCTACTTGGGAGGCTGAGGCAGGAGAATCACTTGAACCCAGGAGGTGGAGGTTGCAGTAAGCCGAAATTGTGCCATTGCACTCCAACCTGGGTGACAGAGCAAGACTCCGTCTCGAGAGAGAGAGAAAAAAAAAAGATAAGCTTGTTAATTTCTATTAAAAGGTCATGATTGGAATTTGTGATCACATTGACTTTTTCAACTCATTTTTAATGGACCTCTTTATAGTATTGAGTCTTTTTTGATCAAAAGCAGGGTTTATTTGTTTAGGTCCCTTTTATGTTTTCAGGTGATCCTCTTACTTCAGCCTCCTGAATAGCTGGGACCACAGGCATGTGCCACCACGCCTGGCTAATTTTTAAATTTTTTTAAATTTTAATTTTTGAGACAAAGTCTCTGTTGCTCAGGCTGGAGTGCAGTGGTGCGATCTCGGCTCACTGCAACCTCTGCCTCTCAGGTTCAAGTGATTCTTATGTCTCAGCCTCCTGAGTAGCTGGGATTACAGGCATGCACCACCATGCCTGGCTAATTTTTGTATTTTTATTAGAGATGGGGTTTCTCCATGTTGGGCAGGCTAGTCTTGAAATCCTGACCTCAAGTGATCTGCCTACCTTGGCCTCCCAAAGATCTGGGATTATAGGCGTGAACCACTGTGGCCAGCCTTCCTTCATGTTTTTAAAAATAATTTTAAAATTCAAATTAGATTTCACACCCTACTAGCTTGTGATTTTGGTTGCTACTTAGAATTGATCTTTTTTTCTCCTTGCATTTTCAAATTTATCATTGTTGGCATATAGGCATGTTATCAATAATATAATTTGTGAGTATGTCATTTTAGATGTTCTAGATAGTCATTTTATCTGTAAATAATAAACACATAGTCTCTTTTCCAATATTTATTCCTCTTCCTTTTCTGATTATGTTGGCTAGGGCTGCTCCAGCTTAGTGTTGAGTTGTAGGTGGTATCTCCTCCTAACTGTAATGGGAATGTCAGTAATGTTATACTGTTAAGTATTTTATATATATATATATATATATATATATATATATATATATGAGACATATTTACATATTATATATCATATTTATATATAAATAAGTTAACATATGTTTATTTTAATTAAGTGCTTATTAAGTGTCCTTTTTTTTAGATGTTTAATACTAATTGGTGGCCAGGCGTGGTGGCTCATGCCTGTAATGCCAGCATTTTGGGAGGCTGAGGTGGGTGGATTGCTTGAGTCCAGGAGTTCAAGACCAGCCTGGGCAACATGGAGAAACTCCGTCTCTACTAAAAACACAAAAATTAGCTGGGCATCATGGTGCGTGCCTGTAATCCCAGCTACTCGGGAGGCTGAGGCATGAGAATCGCTTGAACCTGGGAGGCTGAGGTTGTGGAGCTGAGATTGTGCCACTGCACTCCAGTGTGGGTGACAGAAGTGAGGCTCTCTCTCAAAAAGAAAAAAAAAAAAGAAATACTAGTTGGTGATAAATTTTGTCATATTCTTTTTTGGACATTTGTTAAGTTCACCTCCCCCTATTGCTATATAGTGAGTTATATTTAATAGATAGACTCTTATAGGATATACTTGCTTGAGTGTGTAATCTTCAATATATTGTGGGGATTCATGTTGTTAATATTTTATTTAGGATTTTTGCATCTATGTTCATAAATGAGATTGGCCTGTATTCTTTGCTTTCCTTACTTGGCTTTGCAATCTAGAATACACTTACTTACAGCATGGTAGCGGGTTTTTCATCTTAGTCTGTGCTTTGGAATAGTTTACCTAACATGGGAAGCAAGATATTATATTTGTCTTTACATTTGTTTATGATGTATTATATATTCAATACTTACGTATTTCATCTTTCTGCAGTTAAATCTTTCAATCTTTTTATGGTTTTGTGTTTTATGATAACTTCTTTAATCTGTCAAGTTTAGTGTGAAGTAGATAAAGAATGTTTTATTTCTTTTCCCTGTATAGCTCCACTATTATATTACCATTTAGTGAGAAATCTTTTTTCTATTGATCTGAAATGCCTCCTTTATCATATACTAAATAATTTCTACATTTGGATTTGTTTCTTAGTGTTTTATTCAAGCATTTTTTTTTTTTTTGAAACAGAGTCTCACCCTGTTGCCCAGGCTGGAGTGTAGTGGCAATATCACATCTGACTGCAACCTCTGCCTTCTGGGTTCAAGTGATTCTCCTGCCTCAGCCTCCCAAGTAGCTGGGATTACAGGTGCCCGCCACCACACCTGGCTAATTTTTGTATTTTTAGTAGAGACGAGGTTTCTCCGTGTTGGCCAGGCTGGTCTCGAACTCTTAACCTCAGATGATCCACCCACCTCGGCCTCGCAAAGTGCTGGGATTACAGGTGTGAGCCACTGCACCCAGCCTCAAGCATCTTTTAAAGATAATTTTTGGTAAACTCTTTTGAAAACTAGATTGAAAGACAAGTATATTTTTAAGCTGACTTTAATGCATTTTAATTAATCAGGCTTTGCTTTAGTTTCACTCTATGTATTTTACATTCCTCTGCCTTTATTGGAAAAGTTATTTGAGATCATCAGAGAGGAGTTTTCAGTGGATCTCCTAAGCTTGGTTTTAGTGGTGTATTGATTTACTGAGGCTGCCATAGGAAAGTATCACAAACTGAATGGCTTATAACAATAGAAATTTATTATCTCACAGCTATGAAGGATAGAAGTGTGAGATCAAGGTGTTGGCAGGGCTGGTTCCTCCCAAAGGCTTTGAAGGAGAATCTGTTGCATGTCTCTGTTAGCCTGTGTTGGTGGCTGGTAATCTTTGGCTTGTAAAACAGGGATCCTGAACTGTCCGTGGCCTGTTAGGAACTGGGCCACAACAGCAGGGGATGAGTGGTGAGCAAGCATTACTGTTTGAGCTCCACCTCTGTCAGATCAGTGGTGGCATTAGATTCTCATAGGAGTGCGAACCCTGTTGTGAACTGCATGTGAGGGATGTAGGTTATGTGCTCTTTATCAGAATCTAATGCCTGATGATTGAGGGCCAGGCACAGTGGCTCATGCCTGTAATCCCAGCACTTTGGGAGGCCAAGGTGGGTGGATCACGAGGTCAGGAGATCAAGACCATCCTGCCTAACACGTTGAAACACGTCTCTGCTAAAAATACAAAAAATTAGCTGGGCATGGTGGCATGCACCTGTAATCCCAGCTACTCAGGAGGCTGAGGCAGGAGAATCGCTTGAACCCGGGAGGTGGAGGTTGCAGTGAGCCGAGATCACGCCACTGCCCTCCAGCCTTGGCAACAGAGTGAGACTCATCTTAAAAAAAAAAAAAAAAGAAAAGAATTAAATGTAGTATAAGTGGAACAAAGTTCTTTATTATAACAGAGTTTTCTAATTATTATTGGGATATAATAAAAAGGCTATTTTTGTGTATTGTTTTTGGGCATTATTGAACTTATATTCTAATACTTTTTGCGTATTGGATTTTCTAGATAGTGATTTCATTTATAATTGATCATTTTGTCTCATTTCTAATATTTATATCACCTTTTTTGTTATGTAGCAGACTATCTCCTTTAGAACATTATTAAATAACAAATAGCAGGCTTTTCCTATTCTTAAGTTAATAGGAATGCCTCTGGTGCTTTATCATTATTCATATGTTATTTTATGTTGCTAATTTTTGTTTAAACATTTTTCCTTTTAGCTTTTATTTTTAAATTAAACTTTTTATTTTTATTTTATTTTTTGAGATGGAGTCTCACTCTGTCACCCAGGCTGGAGTGAGTGGCGTGATCTGGGCTCACTGCAACTTCTTTTTTTTTTTTTTTTTTTTGAGACGGAGTCTGGCTCTGTCGCCCAGGCTGGAGTGCAGTGGCGCGATCTCGGCTCACTGCAAGCTCCGCCTCCCGGGTTCACGCCATTCTCCTGCCTCAGCCTCCCAAGTAGCTGGGACTACAGGCGCCTGCTACCACGCCCGGCTAATTTTTTTTTTTTTGTATTTTTAGTAGAGACGGGGTTTCACCGTGTTAGCCAGGATGGTCTCGATCTCCTGACCTCGTGATCCGCCCGCCTCGGCTTCCCAAAGTGCTGGGATTACAGGCGTGAGCCACCGCGCCCAGCCAACTGCAACTTCTATCTCCCAGGTTCAAGCAAATCTCCTGGCTCAGCCTCCTGAGTAACTGGGATTACATGCGTGCGCCACGGCACCCAGCTAATTTTTTGTATTTTCAGTAGAGACAACATTTCACCATGTTGGCCAGACTGGTCTTGAACTCCTGACCTCAAGTTATCTGCCTGCCTCAGCCTCCTAAAGTGCTGGGATTATAGGCATGAGCCACTGTGCCCGGCAAATTAAACTTTTTATTTTGAGCTACTTGTAGAATCACATGCAATTGTAAGAAATAATGTAGAGAAATCCCGTGTACCCTTCACCTAGTTTTTTCTTGTGTAACTAAGGTACAGTATCACCATCAGGTAACTGCACATACCTTATTCACATTCTACCATTTTCACTTGTACTCCGTATTCAGATTTTACCAGTTTTGCTTTTACTCATTTGTGTGTGTGTTCTGTCACATCTGTAGATTGTGTGACCACCACCACAGTCAAGATAAAGAAGAGTTCCATCACAAAGATCCCTTGTGCTACATTTTCATAGCCACAGCCATTGCCCTCTCTCTCTGCCTCCCTAACCCCATCTAAGCACTAAACTCTATAATTTTGTCATTTCCAGAATGCTATATAAACAGAATCATATAGTATGTAACCTTTGAGATTGACTTTTCTTTATTCAGTGTAATTCCTTTGAGATTCATTCAGATTGGTGCATGTATCAATAGTTTGTTTTTCTTCATTGCTGAGTAGTATTCCATGGCATGCATGCATCAGAGCTTGCTTAACCATTCATCTGTTGAATGACGGTTGTTTTCAGGATTTGGCTATTATGAATAAAGCTGCCGTCAGCGTTCATGTGCAGCTTTCATTTCTCTGGAATAAATGCTCATGAGTGCATACACCCTTTACTTAGACTCATCTGTTGGTAACATTTTGTCCCATTTGCTTATTATTTCCTTCCTTTCTCTCTCTCCACTTTTCCATACACACACAAATATAAACTAAAATTTTTCCTTAACTGCTTGAGAGTAAATTTGACTACATCCTTACTCCCACATACTTCTGTATTTCCAAGAATTAAGGATATTTTCTTACATACTGTGATGGTTAATATTAGGTGTCAACTTGATTGGATTGAGGCCTAGATAGCTGGTAAAGTATTGTTTCTGGGTGTGTCTGTGAGAGTGTTGCCAGAGGTGATTGACATTTCAGTCAGTGGACTGGGAGAGGAAGACCCACCCTCTGTGTGGGCGGACACCATCCAATTGGCTGCCAGTGCGTCTAGAACAAGTCGGGTAAGCTGGCTTGCTGAGTCGTCTGGCTTTTATTTTTTGCCCATGCTGGATGCTTCAGTCCGCTCCTGGTGCCCTTGGACATCAGACTCTGGGTTCTTCCGCCTTTGCACTCTTGTACTTACACCAGTGGTTTGCCCGGGGCTCTTGGGCTTTCAGCCACGGACTGAAGGCAGCACTGTTGGCTTCCCTACTTTTGAGGCTTTTGGACATGGACTGAGCCACTAATGGCTTCTTTCTTCCTCAGCTTGCACATGGCTTGTAGTGGGACTTTGCCTTGTGATTGTATGAGCCAGTTTTCCTTAATAAACTCCCTTTCATATATGCATATAAACTATTAGTTCTGCCCCTCTGGAGAACCCTGATTAGTACACATACCCACAGGAAAGTTATCAACTTAATTTAACATAACTTTTGATATAGCTTTTATCAGATCTATCATCTATAACAATTTTGTCAATTCGCCTAGCAACGTCCCTTTTAGCATCTTGTCCCCTTCTAGTACAGGGGCTGGTCTGGGTCCACATATTGTGTTTCATTGTTATGTTTCCTTTACCTCCTTTAATCTGGGAACAGCTCTTTACATTGTCTTCTGTGACATTGGCATTTTTGAAGAAGCAAAAATGAGAACTTTACATGTATTGTCTCCTTTAGTACTTAAGACAGCTCTACAAAGAAGCTTTTATTATTATCGCCTCTTTTAGATGATGAGAGGGACAGAAAGATGAAATAATTTGCTCAAGTCATCTTAAATGGTAGAACCTGGATTCAAACCTGGGTGTTTTGACTTCAGAAGCCTGTTTAACCACTGAGCTCTACTGTCTTTCATTAATCTTTTAGCCTGTTTGTAGTAGCACTTGACCTTTCAGAAACTGAGAACCAGGGAAACTATTTTCTATATTGGCTGACATAAACAAGTATTTAATTTGTTTTACAGTAGATGATCCATTTTGTGATGACTTCAGATATTTCATCTGTTGCTTTTAGTTGGAGTTAAAGTTAGGTCTGCATCTGATTAACATTTATGGTACTTTATGGAAGTATTAAATAGTTTAAATGAAGTTTTAAGCATCAAGCAGCTGGTTGTCTTGCATATTAGAAATAGAGTTTATAGGAAACCCTAAGTTGTCTGGGCTGTGTGTTTCAGGCCAGATAAGGATAGTTTCTTCCAGGACATTCTTCAGGGCTTGGTCTAGTCTTTGTTAATTGTCTCAAAGAAAGAGCTCCACTATCCCTGGAGGAAGGCAGTTTTCTAATCTCTCATCTTTCTGGAAGGTTTTCTTTGTAATAAGATGTGGCAATTAAAATGTGCCTTATTCTTTCTAAGATTCTTTTAACGTCACTACCATCTGAAGTAATATGAAATACATGTGTATGGGTTTGCCAAGATTGCAGTTTCCGTGGGAATCATAACATTGGATTTAATCACATCTGGGTTAATGAAGCGTGCACAAAGGCTCTGCATGAATATAGGTTTTATATTTAATGTGCATCTGGAGGCAGCAAGGTCTTAGTGATGTAGTTTCCCTGTAAGTGACAAGTTGAACACTTGCTAGCTGAAGGTTTAAGGTAATCCCAAGGCTAGGAACTTTGCCACGGAACTGAGGTCCTGCACCTTGACCCTCAGTTTAGAAGGCATGCGTAAGCACTGGGAATCTGGAGCTCTTTAGTGGAGCTGGAGGCCCAGCTTATTTCCCTGGAGTCTGTAGACTTTGGGTTTGTTTTGTCTCCATGAGAAGCAGGGATTACAGTGCTGGTGTTTTGACTTCTTTTTTTGAAGTGGTAGGGAGAAGAAGTACACCAGGTCTGTCATAGTTGTACTTTGGTGTTTTGGGAATGATTTTGGTCATTTTTCTTTTTCTTTCTTTCTTTTTTTTTTGAGACAGAGTTTCGCTCTTGTTGCCCAGGCTGGAGTGCAATGGCACGATCTCTGCTCACTGTGCGCGACCTCTGCCTCTTGGGTTCAAGCGATTCTCCTGCCTCAGCCTCCCAAGTAGCTGGGATTAAAAGCATGTGCCACCACGCCCAGCTAGTTTTGTATTTTTAGTAGAGACAGGGTTTGTCCATTTTGGCCAGGCTGGTCTCCAACTCCCGATCTCAGGTGATCCACCTGCCTCGGCTTCCCAAAGTGCTGGGATTATAGGCGTGAGCCACCGCACCTGGCCTATTTTTCTTAGATTGTTTTCTCTGCTGTCTACCTGACGTTTTATAACTATTAAGTTCATGGTGATGGTCCTTGAGAGTGGTAGTGGTTTTTACGTGGAAAATCTAGAATTTTGGATTGCTCCAAACCCTAGAATCACTATCTTTCAAACTCACTCATGTTGAAGGGCATGAATGTGGAACTTAATTTCTCCACGGAAAGTGGAGCTAGAGTGAGGGTTGTCTTTGTAGGGCCTCTCTCAGGTCCACCAGTGCCACGTGCTTAGCTGACAGACCAAAATCAGAAAGTTGACTTAGAGGTCATCAAGCTTTCCCTATCTATCTGTGGTCTGTTTTAGTATCTTAGTCATTTTACTGTTTAGAATTTTGTGTCCTCCATTCCTCCAGATTCCTTGAATAACACTAGACTTCTCCGTGACTTTGAGGGTAAATTACAACTGGTTGTGACTTTATATGTCATCTTACAGGAGTGTTCTCCAAGACATGACGTGGATCTTGTGTGTAGGCAGGAAGATGGTTCTTAGCAAGGCCTTACCGTGCTTAGGGCTGAAAGTCTGTTGGTAGTAACTTCCAGATGTTTGCAGCCGCAGTCCTGAGAGTAGTAGGCATTGTTGTAGCAATACTTTCCCAAGACTAAGGCCATGATATAACTGACATTTTTGAAAAAAATAAATAACTAACACAGAAGCTAGATTGATGTTAATCTCTTGTGTAAAATAAAAACAAGTTTTTATGAACACTGACATTTTATTTGAACTGATATGAACCTAGGGAAAATTACTTTCAATTCTTGTATGTTTTAGTCATTTTGTTCAGTTGATTATAGGTTCTGAAAGTCACATATTTTTCCAAATTGCCATGGTAAAATTGGCCACGTGGATGAGCTTTGCAACCCTTTTTTCCTTTGTCTTATTACTTTTGAGACTAGTGTATGGAGATGTGATGGCTCGGATTACCGTTGAAATTATGCGTGTAGATAGTGGGTGAGTTCTTTCTCAGCTTTATTTTTAAATAACTGCTTCTGTATCACAGCATGAAATTTGGATTGAGCTTGTGGTAACCTTGCTCAATAAAATTTATGCTTTCTGTAAGTAAAGGCCCTAAGTGATAGTAGTTGTTGCTGAATTGTTTGCTAAATAGAATATTTTGCCAGTGTGACCTGTAAATGGGAGTTTTAAAAATGTATGTGTCAGTATAATTGTGTGTGTGTGTGTGTGTGTGTGTGTGTGTGTGTATGTGTGTGTTTGTATAGAGGCGTAGATGAAAAATCTTTGGCTATTAATTGAAAATTATTTAATTTGATGATGAATGTATGGTAGTTTCTTACATTTTTTCTACCTCATGGATGTTTTAAAATTTCCAAAATAAAGAGTAAAAGAGTCTCCCCAAACGGTAATTAAGAAAAGGGACAGGGGACTGGGCACAGTGGCTCACACCTGTAATCTCTGCACTGAGGGAGGCTGAGGCCGGATCGCTTGAGCCCAGGAGTTTGAGGCCAGCCTGGGCAACATAGTGAGACCTTGTCTCTACAAAAAAGTAGAAAAAATTAGTGGGGTGTGGTGGTATACGCCTATAGTCCCAGCTACTCGGGAGCTGAAGTGGGAGGATTACTTGAGCCCGGGAGGTTGAGGCTACAGTGAGCTGTGATCGTACCACTGCACCCTAGCCTGGGTGACAGAGTGACATAATGAGATCTTGTCTCAAACAACAACAACAACAAAAAGATAAGATGTAGGTTTTATTTGCTAGGGAGTAGAGACAAGGGTCAATGAAATAGATGTCATGATTTCTAAAACCTTCCAGGGTGGCTTTTTCAGTGGTGCTGAAGTACTGCCCCTGAGTTACTTCAGGAGAGAGAATAGAATTTTACTGTTGTTGCCTAGGTTTACTGATCATGGCAGAGGTATTCCAGTGTGCTGCCCATACATTACAAAAAGAAACCCTTTGTGTTTTCTTTCCACAAGATCCTTTTATTTGATATTTGGAGCCAAGTGTGAATTCTGACACCAATACCTTCCCATGCTTCTTTAGGTTTTGATTTTTTTTTTTTTAAAGATGAGGTTTTAAGATGAGGCTTTTAATTAGTCTCTATTGTTTTGCAAGTGTTTCTCTCTGTTCCTTCCTTCACTGGATGGATGGAGAGTGGTTTCTTATTGTTTCTAAAGTACTTGTGTTTGACTTGTGCTTTTTGCCACTCTCCCTAGAATTTGTCTCCGAAGTCTGCACATTTTTCCCAAAAAGAAAGGTTAGAATAAATTTCAGAGGGTTGAAAATGCCAGTTTGATACGAAAGTCTTTAAAGCATAGGAAGAAATCTTAGTCGCTTCAGTGTAATAATTCTGTAGATGACTTTAATCGTAGTAATAAAATGCGGGAAAGAAACATGAGATTGAATTTATAATGTTATACTGTACAGAGTACACATGAGAAATCAAGCTATTTGTTGAAACAATTTCCACCTTATAACATTTTTGGGCCTTATTTGGTAGCAAAGCTTGTATTTGAGATCTCTTTCAATTTTGGTTTTGTATGTTTTGTCATTGCAAATCTTAAATTTGTTATTGTGTGATTTATGGCCAAAACTCTGGTACTTCAGTGGCATTAAGATGATTCTGTCTTTATTAGGCAAGTAATGATACTGTAGATCCACTCAAGCAGTATCCTTCATGTACTTCCTGCCATTACCGATGTCCTGTGTATTACCAAGATGTGAATATACTAAACTCCAGCATTCAAATAAATCTTAAATAGACTCCGAGTTTTTGGAGTGCTATATGAATTTATAAGAGAATTTCAGAAGCGAGAGAAAGTTTAGTTGTCTTTAAGAGTTTTCTTTTTTTTTTTTGAGCTCTGCCTCCCGGGCTCAAGTGATCCTCCTACCTCAGCCTCCCAAGAAGCTGGGACCATAGGCATGAGCCATTGTGCCCGGCTAATTTTTGTATTTTTTTGTAGAGATGGGGTTTTGCCATGTCGCCCAGGCTGGTCTTGAACTCCTGGCCTCAAGTGATCCGCCTGTCTCGGTCTCCCAAAGTGCTAGGATTACAGGCGTCAGCCCACTCCAGCCTAAGAGTTTTCTTAAATTCCGTAATGTGGGAAATGTTTAATATTTTGACGGCAACTATTATTGTCTTTAAATTATTTTTATTTTTTAGAGACAGGGTCTAACCCTGTCTCCTAGGCTGGAGTGCAATGGCACTATCATAGCTTACTGCACTCTTGAACTCCTGGACTCAAATGATCCTCCTACTTCAGTTTTCTGAGTAGCTGGGACTACAGCATGTGCCACCATCTGGCTAATTTTTAGATTTTTGGTAGAGATGAAGTTGGGCTATGTTGCCCAGGCTGGTCTTAAACTGCTGGGCTCAAAGGATCCTTCCACCTCAGCCTCCGAAAGTGCTGGGATTACAGGCATGAGCCACCATACCTGGCCTTAATTGTCTTTTAAATTTAGAGTTGAAAAACATTACAGAGGCTATTCATTATTTTCCATCAGGGTATATCATATTATTTGCATTAGGGTATATTGCCAAACTGTGCCTGTAATTCCTGATGTGACATTAGGCCGTAATAAATTCTCCTGTTATCAAGAACATTTATTAGGTGTGTACCCTGTGGGCATGGTGTAGAAGTAGGCAGAAGACATGATCCCTGCTCCTCAGTAATTTACAGGTTTTGAGAGTACACAGGGCATCTCTTTTAATGACTTCATTCAGTAAGCATTTCCTGAGTATCCACTGTGTGCTAGCCCTTCCAGGAACTGGGGATACAGTGATGAACGGGACATACAAGGCTCTACACTCTTGGAATTTACATACTGGAACCCTCAACACTTCACGTGCTAAATGATGAAATTGTTAAGGACCTTATGAGGGGAGGTATTACTTTGCTGTGGTATGGTTGGGAAGGCTGTATTGAGGGATGAGGACTGGAGCTGGACAGGCGTGAGACTGTTCATTTCCCACTGTGTATTCTGTGGAACCTGCTATCAAAGATTTCGTGGTCAAATAGATGGAAAACATGACCCACTTGGGATTGTGGAGAAGGCATCCCAAGAGCTGGAGAAATTAGGTGAGACAGTAGGGGAGAGGATATGGAATTTGAGCTGTTCTTTAATGGGTAAAATTTTAAGAGTGAGGTTGGAGTAGAGGGTGAGTGAACTGTGTGAGAATGTGCAGGGAGCTTGAAGAGTACGGGCCATGTTGGGGGATGCTACCCAAAATGCACCTGTCCCCAGCCTCCCCTCCTACCCTCACAGAAGCTACCCATTGTCCTTGGCTCCACCGTGTCACCTCTTCCATGCTTTCTGTGTTTTAACATGCTCAAGTTTCTCCTTTCATAAAAACACCAACAAAAAGGCAAACTGTCTTTTGCTTCCACCTTTCCCGCTTCATGGCTAAATTTCACAAGCAATCAACAGCTCACGAACTCCACATCCCCCCAGCCCATTCATTTCTCAGCTGATTTCTTTTTTGTGTTATCCCCATTGCTTCCCCCTTGCACCTCTCACTGAGCCCCTTGTGATATCCATCCTGCTAAGTGTAATGAACACTTAATGCCTTATTTCACTTCTCTTAGTGACATAGGGCTTCATTGCCCTCTGTCTTCTCGAAATCTTGATTTTCTTTCTCTTTTCCCTGCTGCCAAGCCTCCAGGAAGTAGAGAAAAGACATTTTCTTGACATCACACTCTTCCAAGTTTTCTCTTATATCTCCCTCTTAGGAGGCCATTTTTTCTCAGTCTTTGCAATTTCTGTTCCCTTCTCCCTGGCTATTGAACTTTGAGGCTCCTCAGAGTCTCAATCCTAGGTCCCTTCCTTTTTTTCTCGATATTCTTCCTAGGCTGATCGCATCTGTGTTCAATTTCAGTTGCTTTGGTTATGATTTGTTCTCTGGTGACTCCCAAATTTGCTGTCAGCCCAGATGTTCTTCAGAGCTCCTGACTTTTGTGTCCAGCTGCCTGGTGTTGCAGTCACCTCAAACTCAGCACGTCCAATTCTTGGCTGATGATCTCTACCCCTCTATCCTCATTCAATAACCCTGTCCTGGTGCATGTAACTCCCGTCCATCCAATTATGTAAGCTAGAAAATATGAAGTTATCTTTTTTTTTTTGAGACAGAGTCTTGGAGTGCAGTGGTACGATCTTGGCTTACTGCAACCCCTGCCTCCCAGGTTCAAGCAAGTCTCCTGCCTCAGCCTCCTGAGTAGCTGGGACTGCAGGTGTGAGCCACCACGCCTGGCTGATTTTTGTATTTTTAGCAGAGACAGGGTTTCGCCATGTTGGCCTGGCTGGGCTTGAACTCCTGACCTGAGGTGATCCACCTGCCTCGGCCTCCCAAAGTGCTGGGATTACAAGTGTGAGCCACCGCGCCTGGCTGAGATGGCTTTTTTTCTTTATCAGTAATCCTTGACTGAGGTCAGTAGTCCCCCAGTTACCTCTGAGGGTCTGCATCACTTAGGTTTAATTACCTGGAGATTTCACACAGATCCTAAAATGATATATTGTAGGTAAATGGTGTCCAGGTAATGTCTTTCATTAAAATGAAATAATTAATATACATTTAAGTCCCTCCCTCTCATCCACTTTAATACTTAAGGATAAAACAGGAGCTCATATTCCAACTGCATTTTTTTTTTTTTTTTGGTCTTCTTAGAAGAGCTCTAACGGTTAACATTGTTGAATAAGAATGTCATTGTTGAATAAGTTGTCATTCATCTATGTCAATGACAGGTTCTAGAAATGAAAAAAATAACAATTTATCTTTTTTTTCCTTTGTGAATCATGCTTTTCATGTCCTAAGAACTCTTCACCTAATCGTAGGTCATGATGCTTTTCTCTTATGTTCTCCTCTAAGAGTTTTATAGTTTTTGTATTAGATCTGGGATCCATTTTGAGTTAATTTTTATATATGGTCTGAGGCAAAGGTCAAGATTTTTTGTTGGTTTTTTTTTTTTTTTTGGTCTATTGATGTCCAGTTGTTCCAGCACTATTTGTTGAAAAGGCTATCTTTCCTCCCTTGAATTGCTTTTGCACTTGTGTCTGAAATCAGTTGGACATATTTGTAAGGGGCTATTTCTGGGATCTCTCTGTTGTTCCATTGGTCTAGGTGGCTGTCCCTCTGAAAATACCACAGTCTTAATTGCTATAGCTATATAGCTTAAAATCAGATAGTATGATTCCTCCAACTTTATTTTTTTTGGTCGTTCATTATTTTAGTTATTCTAGTTCCTTTTCATTTCTATATAAAATTTAAGATAAGCTTGTCTGTATCTACAAAAGATCTTGGGACTTTGCTAAGAATTATGTTAAATGTATAAATCAGTTTGGGGAGAATTGATATCTTTACTATGTCATGGTCTACTAGTGTCAACAGCTTACCACTTTAGGTGGAACATAGGAAGCTTACCACGATTTAGGCCCCTTTACCCTCCCTGCTTTATAGTTACATACATTGAAAACCACATCAGACAATATTATACTTTTGCTTTTAATTACCTAATGTAATTTTAAAAACTCAAGAGGAGAAAGTCTAGTACTAGTACACTTAACTATAAAGTTACTCTCCAACATTAGTTACTTTTTACTTGTAAAATTCTATTTCTTTCAAAATTTATATTTTAGTAAGTTTCTTTCGCTTGTGTTTATTTTTTCTTTTCTTTTTTTCTTTCATTCTTTTTCTTTTTTTTTTTTTTTGAGATAGGGTCTCACTCTGTCACCCAGGCTGGAGTGCAGTGGCATTATCATGGCTCACTGTAACCTCAACCTTCTAGGCTCAGGTGATTTTCTCACCTCAGCCTTCTAAGTAGCTGGGACTACAGGTGCATGCCACCACATCTGGCTAACTTTTTGTAGAGACGAGATCTCACTATTTTGCCCAGGCTGGTCTCGAACTCCTGAGCTCAAGTGTTTTGCCCTCCTTGGTCTCCCAGGTGTGAGCCATTGGGCCCTTTCATTACTTTATATACATTGTTTAAAAATATTCTGTAGTTGTCTTTTTTTAAGACCTGAAGTTATTCTGTACTACATTTTGCTATTTTTTCTTTCTGACTGTCAATCGTGATGGCTCTTTCCTTATGTGCTTTGTAAGCATTTAGCAGGCTTTTGACTGTAGGCATATTCTGAAGCAAATAGTTCTGAGAGGAGTTTTTGGTTCAGCAATGGGTGCCACCAATCTAGGATCACTTTAAGTTCGTTTCTATGCTTGGGGTTCATTAGCTGGACCCTATTGTGTGAATACAATCCTGGGTTCTGAATGTTCAGAGGAGACTTTCCTATGGAACCTAGATCAAAACAGACACCTGTGATTTTTTTTCCTTCACCAGCTGGTGTATTTTTTCTAGCCTATTTTCTCACTGAGATTGTTCCCCTTCAAGGGTCTGAGTTTTTTCCAAGGGGCTCACTTCAACCTTTCTACATTTTGTATCATCAAAGCCTTAGAGTCTTCAGTCCCTCTGCGGCTTTAAACCACTCTTGATACTAACACCAGAAAGTGCTCCCAGGGTCTCTATAGCCTCAGTTTCTACTTTTTCTGGTTTCTGGCTCCCACTTGATTTTTAGCTCCTGGGGATTTTCTTTTCTTTCTTGAGAACTCAACTGTGCATTTTAAAAGAAACTGGTAATATTTTGTTTAGCAGTTATAATAATTCAATAATTCAGTATCAGGTGGTTTTTCAGATATTGACTCCACTATGTTACTAGAAATAGAAGATTTTGACACACAGCTTCCAAACCATTCAATAAAGTATAGATTATTGGGTCCCAGGAGGGACTCACTCTGGTTTCTTTAAAATTGGTCATTTGGGACAAAAGTTCTTCCTGTCTCTCAGGAGGGGCTGTGGTAGCGACACTTGTCCTTAAAAGGAAGAAGCATGGGCATCTTTAGTACTGCCCTCACATCTGCCAAACAGCTAGAGAGGTTCAAGAAGGAAGGGAATGCTCAACTGTGTCAAGTGCTACAGCAAGGTCAACTAAGATCAAGACTGAAAATTGACAGTGGGATTTCACAATTAGAATGTCTTTGCCAGAGTAATCCCATGGAATTGGGAGGATGGTCTTTGGTCCAGGCAATTCCTGTTTTTCTCAGGAAGAATGACTTCTTGTTTATCAGTATGTGGTTATTTATTTTATGCTGTCTTATTTTAATACTGTCTAGCTTCCAACCTTGCCTTAGATAGAGTAGCTATGTCTGTCATAGAAACTGGATTCAGCCATAGATTGTAGGACCTATCTTGTATACACCTAGGTCCTTAAAGCTTTTGTTTATATCTCAGGTGAGGTCATCAGAAGGAAGAACTGAAGAGGTAAGAGCCCAGCTGGGGTATTAAAGTAAGAGAAAGAATATAATGAGGTATTGTCAGTTTTAACATGAAGCCTCTATTTTGTGGAATTTTTAAAAATTATGAAACAATTTGAAACACACAAAAGTAGAGAGAATAGTGCATTGAGAGAATAGTGCATAACCCAAATTTAGTATTTTTTGTACATTTGCCGTGTTTATCTTTCTTTTGCTGAAATATTTTAAAGAAATCCTGACATCATTTATGTACATATCTTAACTATGCAATGTGAACATTTTCACATGTAGTCAAAATGCTGTTATCACATCTAATATAAAATGGATTATTCTTTACTACTATACATAAGACTGTGGAGGCTTTCTATTTTAAAGTCCTTTGAACATGCTGAGATTGTTCCTCCTTTTCTGTCTTTATACTTGTCATACTGTCTGTCTAGAAGGCTCTAGTCTGTGACCTCCACATGGTGGCCTTAGTGACAGTATTATTTCCTCAATAAAGGCTTTCCTGATGACTGAACTAAAGTAGTGTCCCTTTCCCCCACCCTGTTGGCCACTGCCTCCCTGCTCTGTGTCACTGCCTGTGTGCTTGTGTATTGTCTGTCTCCTCCCCTAGATTGTAAGCGCCATGAGAGTAGGGACCTGGTCTGTCATGGTTATTGCTCTATGGCCAGGGCCTGAAGCAAGCCTAGCCTATTGTAAGGAAGCAAAGGTTTAGAAACAAGTCAGCTATTAGATTAATAAAGATTCCAAAATTTGCTTAATATTTTATAACCATTATCTCTTCCTACAACTGATTTCTATTCCAGAGCTTTTCTTTTCTCAAGAGCTTTAACCAACAGCTGTGTTTGCAAAAAGTGCTGGGCTGTTGTCCCTTTCAGGACATTTAATCTTTTAAATCCTCAAAATATTTTGTAAAATATAAGTGAGTAAAGTCATTGCTGACCTGTTAAGAGGCAGTGTTTTTACTGACATAACTCTCATTTGAGATCACTTTATTTGAGCTTGCAGCTAATAAATCTGTTTTGGCTCATATGAAACAGGGTGGAATGATCCTGTAGTCCACATAGCCTTTAATTGATTATTTGAACTTCATTTATTTAGTGCGTCATTTGTATTCCATGTTAGGGGTATATCAAAATTGTCAGTTGTTGGGAATATTCTTTAGCATGAGAAAAAATGTAATTCAGTAAAACAGGTATGATTCTATAATTAGACTTGGATTCTTTTGAAAAACATAATTTCAGACCGATAAAAGAGACGAGAGAATGGTACAAATAATTACTTTGTATTCTTTACAAGATTCCCCAGTGTTAATATTTTACCACATTTGCTTTAGTATCCCTCCCCACTTATCCTCTATTGTGTTTTTTTGTTTTTTGGTGAGTGGAGACACTCAAAGCCATCCTCTTTTATAACATTATGCAGTTATTAGAATCAGGGAATTAACATTGATATACCATTAGCCAGTAGATTTTATTCAAATTCCCCAATCATGCCCTTTTCCTTTCTTATATGAAAAGAAAATTCTGGATCATGAGTGGCATAGAGTTGTCACGTGTCTTTAGTCTCCTTTAATTTGGAACAGTTTTTCCTTTCATGATTTTAACATTTTTGAAGATTATAGGCCAGTTATACAACAGGGACAGTTTTTAGCAGGTCCCTCAATTTGGGTTTAACTGACTGTCTTAATTTGATTTCTGTTACTATAACAGAGTGCCACAAACTGGGTAATTTAAGGAAATTTATTTCTCACAGTTCTGGAGTCTGGAAAGTCCAGTAGTAAGGTGCTGACATCTGTTGAGAGCCTTCTTGCTGCATCATCCTGTGGTGGGAAGGCATAAGGGCAAGAGAGCAAGAGCAGAGAGGGCCAAACTCACTTTTATCAGGAACTCATTTCTGTGATAATAGCATTAATTCATTCACTATGGTTGAGCCTTCATGGCCAAATTCCTTCTTAATGATCCCACCTGTTAATACCATTACAATGACAATTAAATTTCAACATAAATTTTGGAGGGGACATTCAAACCATAGAACTGATGTTTCAAAACTGACATGTTTTTCTTAGTGCTTCATATCAGGAGACATATAATGTTGATTTGGCTCATTACCGGTGTTTACTTTGATCACTTGATTAAGGTGGGTCTGCCAGATTTTTCCACCCTCAAGATAGATTTTCCTCTTTGTGTTTACATAATATCTTTGAGGATACTTTGAAACTATTTAAAATTCTGTTACTTCTTAAACTCTTACCAACTAGTTTTAGATTTCATTGATGAATACACATTAATTAGTATGATGATGGTTGCCAATGGTAATTTTCTAATTCCATTGTTTTTTCTAGATTTATCACTTGCGATACTGCTGTAAGGAATGGCTTCTCCCTTTCACTTATTTATTTTTGTCTATCAGTAGGAACTTATGGATTCTTATTTAGTCAGTTATAAAATTTTGATATTTAAATGATCATATATTTGGCCAGTAGCAGCCTTTTCAGAGGGCTCCTGTGAACTTTTGACATGTCCTCATCATTTTTTGAGTATTTTCTTACTTTCTGGAACAGCAAGATATTCTAGGCCAGGGCTTGGCAAACCTTTTCTGTAAGTGGCCAGATAGTAAATATTTTCGATTTTGTAGACCATACAGTCCCTCTTGCAACTGTTTAACTCTGCCCTTGCAGCATGAAAGCAGCCATAGATAATTTGTAAACTAATGAGCTTGGCTGTGTTTCAGTAAAAGTTTATTTACATAAATAGGTGGATGCACTATGCATAGTTTGCCAACCCCTCTTCTAGGCTCATATTTGTACGTTTCTACCCTGGTCTCAGAATTGGCCATTTTTCCATTGGTTGCTTTTAGTGATGAGTGGTGTTTAGAAACTGAGATCTAGGCACTAGATATGCTCATTGCTACTGGAATGTCATTGATTCTAGGCCCTTTCAGGAGACAAAGCTAGGGAATATAAGAATATATCTTTATATGCTATATACATTTGTGTGCGTATATAGACGCATCCGTATTTCTCTATTTATTATAAACCATTGAGTTATACTGATATCTCCAGTTCCATTTCGATTCTAGCCTTTCCACTTTTCCATATTTGTAATTTTTTTCTCCAACATTGACAAACTTGGCTCGTTATCCACAAGTATTTACTTATTTGTTCCATCTAGGATATATAGAAAGCAGTTTTGGAATTGCTCACTCATACTTCTATAAAAAACCTATTAACCAGAGTTTAATCTTTATTTACACTTATTTTTTGTTTTTAGCCACAGGATTTGGTTAAATACTGTACCCCACAGTTACTTGGGTTAGTGTGCCATTCCTGTTACACCCATTTCCTGCTGCCCTCTAATATATTGTGATTTATTTATTTTTAATTGACAAGCAAAAAATTACATATTTTTATGGTGTGCAACATGATGTTTTGCTATATGTATACATTGTGGAATGACTAGATCAAGCTACTTAACATATCCATTATGTCATATACTTATCATTTTTTTGTGATGAGAACACTTAAAATACACTCTCTTAGCAATTTTCAAGTATACTTGGCCCCTAGATATCCACAGGGGATTAGTTCCAGGACTCCTACAGCTACCAAAAAATGTGGATGCTCAGGTCCCTTATATAAAATGGCAAGACATTTGCATATAACCTATGCTCATCTTTCTACAGACTTTAAATCCTCTAGGTTACTTATAATACCTAATACAATATAAATGGTATGAAAATTGTTGTTATGCTGTATTTTTAAATTTGGATTCTTTTTAAAAATTGTTGTATTTTTATTTTTATTGTTGTTTCCCCAAATATTTTTGATCTGAATTCACAGACACAGAATTCATGGATACAGAGAGATGACTGTATACAATATATTGTTATTAACTCTAGTTGCCGTGATATACAATAGATCTCTTGAACTTATTCCTCCAGTCTTATTGAAATTTTGTGTCTTTTGGCACAGACATCTCTCCTCTCCCCTCAACCCCCAGCCTCTGGTAACCACCATTCTCTGTTCCTATCTGTTCAACTTTTTTACACGGCACATATAAATGAGATCATGTGGTATTTATTTGTCTTTCTATGCCTGGCTTATTTCACTTAGCCTAATGTCCTCTAGGTTCATCCATGTTGTTGCAAATGAGAGGGATTTCCTTTTCCTTTCCTTTCTTTTCCTTTCCTTTCCTTTCCTTTCCTTTCCTTTCCTTTCCTTTCCTTTCTCTTTCTCTCTTTCTCTCTTTCTGTCTTTCTCTCTTTCTTTCCTTCTTTCTTTCTTCTTCTTCTTTTTTTTTTTTTTTTTTTTAAGAGACTGGATTTCACCATGTTGTTGCCCAGGCTGGTCTCAAACTCCTGAGCTCGAGCAGTTCTCCTACCTTGGCCTCCCAAAGTGCTGGGACTACAGGCATGAGCCACTGTACCCGGCTTCCTTTTTTTTTTGTTTGTTTGTTTGTTTGTTAAACCGAATGGTATTCCATTGTGTATATATACTACATTTTGAAAATCCATTCACCCTTGCTGAGGATTTAGGTTGATTCCGTATCTTGGCTATTGAGAATAATACTGTAATGAACGTGGGAGTGCAAATGTCTTTTTGATGTACTGATTTCATTTCCTTTGAATACATACCCAGAAGTGGAATTCCTGGATCATAGGGTAGTTCTGTTTTTAATTTTTTGAGAAACCTCCAAACTGTTTTCCATAATGGCTATAGTAATTTACATTTCCACCAACAGTGTACAAGGGTTCTCTTGCTCCACATCCTTGCTAACACTTGTTATCTTTTGTGTTTTCGATAATAGCCATTCTAGCAGGTATGAGGTAATATCTCACTGTGGTTTTAATTTGCATTCCCCTAATGATTAGTGATATTGAGCATTTTTTCATATACCTGTTGGTAATTTATGGGTCTTTTGAGAAATGTCTACCTAGGTCCTTTTCCCATTTTTAAATTGGATTATTTGTTTTCTTGCAATTGATTGTTTGAGTTCCTTGTGCATTTTGGATATTAACTATTATATGTATGGTTTGCAAATATATTCTCTCATTCATTGTCTCTTTGCTCTGTTGATTTTTTGCTTAACAGAGTCTTCTTAGCTTAGTGGAATGCCATTTGTCTTTTTTTTTTTTTTTTTTTTTTTGCTTTTGTTGCCTGTGCTTTTGTATTTTTAAAGAAAAAAAATCTTTGCCCTGATCAATGTCATGGAACTTTATTTAACTCCATGTTTTTTCCCAGTGGTTTTCAGTGTCAGGCCTTACATTTAAATCTTTAATTCTTTTTTTTTTTTTTTTTTTTTTGAGATGGAGTTTTATTCTTGTCACCCAGGCTGGAGTGCAGTGGCCCAGTCTTGGGTCACTGCAAGCTCCACCTCCCGGGTTCAAGCATTCTCCTGCCTCAGCCTCCTGAGTAGCTGGGATTACAGGCATGTGCCACCATGACCAGCAAATTTTTGTATTTTTAGTAGACAACAGGGTTTCACCATATTGGTCAGGCTGGTCTGGAACTCCTGACCTCAGGTGATCCACCCGCCTTGGCCTCCCAAAGTGCTGGGATTACAGGCTGAGACACCACTCCTGGCCTCCTTTAATCCATTTTGACTTGGTTTTTGTATATGTTGTGAGATGAGTGTCTAATTTCATTCTTCTGCAAATAGAAATCCGGTTCTCTCGGTACCATTTATTGAAGAGATTGTCCTTTCCCCACTACGTATTCTTGGCATCTTTTTGAGGGCCAATTGATAGTAAATGTGCTTTTTTATTTCTGGGTTTTCTATTCTGTTCCATTGCTCTGTGTGTCTGCTTTGATGCCAGTACTGTGCTGTTTTGATTACTGTAGGCTATATTTTGAGATCAGGTAGTGTGATGCCTCAGGCTTTATTCTTTTTGCTCAAGATTGCTTTGCCTATTTGGGGTCTTTTGTGATTCTATATGAATTTTAGGATTGCTTTTTCTATTTTTGTGAAAAATGTCATGGAATTTTGGTAGAGATTATATTGAATCTGTAGATTGCTTTGGGTAGTAAGGACACTGTTACAGTATTCCACAATCATGAACATGGGATATCTTTCCATTTTTTGGTGTCTTCAGTTTATTTCATTAACATTTGTTGTGTTTTTCATTTTAAGTAGAGTTAGCATAATTTCTTTCTATTTGAATTGCATTTTTAGGCCATTTCCCCCATTCTGGTTTGTTTTATGTTGCTTTTTTTTGAGATGTGAAACATCACTGTGGTTCCAAAAGTCAGAACATATAAAAAGGCATATTAAGTGAAGTGTTATTCCACATCCATTTCTTTTACCTAGTTATCACCTGCCTCCCTTTCACTGTTCCCATCTACTCACTGTAGGTAGCCAGTCTCATTAGTTTCTAATTTACTGTGTTGTGTGTCTTTTTGCACAAATGATCGTATGTGTGTGTGTAACTCTTATTTTTTCTTTCTTTGTCATATAAAAGGAAACATACCATAGATTATCTTTTAGTTAATTCAGAAGCTCAGGAGTTGGTCAAAGTAGAACATTTCTGTGTGGTGAAATGAGTGGCCTCAACTCAATCAAGTTATTGGAGGGGAGAGTAGGAACTTCATCAGGTTATGGTCAAATTAAGCCTAGAACAGGAAGTAAGCCAGGCTTACCCAGGTATTCTGCCTTGGATTAAAAAGACGCTAAATTATTTGGTGGCAGGGATCTTAAATGATAACAATTTCTCTTTCCTGACTCTGCTCTAATCTAGACCTTTGTCCTCCAATCTAGAGGTTACCCTTTATGCTTAATGCACATTTGCTATCCTGGGGTCTCTTTTTTCTCTGTCGTTTTAGAAAATTCCTTTGCACTTTTTTTGTGCTGAGTCTTCTCCTCATTGTACTCCATATCATCCTCTGTTTCAGTTTATTGTGTCATTTTGGTGGAGCACATCCTTTAGTAGCTTCATAAGAAAAAATACAGGAAATTTTTTTTGGCCTGCTATTTTGAAAATGTCTTTATTCTACCCCCATACTTGATTGTTAGTTTGACTGCATATAGAATTGCAGATTAGAAATAATTTTCCTTAAAATTTTTTACAACTTTACTCATGTATAATTTACATACATTAAATATTTCTGGTGCTTAACATTTATTCCTGAAAATCCAGTTTTGCTCTGGTATCATTTCCCTTTAGCCTGAAGAACTCAGTATGGCGTTTCTTGTAGTACAGTGCTGCTGGTGATGGGTTTTCTCTTTTATCTGAAAAATGTCTTTGTTTTGCCTTCATTACTGAAGGATATTTTTGCTGGAAATAGGATTCAGGGCTGACAGTTTTTTTCTTTTAGCCCTTTAAAGATAAGTTATTCCATTGTCTTTGGCTGGCAGGAAAGAAGACAATAAAAAATAAGGAATCTGCTGCCATTCAAAATGTTGTTCTGTTTGAGGTATTTCTTTTTATGTTGACTGCTTTAGATTTTCTCTGTATTGTTCGTTTTCAGCAGTTTGATTATGATGATATAGATATAATTTTTAAAACAATTTTCCTTTTTGGGGTTCACTCAGTTTATTGAATCTATGTATTTATGTTTTTCAGCAAATCTGGGATGTTTTTAGCCAGTGTTTCTTCATTTTTTTGGGACCTGTTCTCTTCTTCTGGGAAATCAATTCCCCTTATTTATTTGTTTTTTTTGGAGACAGAGTCTTGCTCTGTTTCCTAGGCTGGAGTGCAGTGGCATGATCTTGGCTCACTGCAACCTCTGCCTCCCAGGTTCAAGCAATTCTCATGCCTCACCCTCCCAAGTAGCTGAGATTACAGGCATGCGCCACCACATCCCGCTAATTTTTGTATTTTTGGTAAAGACGGGGTTTCACCATGTAGTCCAGGCTGGTCTCAAACTCCTGACTTCCGGTCATCGACCCGCCTTGACCCCACAAAGTGCTGGGATTAACAGATGTGACCCACCAGGCCAATTACCTTTATGTTTGACCTTTTGTTGTTGTCCTGTAAGTCCATAATACTTTATGTTTTTGTTCAGTCTTCTTTCTGTTTTTCAGGTTGTATAATTTCTGTTGATAAAGTTTAAACTCCTTGAGTGTTTATTCTTTTACCTCTATTTTGCTATTGAGCTTATCCACTGAATTTTTTATTTCAGATATTGTATTTATTAATTTTAAGTTTCTTTTTTTTTTTTTCTTTTTGAGACTGGGTGTCACTCTGTTGCCCGGGCAGGAGTGCAGTGGCGTGTTCTTGGCTCAGTGCAACCTCCACCTCCTGGAACTCAAGTGATCTGTCCACCTCAGCCTCCCAAGTAGCTGGGACTACAGGCATGTGCTACCACACCCAGCTAATTTTTGTGTTTTTAGTAGAGACGGGGTTTCACCATGTTGGCCAGGCTGCTCTTGAATTCCTGGGCTCAAGTGATCTGCCTGTTTTAGTCTCCCAAAGTGCGAGGATTACAGGCATGAGCCACTACACCTGGTCTAAAATTCTCATTTTTAAGTACGTTTTTATTTCTCTGTTGAGAGTTTCAATCTCTTCAGTCATTTCAAGTGTCTTTTCCTTTACCTCAGTGAGCGTAGTTATCAGAGCTGATGTAAAGTTCTTGTCTGATAGTTCTAACATCTGAGTCATTTTGAGGTTGGGATTTGTAGTTTTCCCTTTAGAATGGATGTTTTCTGGGTTCTTAGTATGTCAAATAATTTTGGATTGTTTCCTGAATATTATTTTATGTAGACTCTGAATTCTGTTAAATTCCTTTGAAGAATCTTGATTTTTTTTTTTTTTTTTTTTTATTTCACTAGCACTTAGCTTCAGACCCTGTTAGGTTCAGATTGCGTCTTGTCTCCTGTAGGCTTAAATCTCATTTGAAATCTCCTGTTGGCTTAAATCTCATTTGAAATTTTTAGGCCTTTATAATGTTGCGTTGAGTCTGTCCTACATGTCTACATGGCTAAGGGGTCAGCCTGAGACTTGAAGAGTCATAAGAATTAGGGGAGTCCCTTCTTCAGCTCTCTCCTCTTTTAGATTGCTACTGACCTCCACCTGTGGTCCTTTCTTCTAGCCAGGCGCAGCCTATGGAATTTGTATTGAAGATTTAGCTGCCTGCATTGCACCAACCCTGTGATGGTGGCCTGCCCTTGGGACAAAACTTCTATTTCCCTCCCCACAAATTTTATAAAAACTCATGAAATTCCCCCTACTAATACCAGTTACTTGTCCAGATTCCTACTCCTCCCAACAGCCTTCCTCCCTTTGTTTACCCTGCAGAATCTATAGGTAGTTGTTTCTGATTTTTTTCCAGGGTTTATAATTGTTAACCCAATTTGTTTTTAAGTCATTTTTCTGGCTTTGATGGCAATCATAGTCTTTCCCAACTTACTATTTTCATCAGTGATTCACCTAGTGTGATATTGAAAAACTTATAGTAAGAGATGCGCCTGGAAGGATGGGTTAGATTATAGAGCTGCAGTGAGCAACCCTGAAGGGTTTTGAAAAGGCACTTTATGGCTGGGCGCGGTGGCTCATGCCTGTAATCCCAGCACTTTGAGGGGCTGAGGCGGGTGGATCACCTGAGGTCAGGAGTTCTAGACCAGCCTGGCCAACATGGCAAAACCCTGTCTCTACTAAAAATACAAAAATTAGCCGGGCATGGTGGCACACTCCTATAGTCCTAGCTACTTGGAGGCTGAGGCAGGAGAATTGCTTGAACCCGGGAGGCAGAGGTTGCAGTGAGCCAAGATCGTGTCACTGCACTCCAGCTTGGGCGACAGAGCGAGACTCTGCCTTGAAAAAAGAAAAAAAGAAAAAAGAAAAGGCATTTTATAAAATATCTTCTATGTTGTAGGTGAAACGTGGAGTGAAGAAAAGAGATTCGTGAGTGAGAGACCTGCTAAAAAACTATTGCCATCTTTATGGTACATACACCGTTGTAACAACCTGAATTCAGACAGTGCTAATTAAGTTGGAAATGAAGGAATCTACTTAGGACTCATTTTGAAGGTAGAATAGACAGAATTTGGTAATAGAGTACTAATGGAGAAAAAGAGATTAGATGTCTACTGTTGCTGCCCAGGGATGATAATGATGTCATTAATCTGGATGTAGTATGCAGGTGGAAAATACAGTTTGAGGAGAATAATAAATTGAATTAGAAACATGTGGCATTCAAAGTGCTTGCCGGTATTATTCAGCAGGATGTTGGAAAGTTAAAGAAGAGCTTTGAAGAGCAGAGCTGGAGATGAAAATTTAAAACTCTTTAAAAGAGAAGTGAGATGAGGTATAAGAGTAGAATCTTGTAAATGGTAGAAACCGAAGAGGTAAGTGAAAAAAAGAGGAGTCTGTAAGGAAACCTGTGAATTGTAGAGAGAGAAAGAGAAGAACCACAAGACTGTTGTGTTCTGGAGGCCAAGGGTGAAGAATTTGTATTACAAAGATATAGCTGGTCAGTGGCATCCTGCACAAAAAACAAGCAAACTGAGAGAATGCCATTATTTAAGTAGTGAGGATTTTTCTTTCTAGGAATACAGAAAACTTTACTTCATTATAGAGAAGATGATAGACGTCATATTCCAAAAGAGATTAAAGAGTGTGTAATGGGGGAAATAGAGGTTGTGAGTCCAGACCACATTTTTAAACTTTGGCAAGGATGGGAATGAGAGAAATGGAATGATAGCTGGTAGCCTGAGGTGGGCAGAAGGGGAGCAGGGCCAGGTTCTTACATTGGTTGTGTGCTATTGGGAATACCCCAGTGGCAAGAATAATGGGTGTGTTAAAAGTTCTAGAGTAGATTAAAATAACATGAAGAACACACATTAAGAGGGTTAGGTTATAAATATGTAGGGACATTTTCCCCTCTAAAATAGAAAGCGAAGATAGGTGCAGGTATGGAGAAGTTTTGTCTGGGAGAAGAGTGAGTCCATATAGGAGAGAGTTGGGAATGAGAGAGTTAAGAGTGAGGTTGATACTTCCGCTCTCAGTTATGGCATAGAAAATAATTGGAAACCTGGCTCACTGCAGCCTCCACCTCTCAGGCTCAAGTGTTTGTCCTGTCTCAGCCTCCTGAGTAGCTAGGACTACAGGTGTGCACCCCTGTGCCTGGCTAATTTTTGTATTTTTTTGTAGAGACAGGGTCTTGCTATGTTGCCCAGGCTGGTCTTGTGAACTCCTGGCCTCAAGTGATCCACCCACCTTGGCCTCCCAAAGTGAAGAACACTTTCACCATATTAGAAAGGACAGGTATTAAGAAAATACAAGAGAATATTTTGAACAACATTCTACTCCCACCATGAAATGTTAGATGAAATTGAGAAATTCCTATAGAAATGCAAATTAATAAAATTGATTCAAGAAGAAATTTAAAAAATATGAACTATCTTATCTGTTTACAAGTTTTAGTTTTTTTCTTCTGATGCCTTTCTTTGGCTATGGTATCAAGGGAATACTGTCATAACAGAATGAATTCTCTATTTTCTGGAAGAGTTGTAAAGGATTTGATGATATTTTTTTCTTTTGATGTTTGGTAGAATACACCAGTGAAGACATTTGAGCCTGGAAGATTTTAAATTAATAATTCTATTTATTTACTTGTTATATGTCTATTCAGATTTTCTACTACTTTTTTTTTGGAGACAGGGTCTCACTCTGTCACTTGGGCTGGAGTTCAGCGATGTAATCACAGCTCACGCTCACTACAGCTTTGATCTCCCAGGCTTAGGTGATCTTCCCACCTCAGCCACCAGAGTAGCTGGGACTACAGGTGTATGCCACCATGTCCATCTAATTTTTTGTACTTTTTTTTTTTTTTTTTTAATAGGGTTGGGGTTTTGCCATATTGCTGTGGCTGTTCTCAAACTCCTGGGTTCAAGCAATCTGCCTGTCTTGGCCTCTGAAAGTGCTGGGATTACAGGTGTGAGCCACCACATCTGGCCAAATTTTCTCTTTTTGACTCAGTTTTAGTAATTTTTATTTCTGGGAATTTGTCCATTTTTTTTCTAAGTTTATTGTATTCCTTTATAATCCTTTTAATTTCTGTAAGGTTTATAGAGATGTCCTCTCTTTCATTTCTATTCTTTGGACACCCTGTGGAGGTAGAAAATAACCCTTCCAATTAACAGGTAGGATGTCTATGCTGGAAGCACTCCACACGCCAACAAAATTTGAGAGAAATTTTATTATTCACCCAAGAGACTTCTGGGGATGGTAGGGTTAGTACAAGTGGGTCTGGCCTGCCTTGAGTTAGACAGAGGGAGTGGGTTATGCCTTTATAATGGCTAGGGTGCTGGGGAGTTCCCATGTGCAGGCTGAGGATCGGCAAAACTTGAATTTTCCCCTGGTGCCAAAGGCAAGGCACATGTGGACTTCCTTATTAGCCTGATCAGTTGTGGGTTCAAAAGGGGAGAAGTGAGGTGAGGCTTAACATAAGTCAGTGGTCAGACATCAAAAATTTAAAAAATGGAGTGAGACTCCTTATTACAATTCTTGACTTTGGAATTAAAAGAAAATTTCCTTGTTCTTTCTTTTCTTCAGATTGTATAACGTTAATTCATCTACCTTCAAATTTATTGGTTATTTCTTCTGCCAGCTTAATTCTCCTCTTGAGCTTCTCTAGTGAATTTTTCATTTCAGTTGTTGTCTTTCCACTTGAAATTTCCATTTGGCTCTTTTTTATAATTTCTCTTTGTTAATATTCTGTTTGCTGAGTCATTGTCATCATAGTTTCCTTTATTTTAAAAGTGTTTTCTTCTAGTTCTTTGAACATATTTATAATAGCTGCTTTGAAGTCCTATTGTCTAACTTCAAAATCTAGGCTCCCCTAGAGATAGCTTTTATTGAAACTTGTCCCCTTCCATGTATGGGTCACGCTTTTCTGATTCTTTGCATATCTTATGAAAACTGGATATTTCTGATAATATATTCTGTATTCTGATTTCCTTCTCCCCAGAGTTAGAGGTGGTTGCTCTTTTTGTTTGTTTAGTGACTTGGCTGGACTAATTAATTCCATGGAGTCTGTTTCTCCATGGAGTGTGTGTGTGTGACTGCTGATGTCTCTGCTTAGCTCATCCTTTCTTGTTTTTATTTTTCAGTATGGCTGTCAAGTATTTGCCTCCTGGGTCAGCGTATCTTAGTGGTCAGCCTATGATTGGTCAGAGGTTGTGTTTAAATTCCTTGAAACAACGAGCTTCCCTTTGTCATTGGTTTTTGTGAGGCTTGGAGAATGCATTCAAAGTTCAGAAAGTCTGCCTGGGTTTTACTTTCTCCATTTGCAAGGCCTCATCTTTTTCCAGGAATGAGCAGCTTGCTGTGGCCCTAACATTTCTTTCCTTCATGTTTGCAGTCTTGTGCATGTGGACAGTCTTCCAGACCAGCAGGAAAAAATAGATTTTTATCAAGGCCCAGTCTGGCTGTCTCATTCCTTAGTCTCCACGTTGGTCTGCTGATCTGTTGCTTGCGCTGACTGGCATTGCAAACTCAAGTTAGCTGTAATATTGGCTTTCCCTCCTTTTTTGCCCTTGAAATCACTTTTTGACAACACCTATGGGCATGGAATTCTTCTCCAAATTAATTTAGCTCCCTCTGGCAGTGGAGCTTCCTGTCATCACAGCTTGTCCTACCCTGGTAGCTTCTGTACCAAGGAATTGGGAGCGAGTGTGGGATGATAGGAGCCCCAGGCTAAAACACCACACTCTTCACTGTTCTTACCAAGATTCAGTAGATTTTCTTGGACCAGCACTTCTCAAATTTGTTGTAATGTTTTTGATCAATATCAAGATCTTTAAATAGTTTTAGCAATGTCAGTTTTATTGTTGCTTTAGGGGTTAATATTTGTCAAACTCCTCATTCAACCGTCTGGATATCCTTTCCCCTGCCCCCTCCCTTTCTCTCTATCTTTCATCTCTGTGTGTCTCCCTGTCTCTGTCTCTCATTTTTGAACATTTAAATTTTATTCAAACTGAAATTTATTTTGGAATATGTTATGAAGTAGGGATGTATTGGTTATTTTTTTAAAATGGTATTAAGTAGTGTCTTAATACTACTTGTTGATTAATCCATGTACTTCTTACTGATTTGTAATATAAATGGTTTATTTTTCTAATCTCATTGAGATTTATTTTAATTTTGCCCTCTTTTTTTTTCTTAATCAATAGTCATCTTTTGCTTGTTTTTCCCATCTTTTGCTTTCCATTGGCTCATCTTTTTCTCTCTCTAAACCTGTCTTTGGACTTTATCTCTTTGAGTTTCCTTCGCTATTCGGCTTCATACATTCCATTTGCTCTGATACTCGTAAGTACTAAGGCTAGGCTAAGACAAGTGAGATGCATAAGGCACAAAAATTCTAGGAAGCTCTCACTCCTGGGTCCTGCAAGTGTGGGATTAGTACTCATAGAACTTTGCGTTTTCAAATTTTGCACCCTAAGTGCCTGGCTTGCCCCATTGTAGTCCTGGCCCTGCCACTCATGCTTCTCACTAGTATATATTTGTTGTAACCTGACTTCTGTCCCAAATAGGCTTCATTTATTCCAATTTTTGAGCCTTTGCTATGTACTCTGCATTGTGCTAGGTTTTGGGGAATACAGAGGTTCTCAAGACACCGTTTATTTCACCCAGAAGCCTTCTTCAGATTTGCCCTTAGTGAGGTCTAGTGCCTTTTCCCCATTCCTCATCCTTCCTGCCTTCTTGTACCATGTGACATTATTGACCGCTATTGCCTGTTCATCCTAATGTCAGCCCAGCTCTTAAGAATGTATAACTATTTCCATGGTAGGACACCTTTTCTAGGGACCAGTGGGCTGTTGGGCAGTGTATCAGTGGCCCTCATTCTGGAAGTTAGTAAGGATTGGAAACTGGCCCGTGCTTTCAATGTGTCAGGGTAGGAGTGCCCAGGGACTTGTTCAGGCTTAATGGGCCTTTATAACTATGTCACAGGGAATAGAAGATTTCTTGTTTGTTCATTTTCTTTCTTTTTTTTTTTTTGAGAAGGAGTTTTGTTCTTGTTGCCCAGGCTGGAGAGCAATGGCACAATCTCAGCTCACTGCAACCTCTGCCTCCCAGGTTCAAGCAGTTCTCCACCTTAGCCTCCTAAGTAGCTGGGAGTACAGGCGTGCACCACCACGCACACTAATTTTGTGTTTTTTTAGTAGAGACAGGGTTTCTCTATGTTGGTCAGGCTGGTCTCGAACTCCCGAACACAGGTGGTCTGCCCGCCTTGGCCTCCCAAAGTGCTGGGATTACAGGCGTGAGCCACTGTGCCTGCCTGTTTGTTCATTTTTCTTTTTTGAGACAGAGTCTCACTCTGTTGCCCAGGCTGGAGTGCACAGTCTCGGCTCACTGCTACCTCTGCCTCCTGGGTTCAAGCAATTCTTGTGCCTCAGCCTCCTGAGTAGTTGGGATTACAGGCGCATGCCACCTTGCCCAGCTAATTTTTTGTATTTCTAGTAGACACCGGGTTTCGCCATGTTGCCCAGTCTGGTCTTGAACTCCTGAGCTCAGGCAGTCTGCCCGCCTTGGCCTCCCAAAGTGTTAGGACTACAGGCGTGAGCCACGATGCCCAGCCATTGTTTGTTCATTTTCTACTTAGCATTTTATATACTCAGAATCTTTCCATCTCCTTCTAGTGCTTTGGTACCCAAATGTGGCCTTTACTGCCTGCCTAGCTGTCCAGCTTATTCTTGCCAATTTTGTTTTCTCAGTCCTGCGTTCTTCCCCCATTCTTTGCTGACTTGTTTTTAAAGTAGTTTCCTGGTATGACCCTGCTCTGCTTAGTGTTCTCATTGCTTGTTCATGAAAACAAACTCATCCATTCATTTATGGAGCAGCTTTTGAGCACCTATTCTATCCTAGGTGCTGTGGGAGCTGCCAGAGTTACAATGACAAACCCAATCAAACATTCCTTGTCTCCCTGAGCTAAAGAGACAAGTTAGGTGTTACTCACACAAACTGGGATAACTGCTGTGAAGGAAAGATACAGATGCAGCTGATCTAGGGACACTGGAATTGAAATCTGTCCCCTTGTCTCACTTACCTGGCAGTAACTCCCCTTCATTTTGAACTTCTGCCTGAATCAGGATTGACATGTAGTGCCCCATTTTCAATTCCAGCGCTTGTTTTTGGGTTGCTGGCAGTTTGCTCTCGACTCCTCGCCCCAACCAAGGCTGCCGCGTTTGTTTTCTTAGTCACTAGTGGTAGCATACCCTGATCATGGATCTGTCCTCACTTGGGAGCTCTTTTCTCTTTTTTTTCTTAATGCCTGCCTCTGTTGATTCTTTTCCTACATCTTCATTAGCTTCTTTGTTGTATTTTATACTTCTTTACATTTCCTAAAAGTTGCCCTAACCCAGATTTTGTCAGGGTAAGAGTGCCCAGGACTTCTACAGGGATAATAGGCCTTCACAATGATGTCACGGGGAAGGGAATGTTGCTTGTTCGTTCCTTGTCCTATGCCCTCCTCTGTATCTGCGTACCCTTTCTTGGCAATCTTATCCATTCTTGAACACTCCGTGTTACCATCTTTATGCAAATGACTGGCTAACTTCTCTCTCTCTTTTGCTCCTGTTTTCAAGTATTTGGTGGATTGCCCCATGTGGAGGCATATAATACTCCAAGTAGAATTCATCATCTTCTCTAACTTTACCAACTCCCAGTCTCCTACCTAGAAATCTCACACAACCACTCCCACCTTGCTCACTTCCAGACATGCCTCGTTGCTAGATGGTGCCACTTTGTCCTGTGTAATACCATGGTAAGGGCCTCTTCTTTTCAGTGTCCTGAACTCAAGTTCGGGTCTTCCTTTCCTTTCACCTGTCTGTCCTGATTTTCTCCTAAGATGCATCTGCTGCTAGTATCTGTCAAGTCCAGATGACTCTGAGTCCTGTACCAGGTTAATTTTTCCTGAAACAATTCTAATCTGTTGTTTTTCTCTTCTGCTCATTCATGCTTTGAAAACTCCCTAGTGCTTTTGAAAAACTGGCCTAGTTTTTTAGACCTTCCAACTTGTTTTAATTTCCTTGCCACTGCCTCCCTTCATATAGGCTGGACTCTATCCAAATGGAATTAATTTTGCGAGAACTCGCCTGTATTTTCTGTTTGCGCCTCTATTTTTATTTCCTTTTGCCAATAGTATGCTTTCCTCACACTCTTAGTTCTTTAAAATCTCTCCTAAAGTACTCTCAGGTTTCCTGACCTGGAGATACTCTTTCTCTCCTGTCATCTGTACATTTATCCACATTTTAAAAAAACATAGTGCTTACCACTTATCCTTCATTCTGTCTAGTGTAGTGCCCTGAAGAAATATGTGTGAAATTAACGAGTGGATAAAAGCATTTCTGTATTAAGCCCTCAGACAGTCTTGACTCCTCCATCTGCCTTTCCCATTCCCTTGCTGTTTATATAAGGCCATCTCTTTCTCTCCCTTCTTTCAACTGGATTGGCTTTATCTGTGAATCTCTTTATCTTTCCCTAAGTGGCCTATTATCCTTTGTCTCCATTGCTTTTCTTCTGCTGAGTTAGTATTAATTTCAATTTAAAGAGAAATTACATCATTTTGGTGAAGGACGTGTGTGGGAAATATAGAGGAAATGGAAGCTAGTGTTCAGAATGACATCTTGATTCATTTTGTGGGAACTCAGGCTGCCCACAAAAATTTCAAATATAGACTTGACTCCTGGGCTGGTGGCCAGCAGAGACTAGAAAGTAGAAGTTGTGATGACATGTTCAGCATCCAGGTGGAAGGCCAGGGGCCAGCTGCAGGGCCCCACATTCCAGCCTGCTGATCCTGGCAGCTGCTCTTATATTCCTTAGATACAGCTGTTTGAGCTTCTGATGAGACAGCTGGTTTGAGGTGATGGCAGGTAAGAGTAGGGGAAGAGACGTCTAATTACAGTATTGCTGTGTTTTGAAAGCATGTGAATCATCTGGGGCTCCCTGCATAGTTTGGGACGTCAAGTTGTGACAATGAATTAGGTTTTGTTGGTGGATTCTAAGGAATTGACTTACTTGGTTTCATAGAGGTATATCATTTGTCCGGAGTTGGACTTAGTAAATGCCACATATTGAGCCCCAGTTTAGTACCTATTCCATTACAGCTTTTAGATTCTAGATCTTTATTATCACTTTTCAAAACTATATTTCTTTATATTTTTGTGCATTTCACAAGCTGAATAGAACCGCAGGATTCCTTATTTTTCACATCATTGCCCCATTTGTGGAGATGTTTAGTTGAAGTGGCCCAAAGAAGCAGTCTAGTGGTACCTGTGAGGGTGAAGGCCTTGAAAAGAAACTTGAGACAGATGGTGTGCTTGACTAACTGCCCCAGAGAATGTGATGCCAGAACCCAGGAGGGGCACCATGTTGCCTTTGCCATTGAACTACTAAATTTCTGAGAGGACAGAGGAGGCTACAGCTTAACCGCTCTCCAATTACCAATCTCTTCTTGGTTTCAGCGAATGACAACAGAGCTGCTCAAGGCGGGAACTCTGAGCTAAGCAGTGGAGGTTTCTCTGGATCTGGAGAGAAGAGTGACCTTGGAGCCAATAATGAGCCATCCTGACTACAGAATGAACCTCCGGCCCCTGGGGACCCCCAGAGGTAGTAAAAGGAAAATGGAGTCTGCCTGAATAACTGGAGAACTGAAATGAAAGTGGAATGGGTGTGAAGTGGAGGCTGTCTTTTAGGACTGAGGGCTACTATAATTCTTTTAGTGACCTGTTAAGTATTCTGTGTGATTTATTCTAGAATTAGATGTGGTTTCTTGCTGTCTTAATTTATTGTTGTATTAAGTACAGCTGTTTAATTTCCTCTAGAAAAGTGGCAATCTTTTAGTAATTTCTATTTTCAAAAAGTCTGTGTGTCTATAAATAGCAAAGAATACTGAACTCATTATTCAGATTATGTTCCATGCGTGTTGTTGTGCTGATTTAAAACTCAAGTCTCATCTGTGTATATTTTATTCATGTTTTCTTAGCCACTCTTTCCTTTTTGTTATTGTTAAAAATCACCATCAGGGAGTTTCAGTCTCTTGTTGGTCTCTTTAAATAATAATTGTAAAAAGGTATAATATCTCCAGTTTTAAAAATACACAGATGTTTGAGGAAAGAGTTGATTGCTGCCTCCTGTTTCTAGGTGTGTCTGCTGTGGCTGGTCCACATGACATTGGTGCTTCGCCAGGTGACAAAAAGTCAAAGAACAGGTCCACACGAGGGAAGAAAAAGAGCATATTTGAAACTTACATGTCCAAGGAGGATGTTTCAGAAGGCTTGAAGAGAGGAACACTCATCCAGGTGCTTAAAATCTACTGGAAGGCTATTCTCTGAATATGTAGAATCCAAAACAATCTATTAAACTGTTTCCTGTTCTGTGCTATATGCTTTCAGAGAGACGATGATGTAACAGGTGCAGGGCTGTTATGATGGCATAACAGAGATGATGAGGTAACAGATTCTTCTTAGAACTACAGTACATTTAGAGGTAATAAGCACCACAAGACAGGAACAGGAAAAGTGCTCTGAGATTTGAGAGGAGGGAACCACTATTTCCCATTAGGATTGTCTAGAGATGCTTTATTGGAAGTGACATGTTTGAGCCAGGCCATGGATTGGTGCAGTTTGAGTAAGTGAAGATAAGAGAGAGCTTTACAAATGTAGGGACCAGTGTGAGCTACTACAATAGAAGTGAGAAATTGGGTTTGGATATATGAAACATTGAATAGTTCAGTTTTTCTGGAGCATGTGGATGCTGAACGACGGAGAAAAATGGATGAGGTTGGAAAGGAAGCAGTAAACAACAATAGACAGTATTTGTTGAGTGCTTTATACTTTACAAACTATGTTTACAAGCTAGTTCAGTGGTTTGGCTGAACAAATGTTTATGGAGCATCCATTGTGAGCCAGGAACAGTTATGGTTAGAATAAGTGTGCAGCATGGGTGCCTTTGACATGGAGGTAGACAAGATTGCCTTGCTGTACTTCAGCTTGCAGCCCAGTGGTGGGAGGCAGTCATGTGAACAGATGATTTGGGGATAAAATGGCAAGTGCTCAGATAAAAGGGTGACCAGGGTATATGGCAAAATATTGGGGGGAAATGGGGAAACTGTGTAGGCTGAGGTTCTGGAGAGGCTTCCTGGAGTTGGTGACCCTCGTGGTAGGTATTGAGGGTCTAGTTTGGGCCTATCAGATGAGTGATATGTGTGTGGGAGGTATGGAGAGGCAGTGGCGCTAACGAAAACATGAACTTGTGAAACAACATGGAGTATGGCAGCTTAGGCCTCCTTGGGCATAAACTATCAGGCAGGTAGTAGGCTGGGGAGGGAGGCAGGGCCACATATTCTGTGAATTAAGTCTATTTCATAATACTTTCATTAGTATAGAAATATTGCCATGTGCTACCTGGCTCACTTGAAAATGCTGTGTTCCATTTTCTCTTATTCTGAGAGCCCAGCTTCTGTATTTGTGTTTTTGGCTGAAGATCTAACCAATTTACAGATGCTGTCATCTTCTCTTCCTTTTTGTCCCCTCCCTCCCTCCCTCCCTCTCTCCCTCCCTCCCTCCCTCCCTTCCTTCCTTCCTTCACCTTTCTTTACCTTTCTGTATTTATCTGTGGTCAAGTGCACACGTGCACAAGAAAGAAGAAAGAAAACTATCTTTTAAAAAATGAGTTGGTTTTTCTGATTCTTGGAGTACTCTTGGTGGTTTTAATTTATTATTTATTTATTTATTTTTTGAGAAAGTCTCACTCTGTTGCCCAGGCTGGAGTGCAGTACAATCTTGGCTCACTGCAGCCTCTGCCTCCTGGATTCAAGCGATTCTTGTGCCTCAGCCTCCCAAGTAGCTAGGATTACAGAAGGTAAAAATTAGTCATGCCATCATGCCTGGCTAATTTTTGTATTTTTAGTAGAGATGGGGTTTCACCATGTTGGCCAGGCTGGTCTTCAACTCCTGACCTCAAGTGATCCTCCTGCCTTAGCCTCCCAAAGTGCTGGGATTACAGGCATGAGCCACCACACCCAGCCCTATTGGTGTTTCTTTTTTTTAAAGCTTTCCCTGGATTTATTTGACAAGGCCTCTCTTAGGAGAGATGAAGCTGCATTTGGATGTTAGTCCATTCATTAATCCATTCATTTGCTCTTCATTGTTCAGCCCATATCCCAAACACCATTTTATCTGTAAGTTTCTTGGCCCTTCTCTTGTTTCACATAGGAGGACCCATTGTGCCTTTCCATTCTTATCCTCCTGCACTCTCCTCCAGGAACACTCTCCTCCATTCACCCTGAGCCTTCCAGTCTTTTCCTCTAAAAACTGTTCTTCTTGATGTCTCTGTGACTTTGTGCATGCTGTTCCTGGTGCTTGGAATGCTTTCTCCTGCTGCCTTGATGTAATGGTGCTTACCTTTTAAGTCCGTGCCTAAATGTTACCCACTTTGAGAAGCCTCATTTTAATTCTCCAAGTAGAGTTGGCTGTTAGTGTTTTCCTGTAGTTGACTTCTTTGTTTTCCCTTTATTCTAAACTTAACACCATTTCTTGGCTTTTATGTTTCCCCCAGATAGACTGTTCATGTCCTTGATGGCAGGGTCATGTCTTGTTCCAGAAGTTAGCTCAGTGCCTGGCATTTGACTGTTGCTTAATACATTTATATTGAATAAATACTTACTTACTGACTGAATAAAGGATCCAGATACTGTCTTTTGAAGAAGAGTTGGGGGAACTTCAGTTGTTAGAACTTGAAAGAAAACTAGCCTAGAATTTTGGTTATAGAATTATACCTGTCTAGAGATAAGGAGAGGACAGCGAAGGAGAGGACAGCGTTCTGCAGTGATATTAGCTTCAGCTCCCTTTTAGTTTTTGCTTTTGAAGCAACTCGTTGCTGATACTCAAACAAAACAAAACAAAAATCTGATCAATATAACAACTCTAATTCCCAGGAGTTTGTAAGTGATTCCTTCTGGCCTGTGACATCATGGGACTCTGCAGCCAGGGCCTCCCCCCTACATATGAGAACAGTTGTTCTTTGCAGATGGGAAAAGGAATGGGTTCCAGATATGAGGTCACCGTGTGAAATATACAACACTGTAAATAAGATTTTCATAGGCAGAGAAACAGAGTCCATCTGCTGCTTGATATAAACTTTATGTGTGCAAGCCTTGCGGGGTAAGGTAAAAGGCCAGACAAGAAAGGATGTTTTAATGCTGATGGAGAAAATTAAGTGTATTAGAGATACTTAGAAACTTTTGTTAACTTTAGTATTCAAACTCATCTCTTTTGACCTCTTTTTTTTCTCCCTATCCAGAGAAGAAACTTTTATCGAGAGATTGAAGGGGGATTTAAAAAAAAACAGGAGTAGAGTATTTTTATTTTGTTTTCAATACCTTAACTAATACTTCGACATTTCATTAGTATTTTTTCCTATGTGGGGAGGAGACCACAGTTTCCTCTTTCCAGTGTTTGAAATGGCAATAACAGTAACACATGGTCATGTACATGTAGTTTTGAAGTTTAAAAAAAAATAATAAATTCTCACATCAAAAAATGTATTTCATTTCTCTCTTCATAGGTAGAGTACTGAGAGGTTGTTATAGGAGATGTTGGGAGAGATTAGAGTAGGGGATAGACAAGCCTGGAAGGGGCTCCAGTTTAGGGTGATGATCAAGGTGACATGGGTATGAACATGGCAGAATTGGCTGTTTCAGATCCCAAAAGATGCTTTGGCTAAAGGAAGTTCAGGCTAAGCCTCCAGAGCTGTCTTAGTCATGATGTCGGAGTTCCTCTTAGAATAGAATATTGGTGTGAAGTTGTTATTGGCTCTCTGAAAAATCCTAGTCCAGGAAGATAGAGGTCAGGATGAACTAGTTTCTGGGACCTTCACCATTTGTTAAGAGTGAAATCAAGCAGGGTGTGGTGGCTCACGCCTGTAATCCCAGCACTTTAGAAGGCTAGGGTGGGAAGATTGCTTGAGGCCAGAAGTTTAAGACCAGCCTGGGCAACATAGTGAGACTTCATCTGTACAAAATAAAAATCAGCCAGGCATGGTGATGTGCACCTGTATTCCTAGCTACTGGGAAGGCTGAGGCAGGAGGATCGCTTGAGTCCTGGAGTTGGAGGCTATGGTAGGTAAGTCATGATCATGCCATTGTGCTCCAGCCTGGGCAACAGAGTGAGACCCTGTCTCTCTCTCTTTTTTTTTTTTTTTTAAAGAGTAAAATCAGCTGGAGAATACTTGGGGATGAATTAAAGATGAGGGGAATAGATGTGATGTTACAGTGGAATGCCCAGCCACTTAGAAGGGAGAGATGATATTCATAACATTAATACTGGGGGTGATGAGAGAACTTTAGCTCTGCAGGCATTAATTAATTAATTACTGCAACAAATGTTTCTTGACTTCTTACTCAGTGCCAAGCGTATACCAGTGAGCAAGTTAGGCAAGTCACTGGGGAGGTAAGGAAAAACAACTAAAGAAAAAGAGAAGAAATTATAGACTGATCATTGCTAATAAAGAAATGGGAAGGGTGAGAGAGAATAATTAGAGAGAGCCTCTTTAGTAGGGTCGTTAGGGAAAGCCTCTGTGAGATGATCTGTGGGTTATCTGAGATGAGAATGAATCAGCCAATTGAAGAATTAGGAGAAGAACATAGGTGGATAGCTCAGCTAGTAGAACAGCAGCAAGCAGAAGAAGGCTTGGTGTTTCTGAGAAATGAGAAGGAAGCCTGTTGGAACATTGTGAGCAAAGGGAGTTATATTATGGGACAAGTGGAGAGTTAGGCAGCAGCCAAGTCATGTAGGGTCTCTAGGCTATGCTGGAGAATTGGATTTTGTTCAAAGAGCAGCAGGAAGTCACTGAAGGCTCTTAAGCAGGGGAAGAAAATAATCTGTTTCATGCTTTGAACATACCTCTCTGGGAATTGTGAGATGAATAGAGTGGAAGCTGAGAGGCCACTCAGGAAGGTATCAAAGTAAACCAGGTCAGAAAACATGGAGATGGGAACAAGAAAGTGGCAGTAAAGATGGAGAGGAGTGGATGGATGGATGGATGTGGGGCTAGAACTGATGTGACATGGTGATGGATGAGATATGGAAGGTGAGGCAGAGGGAGGCATCCCTGATGCTTGCTGAGTTTTCGAATTGAGCAGCTGGCTGGATGATGTTGCCATTAACCAAGACAGAGAAAAGCAAGGGTTGGAATGTGGTGCTGAGTTTTTGGGCAAGAGGGATAGCTGGCATACATGAGTGAACAGGCCCTGGTGGTGACCGTGGCAAACAGAGAGAGAGGCTGTTCACAGTAGTTGAGAGCATGGAGTCTGGAGCCAGATTGTCTGGCCTTGAATGTGATGTGAAAGCGGGCAATTTTCTTAACCTCTCAGTGCCTCAGTTTCCTCATCTGTAAAAGCAAGGATAATAGTATCTACCTCATAGGGTTGTTGTGAGGGTTAAATTAGCTGATCGATATAAAGCTCTTCAAAGAGTGTGTGGCATGTCGTATGCCTGCATAAGTGGCACTTGAGTTTTGTTTTTATTACTATAAGAGGAGCGTCTGTTATTCAGGTTAGGTGGTTGCTGTCATTTGGAGAACCCTGTCCAAAGCTGTTAGATCTTATGATTTTTCAAGAATATCTGGAAATATGTATTTTATATGTGTGAAATTCCTCAGTTTTAAGGACTCTCAAACAAGCCAAATACAGTATGTTTGTGATTGCCAGTTAGACTGATTTAGCCCAGTTGTGTGGTGTTTTTCTATGGTACTGTTTAGCTCCTGGGGTATAGGAAGGGAGAAAGCAGATAGCTGGGGTTAGTTGAGAGTAGAGAATCAAGGGTAAAATCTTCAAGGTCTTTTGCTGGTTGAGTATCAGAGTAAGAGGTTTGTTCAGGATTTGCAACGTTAATAGATAATGATAGGCCATGGCAATTAGGTGGCTAGAGAAGGGAGTAAACAGTGGGAGGACAATGAATGGTGACAATGTGGTCACAGCTTTGGGCTGGAGATCTTAGTGAAATCGAAGAGTTGTTGAAGTGGGGTTTCTACCATAAGTAGACAGAAGATTGCCATCGGAAAGTGCGATATTTGAATTTTTTTTTTTTTTGAGGTAGTGTCATTAGTAGTGCTGACGGGATCCAGGCTGTGAACGTGGGAGAGAGTAGGTGGGTTAGGGGAGCAAATGGTAGTTAGAGTGACAGGCTAGGGTTGCTTGGTCTTCAACATGGATGTGAAGTCCCAAAAATATATATAGTAGTGAGGATAGAGAGGAAGGCAGTGAACTGCTAGTCAAAATGTTAGTGAATTGGAGCTTTGACCCACCTGTAAATTTGAGGATGACAGCACCAAAGAGGTGCTAATGATATGAACTTTAAAGGATCTGGGATTTTTGAAAGAGAATGGAGGAAAAAATACTTTTAAAGTCATGATGGGGAAGCAAAGAGACCTTCCTCCCTTGGTCCCTGAGATACATGGGTTATGAGAGATAAAATAGACTCCCTCTGAGAGCACTCGAGAGAAGCAATCACTTCAGGGAACAGCCAGGTTTCAATTAAGGCGAAGAATCAGGAGCATCTGGAGAAGAGATGGAGGCTATGGGATCCTCACTGATCAAGTTTCAGGCCTAGGGAAGTGCTTTAGGAAGAAGACAGGAGATGGGCAATTGGGTCAGGTTAGGGGATGGCTATAGAAATGAAAGCCTTGGACTTTTGTAGGTGAGTAAGACGAGATCTGTGGGAAGTATCCTTTAGTTAAATGACCATTTGTTTTTGACAGACTTAAATGCCAGCTGCTTCTCTCAGGCTATAGGAACAACTCTGGTCTGCTGCGGAGCTCTGTGGGAGTTTCTGCTTTCTTAGTGTGATCTGCATTCCCTCAAGGGCTCTGTTTCCGAGGTCCAGTTCTTCAGAGTTATGCTCCAGTCAAATTTGCAAATGCTGTTGTGGAACCAGGTTTCTATTCTTCCTTGTGTGCTTTTGTATATATTGGGAAGTTTGGGATAGAGAATCAAGGGTAAAATCTTCAAGGTCTTCTTAACATCTTTTCTTTTAAATAGAGCCTGGATGCAGCCCTGAGCAACCTGTCTCTTTTCCCTGGGCCCAGCCTGGCCTGTCTGAGTGCCCTGCAATTAAAGGCATTTTCAAAGCTAGAGGCATTCTGATCTCTGTACTTGTTCATATGCTAACCATTCTTTGAGCGACAAGGGATGATAGAAGAATAGGAATTGAAAAAAAAACTTAGGCCAGAGAAAAGCATCTGGAATCAGAAAATGAAATTGTTAGACATTTAATTTCAATGAATTGACTTTTGTTTGTTTGGAGTCTCTTCCCCTCACGAGACTGTAAGCTCTGTGATGGTAGAGACTGTCTGTTGTTAGTCTCCCTTGTACCCCGTCATTTGACATGGTGCCTGCCATGCTATTCGTTAGGAAATATTTGTTGAGTGAGTGGATGAATATTTAGGTTAAATGTAAGTTTTTTCCCTCCTTCCCTCAACAAGAAACAGCTGTCTAGAAGTGGATTTACTGTGACACTCTTTAACAAGGGACTGGCCTTGGGGAGCTTTGCCAACCTTATCTCCTGGTCCCTCCCTCTTCTGTGCTAGGCAGAGTTATCGCACAATGGAGAAGAGTTAGTGAGTGCCCTCTTAACCACTTTTGCTAACACAGTGTCCTCTACTATACTTCTCATCTGATTTATTTGCAAATTTTGCTCTTCTGTAAAGGACTAGGTCAGATACCATCTCTGAAGCCTCTTCTGGTGCCCTCGCTGTGAAAGTAAGCTGTACCTCTGCTTTATGTTTTCCTTTAAAATAGGGATTGAGCTTAGTTAATCATTATCTTCTCCATCAGTGTGTCTCAGGGTCTTGAATATAGTCCATACTCAATAATTAATTGTTGAATTAAGGACTGAATGATCATTTGTAGTAGTCTATTTGAGTGTTCATGATATTGTAAACTGTGGCATGGACATTTGTAATTTAAACATGGTACAGTGCAGAAGGAAATTATTTTCTGCTTTATTTTATGCCGTTGCCTGTTTTGTTAATTATGTATCTTTGAGTCTTTAAACGTTTTAGGGAGAAATGTTATTTAAAACACTTTCTCAAGATATCCTTTGAGTCTGGCTGTTAGAAAAATAACTGCTTCCATCCATGTGTTCCAGTGGCCTGAGACTACAGCTGGAACCTGGGGAGCCTTACAGCTTCCTGCAAGAGCCTGAAATACTGAACTGCTATTGAAGAGGCCCCCACCTGCACCCCTGTGTGTAAATAGAAGCAGACCCTGATTTGGTGCTGGAATAACATGAAGTTGAAGGCAGACTGGGTGGCCTGGCTGTTGGAGCCAGGATTCCAGTTTGCATTAAGAGCTGGTTATGGACCATTTTGAATTATTGACTCATTCAGCTCTGCAGAGGGGCCAGAGTAAAAAATAATGCATCCAGTTTCATAAGGCTCAGTATCTAGCTTGGAAATCAACCTGTACCACTTTGAAAATTGTCACAGAAACAAGCAATTGTGGAAAGGTCTTGGAACTGGGAGAAAAAAAAGGCCTTTATATAGTGAGGCACAATCCCTAGGTAATCTTGTTTGTAAAGTCAAGGTTTAAATTTGAAGACTAGCATATAGGGGCATCTAAAATCCTAATAGTTGCCACTTTCCCACTCTACGCCAAGCTCTGTTGTTCCTTACCTTTGCTTGTTCACACCAAGGTGCCAGTCTAAGCTTTCTGTTTTTGATAGAACCCTCTATTTCAGATATCAACATAAATTGTGTTTCCTGCATTTAATGAATATTTCTTATACATCTAACTTGTTTTCTCAAGTGACCTGTTTAATTTTAAAACTTTTTATTGGAGAATAACATACGTGGAAAAATCGTAAATATATAGCTAGATTTTCACAAACTTTATTTTTTGTTTTAAAGGGTGTATTGAGAATTAATCCAAAGAAGTTTCATGAAGCCTTCATTCCTTCCCCGGTAAGTTCAATAAATTTATAATAAACTTTATGTCACATTTAATTTTTTAGATCTGCTCCGAAACTGAAATCATATATTCTAACTAAAAAGCAGAGTAGTGAAACAAAATTGACGATGGGCAAAGATTTGTTTCAAATTTAAATAAACTAAATTTTCTTTTGGTTAACAACCCCTTCTGTCAGTCTTAAAATCGCATGCCAAATGAAAGGGATGGCATTTGTTACAAGGCTGCAAAGAGCAGCTGGACCCAGGCAGACTACCCACCAGTTCGTGTAACTGGACGCCCTTGGTTTATGGCTTAAAAGGATTTATGGTTTTTTCCACCGATTTAAGTTAATCTTTCCTAAACAAATATGCTATCTACTTTGGATCTACTGCATGAGCTAATCTGAACATTTGTCCAAAAATAACGTGTAATGCTTTTTTTTTTTGGTGGGGGTCAGAGTTTCTCACTTCACTTTCGTGCAGGTGATAAAACTTTGTACAAGGCTCTTTACCGTTGGGTCTTTAGACCCTTTCTTACATTTATGACTCATTTTAAGAGGCTCTTTCCACTTAAATCAAGTTTACACTGATATATAGTTAGCAGCAGTTCTCTAGAGAAGGTTTGATTGAGCAAAGCTGGGAGAGCAATATTCTTAAATTCCTGACCTAACTTTTCCAGGATACCATAAATAGAATAGCTATAGAATCACAGATTTTTCACAGTGAAAGAGACCAAACTTATGCTTATAGATGACGAAATGGGATACATATATTTTAGTTAACATATTTTATTATTTTAAATGACAGTAAGTTTAGTGAGAATATAGGTTCAGTCATGTACTTTATAAATGTCATTATTACAGATTGAGCACCCCTTATTTGAAACACTTGGGACCAGAGGTATTTTGGATTTAGAATTTTTTTTTAAATATTGGAATATTTACATTACATACTTACACTGAAATCCAAAATGCTCCAGTGAGCATTTCCTTTGAATGTCATGTCAGTGCCCAAAGAGTTTTATATTTTGGAACATTTCAGATTTTATATGCTCAAGTGATATTATTGTTATTGTTACAATAACCTTATGACCTATTCTCAAGCTCAGTTTAGTCCTTTTCCCCTGCCTTCTGAAATCCAGGGACTCACATTGCATCCAAGTTCGAGTCTTACCCATTGAATTAGATAAAAGGTATCACTGACATTCACATTATTCTTTCTCAGTCATATTCTGTTCCTGTTAGAGAAAATGGCATATGTCTTGACCCTGAAACTTGAGTTGTAAAATTGGGTTGTAGAATTGAGGGTCAGTTTTGAGGTGGTAACTTGGCTGCACGAACAGTTCTCACATGTACGAGAAGTGCAGTTTACATATGTGTTAGTTTCCAGAATTTGCTCATAAGCTTAAATTTACATCCAGGAATCATAAAAACTACCCAGAAAATCTCTTAGGAAGGTGCTGTGTTGGAGACGGATAAACCATCTCTCAGTACGTCCTGCATAACCAATGTTTTTTTCCCATAAGAAAGCATGACTGTTTCTTCAAGAATATACCAGTTGAAGGAACTTGATTGTATTAGGAGCCCTCATGTATGAAAGACACAGATTTTTAAGCATGAAAATGTCACTCAATGTAGTAAGTTCATCCTGAGAGACAGCTGGGAACTGGGTATATTCAGACCTCTTGTCTCTTGTGCATGCTTAAGTTTGCTCTTATTGATTGGTGTGATAAGGGGAACTACAGCATTTTGAAAATTTTGCTGCTTCCTCTCTTCCCTGATAACACAGTATAGAATTTCCCTAAGTTAAATCCCTATTGGGTTGGCTCCTAGCAAGTGTGGGACCTAGGACAGAAGTAGAAAAGAAGGCACACATACCTTAAATCAAATATTGAAAAGTTAGACATCAAAACCACCATCAAGTAAAATATATTATTCTATATATTCCATGTAGGAATAGACAAAGTCTATTCCTTGCCAAATACACCTTCATATACCTGAGTTCAAATGTAGAATTCTCAGATTTCTTGCAGCTCCATGCTGAAACATGGCTTCACCTCTGGCTTGCCCCTCTTCCCTTCTCAGTGCTAGCTCCCTGTCCCCTTGTGATTCCCTTGCATTCAGTGAGGGCCCTTTCATGCCCAAACGTGGGCATCCTATCCCATGTATCTAAGCTATGTCCATACCCATTAGAAATACCTGCCATTGAGTGGAGGCACCCCCATTGAGGGGGTGCCTCCGGTGGTGGGGAAGTGCCTGTATATGTCCTGGAGGTAGGCTTTGGGCTGCTTATTTTAGGGAAGCACATCCATTTGGCCCTGTGAACTCCTTGTCTGATGGGGAGGGTTGTGGCTGGAGCAGGGCCAGAGCAGAGGTCCTATGGTTCCTGCAAGCTAAATTCAAGTAATTTACATCTGCAAATGATGTATCTCCATGGTGTAACCTGGCTTGTTAAAGAAAGCTAAGACACAAAAGCAAAAGGTGGTGATGTTTTAAAAGCTCATAGTTGTTCTCTTACTTAAAATTGTATTCTTACTACGTCATACTTAGAAATTTTTAGACAGTTGCGATATTAGGATTGGCTTATTTCTATGCCTCTTTTATTCTTTTATTTGGCTCCTGCTTGAGTCGTAATATTGTCTCAGAGAAAAACAATTCACCTCTAGGTAATTAAGAATAGATCATAAGAGCTACCAATCAAGGCCCATTGCAAGTGATTGTATACACTCTGGTTTTGGACACGGGAACAGTCCTACATTCTTGCTTTGTGGGTTTCAGTTTCCAGAAGCATTATAGAAAGCAACTGAAGAGGGCAATAATAGAGGCAACAGATTACTCATACATAAAGCCCATAACCACCTGTGGTCTAGATTTCTGAGTATACATATCTCATATCCATGTCAAATATGAACTTGTATGAACTGGAAACTTGACTTAGGTTCATTATAGCTTCTACTGATAGAAAGTTGATTTTCATTTTATGACATATAAAATGTATGGGATGAAAAATGCCTGCAGATAGACTGGGAAGTAGAATGTCAGAACCAGGGCCTAATTGTTACCGGCTTAAGCTAGGAGCATAAAGGCAGGAATGAATATGAAAGATGAGGCTTTTGCTCTGACAGTAGGACATACAGTGGCTTCCTCATTTGTAAAATGAGGGGATGGAGTAAATGTTGTCTAATGTTGCTCACATTCTAAAGTTTTTAGAGAGACAAAAATAGAGATTTGTTTAAACTATTTAGGTTTGCTCTTACTCACTCTAAAAATGGTTGTGAATTTACACAATGTCATTTGCTATGCTAAAATATCTCCCTAGGTAAAGAGGTGAAGAACAGTGAATTAGTCAGCAGGTATAAAATAATACTTTGTTTTAGGGGAACTTGACTTAGGTTCATTATAATTTCTACTGACAGAAAGTTGGTTTTCATTTCATGACACATCTAAACTATACAGGATGAGTAACTTATGTGTACTTGCTAGTTTTGTGAGGTTCTCAATAAAAATGAAATACAGAATGTGAGTAAAATCATGTGACTTTCAAGCAAACCAAGATAAAATGATATTATTGTCATGCCTTTTATCCTATTTGGGGATAGGATAAAGAGGAGAAAATTGATCAGATGGAAAAACCTGTCATTTTTAAAAAGCACAGTTTCTATTCTGAATTATGTAAATCTAAGAAGCTCTCTAACTTTTTAATGCATCGTGTCATAGGAGGCACCCTTTGTACAGTGGTGGAATTTATTTTTGGTCCAAAGGGAACTGTTCCATCAATGAAGGATGCTGTGACCATCGTGGCATATTTGTGTTGTCCTCCTTCCCCCAGTCCTCTAAGTCTTTAGTCTGATTACCACATGCCCACCTCCCAATTCCATTATTTTTCTTCCAGGGAAGTTCATTATCTATTTTTCTTTCTTTTTTTTCTATTATCTATTCTTTCTGATGGGTGGAACAAGACTTCTGGCATTCAAACAAAGAGCTGAAATCTTTGGCCTAAAAAAGTGGTTAAAAGAGATGACTCAAACTTTTAATATTGAGCAGTTCCCAAGCTTAGTGTCTTTAAAGTAAGAGATTCAGCGACAGATCAGTCTTCTGAATGAATCAAGGAAGAGCTGAGTATGATGCAGTAGCTATAGATTTTTGTGTTGTCTGAGGTTCAACTCAGCCCTGCTTTCCTTGGTTTCCTGGGATTGTAAGGTGACAGTACTATCATCCCATCAATCTGAAATCTCTGCGCTGCCAAAGGGTGGTTGTATCTGCTTATAATAGAGGCATTTCATTGCATATGTTTGACACGTGAGTATGGGTTAGGGTGACCTCCAAACAGCCCATTTTTCATTCCAAGGAGGTCTGAGAGATCCTATTGCTGTTTGAATTGCAAAAGGCAGCAATAGATGGTGATGTGCCTTATTTCAGTTGTTCTCTCTCTGTTTACTGGCTGTCTCTTCCACATCTCTCTGAGAAGCTTGTCAAGAGGTCAACTACAGTCATGTTTTGTGGCTAACACAGTAGCTTTTCCTCAGGGACTAGGGTGGGGTCAGTTTTGGCAGAGTGTGCAAGCCACAGCTGTCAACCCATAGCTAAACTGGAAATTGAGCAGAAAAACTATTCTAGAAGATCTCTAATGGTTTGTAAGTGGAAGCTGTAAAAAATGCTGAGTGACTAAAATCTGCCCCTCCCCCTTTTTTTGATTTGGTGATTTTGGGATGCTAATTTTAACTTTAACCAAAATTTCATAGTAATCACCTTCAGTCCATTGAGTGTTATGTTCAATCTTATCTATGTCAAGTGTCTCTATTAGAAAAATTTGAGTGATGATGTTCCAGACTCTTTTGCTGTCACCTCCTGTAAGAAAAAATGTTTTACTTCTTTCTTATTCTCTGAAAAAGAGCACATCATATAAACTTGTAGAGAATAGAAGGATAAGAGTACATGTTTGTTGGTGAAACATTTTGAAAATATTTCATTTTCTCAGGAACCCTGACTGCTGGTGAAGGCCTGCATTTCCTTGGCTATCTTGTTTATTTAAAATTACAAAGTAATTTGGCTTACTAAGAAGACTCTGGCACCTATTTAAGCCAAGAAGTTGACACCTGGGGAGTTCACTGGGGAGCCACATTATTTAAAGTGGGTTGTTTCTGAGTGAGTGAGTGAGGATGAAAGTGTCTGTATCTTGTGTTCATTGTCTGGAGTTCACGGTGGTCCTAAGTCAGCAAGGTCGGTAGAGTGTGAAGATCACGTGATGAATCTCATATTACATCTCTTTCCTTCTCTTCTTTGCCCTCTACTTAGGTCTCCGTAAAAACAACCACAATTTAGTCTCTCTGCCACTTTCTTGGGGGGCATTATGAATTTGCTGGTTTCCTCCTAGAGAGTCCAAATCTTAGAGCCATTGCTACTCCTGCCCTCAGTTTGTTTTCTTGGGGGAGATTATATGTTGTTCCTCTTCTGTTCTCTTGCATACCTTCTATTTTTATACTTTCTTGATATGTAAAAAATTCATTTAGTATTAAAAAGGTATCAGCATGCTTTATTTAATACGAAAAAGGATAACCTAAGAATAACTTGCTGTTTTCTATTTCAGTTATGAAAGCAGGCAATCTGTTTTTTGCTTTATGTGTTTTTAAGCTCACTATTGTTTTATTTCTTTTTCCAACCTAGGATGGTGATCGAGACATTTTTATTGATGGGGTTGTTGCTCGTAATAGAGCCTTAAATGGGGATCTGGTGGTCGTGAAACTGCTTCCCGAGGAGCATTGGAAGGTGAGTTAAGTTTTCCCTTTCTAATTACAGATTTCTTAGGGTCTTTCACATTCCATGGTGCACCAACAAGGCATCATAAACTGGAGGAGTCACAGACCCCTTAGGCGCTGTGATAAGATGGGGTGTAATCTTGGAAGCATGCTACCGAATGCTTGGAACTTAGAAGCATCTGCTGGGCAGATTGCTAATTAAATGAGTTCTCCTTGCTCTCTCTCTAGTGATCCATCCTCCCTGTCACATGCCTTGCACTGGTTTTTGGTATTCTTTTGAATAAATACTGAGGGCCCATTCAAACTTGGTATGTATTATTTTCCTACATCCTATGCAGGGAGAACTAGAAAGACAAAGCCATGGAGACAGTGGCAGTCCCCACGCATTTCTGCTGCCTCCAGTGGAAAACCCAGGCAATACATGTGGAGTTCTGTTGGCCCAGTTTGGTGATTGGGTGCCTTGGCAGATAAAAATAGTTGGTCTGTGTTTTTATAAATCAGGGATTTAGTGGCAGAAGAAAATGTTTTTAATATGAGAGTATTTTGGGTTTCGGTCTCCATCTATGTCTGTTAATTGGAAAGGAAGATATGGTTTTAGTTTTGATGGTTTTAAATAAAAGTAAGGATCAGGCATTGGAATGATGTGTGGTGACAATATCTTTGAATTGTCATGTAGGATTGGAGACATGTATCTAAGTCTGAATTTGTCTTCATATCATTTGTTTTATTTGGCTTTTTTGTTTTATTTATTTGAAGAATTTGGTGTCTTCTTCAATAATACGTGTTATAGATGTATCTAAGTCTGAATTTGTCTTCATATCATTTGTTTTATTTGGCTTTTTTGTTTTATTTATTTGAAGAATTTGGTGTCTTCTTCAATAATACGTGTTATAGAGTAGTGACTAAAAGTATGGGCTTTTAGGCTAGGCTACTTAGATTTGAATCTCATCTCTGCCATTCATCTCTATAACTTTGAGTGAATTGTACAACCTTTCTGCTGCAAATGTCTCATCTGTAAAATGGGAATAATCATGGTACCTACTTCATAGGTTTGTCATGAAAATTAAATGAGAATACATGTAAAAATTTTAGAATACTGCCTAAAAATCTTAGAATGGCAGGAGCTCAAGAAATGTTCTTACTAGCTTTTCCAAAAAAGATGTGATGTGAGGAGTACCATTTTATCTCAGAGCTTTGTTGAGGCATACATTCTTTTTAATCTGATACAGCTAAAGTAATTGAGTTATAGCTATATGCCAGGTATTCATAGGGTGTAGGGAATTCAGTAATGAGTAGTATTGACATAGTTCTTGCTCTCATGGAGCTTATAGTTTAATGGGGAGTACAGGTAGGAAAAGACAGATACTGATCACACTTATACAAATTTAAGTGTAATTTTTATTAGTGCTGTGAAGTGCAGGGTTTCTTTTTTTTTTTTTTTATATTATACCCTAAATTCTGGGATACATGTGCCGAATGAGCAGGTTTGTTACATAGGTATACATGTGCCATGGTGGTTTGCTGCACCCATTAACCCATCATCTATATTAGGTATTTCTTCTAATGCTATCCCTCCCCTTGTCCGCACCCACCGACAAGCCCCATTGTATGTGATGTTCCCCTCACTGTGCCCATATGTTCTCATTGTTCACCTCCCACTTATGAGTGAGAACATGTGGTGTCTGGTTTTCTGTTCCTGTGTTAGTTTGCTGAGAATGATGGTTTCCAGCTTCATCCATGTCCCTGCAAAGGACATAAACTCATTCTTTTTTATGGCTGCATAGTATTCCATGGTGTATATGTGCCACATTTTCTTTATCCAGTCTAACATTGATAGGCATTTGAGTTGGTTCCAAGTCTTTGCTATTATGAATAGTGCTACAATAAACATATGTGTGCATGTGTGCATATGTCTTTACAGTAGAATGATTTATAATCCTTTGGGTATATACACAGTAGTGGGATTGCCGGGTCAAATGGTATTTCTAGTTCTAGATCCTTGAAGAATCACCACACTGTCTTCCACAATGGTTGAACTAATTTACACTCCTGCCAACAGTGTAAAAGCATTTCTATTTCTCCATATCCTCTCCAGCATCGGTTGTTTCCTGACTTTTTAGTGATCTCCATTCTAACTGGCGTGAGATAATATCTCATTGTGGTTTTGATTTGCATTTCTCTAATGACCAGTGTTGATGACCTTTTTTTATATGTCTGTTGGCCACATAAATGTCTTCTTTTGAAAAGTGTCTGTTCATATCCTTTGCCCACTTTTTGATGGTTTGTTTTCTTGTAAATTTGTTTAAGTTCCTTGTAGATTCTGGATATTATCCCTTTGTCAGATGGATAGATTGCAAAAATTTTTTCCCATTCTGTAGGTTGCCTGTTCACTCTGATGATAGTTTCTTTTGCTGTGCAGAAGCTCTTTAGTTTAATTAGATCCCATTTGTCCATTTTGGTTTTTGTTGCAATTGCTTTTTGTGTTTTAGTCATACAGTCTTTGCCCATGCTTATGTCCTGAATGGTATTGCCTAGGTTTTCTTCTAGGGTTTTTATGGTTTTAGGTCTTACATATAAACATTTAATCCATCTTGAGTTAATTTTTGTATAAGGGGTCCAGTTTTAGTTTTCTACATATGGCTAGCTAGTTTTCCCAGCACCATTTATTAAGTAGGGAATCCTTTCCCCATTGCTTGTTTTTGTCAGGTTTGTCAAAGATCAGATGGTTGTAGATGTGTGGTGTTATTTCTGAGGCCTATATTCTGTCCTATTGGTCTATATATCTGTTTTGGTACCAGTAGCATGCTGTTTTTATTACTGTAGCCTTGTAGTATAGTTTGAAGTCAGGTAGCGTGATGCCTCCAGCTTTATTGTTTTTGCTTAGGATTGTCTTGGCTATATGGGCTCTTTTTTGGTTCCATATGAAATTTAAAGTTTTTTCTAATTCTGTGAAGAAAGTCAATGGTAGCTTGCTTGGAATAGCATTGAATCTAAATTACTTTGGGCACTATGGCCATTTTCACAATATTGATTCTTCCTATCTATGAGCATGGAATATTTTTCCATTTGTGTCCTCTCTTTCCTTGAGCAGTCGTTTGTAGTTCTCCTTGAAGAGGTCCTTCAGATCCCTTGTAAGTTGTATTCGTAGGTACTTTATTCTCTTTGTAGCAATTGTGAATGGGAGTTTGCTCATGATTTGGCACTCCATTATTGGTGTATAGGAACGCTTGTGATTTTTGCACATTAATTTTGTATTCTGAGACTTTGCTGAAGTTGCTTATCAACTTAAGGAGATTTTGGGCTGAGACATTGGGGTTTTCTAAATATACAATCATGTCATCTGCAAACAGAGATAATTTGACTTCCTCTCTTCCTGTTTGAATACCCTTTATTTCTTTCACTTGCCTGATTGCCCTGGCCAGAACTTCCAGTACTACGTTGAATAGAGTGCTGAGAGAGGGCATCCTTGTCTTGTGCCGGTTTTCAAAGGAAATGCTTCCAGCTTTTGCCCATTCAGTATGATATTGGCTATGGGTTTGTCATAAATAGCTCTTACTATTTTGAGCTATGTTCCAATACCTAGTTTATTGAGTGTTTTTAGCATAAAGGGGTGTTGAATTTTGTCAAAGGCCTTTTCTGCATCTATTGAGATAATCATGTGGTTTTTGTCATCGGTTCTGTTTATGTGATGGATTACATTTATTGATTTGAATATATTGAACCAGCCTTGCATCCCAGGGATGAAGCCAACTTGATCGTGGTGGATAAGCTTTTTGATGTGCTGCTGGATTTGGTTTGCTAGTATTTTATTGAGGATTTTCACATTGATGTTCATCAGGGATGTTGGCCTGAAATTTTCTTTTTTTGTTGTGTCTCTGCTGGGTTTTGGTATCAGGATGATGCTGGCCTCATAAAATGAGTTGGGGAGGAGTCTCTCTTTTTCTGTTGTATGGAATACTTTCAGAAGGAATGATACCAGCTCCTCTTTGTACCTCTGGTAGAATTCGGCTGTGAATCCATCTGGTCCTGGGCCTTTTTTTGGTTGGTAGGCTATTAATTACTGGCTCAATTTCAGAACTTATTATTGGTCTATTCAGGGATTTGACTTCTTCCTGGTTTAGTCTTGGGAGGGTGTTTGGGAAGAATTTACCCATTTCTTCTAGATTTTCTAGTTTATTTGTGTAGAGGTGTTTATAGTATTCTCTGATGGTAGTTTGTATTTCTGTGGGATCAGTGGTGATCTCCCCTTTATCATTTTCTAATGCGTCTATTTGATTCTTCTCTCTTTTCTTCTTCATTAGGCTGTCTACTGGTCTATCTATTTTGTTAATGTTTTCAAAAAACCAGCTCCTGGACTCATTGATTTTTTTGAATGGTTTTTCATGTCTCTATCTCCTTCAGTTCTGCTCCGATCTTAGTTATTTCTTGTCTTCTGCTAACTTTTGAATTTGTTTACTCTTGCTTCTCTAGTTCATTTAATTGTGATGTTAGGGTGTTGATTTTAAATTTTTCCCGCTTTCTCCTGTGGGCATTTAGTGCTATAAATTTCCTTCTAAAGACTGCTTTAGCTGTATCCCAGAGATTCTGGTACATTGTGTCTTTGTTCTCATTGGTTTCAAAGAACTTATTTATTTCTGCCTTAATTTCATTATTTACCCAGTAGTCATTCAGGAGCAGGTTGTTCAGTTTCCATGTAGTTGTGGGTTTTGAGTGAGTTTATTAATCCTGAATTCTAATTTGATTGTACTGTGGTCTGAGAGACTATTTGTTAAGATTTCCATTGTTTTGCATTTGCTGAGAAGTGTTTTACTTCCAATTATGTGGTCAGTTTTAGAATAAGTGTGATGTGGTACTGAGAAGAATGTATATTTTGTTGATTTGGGGTGGAGAGTTCTGTAAATGACTATTAGGTCCTCTTGATCCAGAGCTGAGTTCAAGTCCTGAATATCCTTGTTAATTTTTTGTCTTGTTGATTATTGTCTGTTATTGACAGTGTCTTTTT